>NC_000001.11:176214890-176517920 GCF_000001405.40 Homo sapiens
TGGTGGGACTTTCTTGAGAACAATATTGAGTCACAGTTTATTTCCATTTTTTCCTCATGAGAAGAAAATGCACAAGCAATTAATGTTGTGGTGAGAATTATGGAGAATTTGGCTAAATGTCCTAAAATAATCAGTAAGAAAAAGAAGGACATATTTAGCAACATTAAGAACAATAAAAATTAAACCCACATATGTCAAAGACAAAGGCCAGCATAAAAAGGTAAACCAAGCCAGGTGCAGTGGTACACATCTTTAGTCCCAGGTACTCAGGAGACTGAGGCAGGAGGATCCCTTGAGTCCAGAAGTTTGAGTCCAACCTGGGCAGCATAGTGGGACCCTGTCTCAGAAAAAAAAAAAAAAAAAAAACAAATGATAAATGTGTGTAAAATTTTGCGGTAAATGAGAAAGACAAACCCTAGGCTCTATATAGTGCACATTGATTGTGTTTTGGCCCCCACCATCCATTTGCCTTACTTCTGGTAACATTTGAGGATCTGTGCTCTTTCTTATTTTTCTGTCCATGTGGTTCTGAACAGAGCCCAAAACTCCAGGAAGTGTAGCATATAATCCAGGTTTAAACCAGTGAATCACATTCACAATGCCTTCCTGAGAGATTGGTTCAAGGATGAGCAAATGATTCAAGAAAGAGGAGCTTGTGTTTTGTTTGTTGTTGTTGTTGTTGTTGTTGTTTTTCTCATTGGATCTGAAGCATAAGAGATCTTCAGATTGGGATTGAAACTGTTTCCACCATCTTGGTACCATCTTGCTACCATGTGGAACCCCTGAATGAGACCAACAGAGGAAAGCAGAGTTAACAAATGGAGATGGCTGGGCACAGTGGCTCATGCCTATAACCCCAGCACTTTGGGAAGCCGAGGTGGGTGGATCACCTGAGGTCAGGAGTTCAAGACCAGCCTTGCCAACATGGTGAAACCCCATCTCTACTAAAAATACAAAAATTAGCCGGACCCCATCTCTATTAAAAATACAAAAAATAGCCCGTAAAAATAAAAAAATTAGTCCCAGCTACTTGGGAGGCTCAGGCAGGAGGACTGCTTGAACCCAGGAGGTGGAGGTTGCAGTGAGCCGAGACCGTGCCACTGCACTCCAGCCTGGGCAAGAGAGTGGGACTCTGTCTCAAAAAAAAAAAAAAAAAGAAAGAAAGAAAGAGAGAGAGAGAAATGGAGGGAGGAAGGTAGGGAAGTTAAATTCTGACCACATCATTTCAGCCTTGAATCCAGCCATGTCTGATCTTAGTGCTATCCCAAAATATAAAGTTACATAGGCAATAAATTCCTTAACTGCTGTCCTTGCATTTACTATTGTAATTGTCAGTATCTTTCAGTTCAACTCAGATTCTTGATTTTGATGACTATGTCTTTACTGGTTTATTCCCAGCATCCAGTAAAGTACCTGGTATATAAAGGGAAGGGTTATTGTATTTTTACTGAATAGATGTTGAATTAATATACCCTCACGTTTTACAAGTGCCTTAAAAAACTAATCCAACTTTCTATGTAATTTTGACTTGTCTTTACAACATTATGAAGATATTTTTTAGACTAGGGTGAATGCATGACTCACTAAGAACTCACTAGTATTCTCTTAATATCATGACTCCATATTTTTAGTGGGTGACACCATTTGATACACTTCCAAACACCCCCATAGCAACTGATGTTTCAAAAATACACTCAAAAGACTTTTTTTCATCTGTGTCAGATCACATACTATATATCATCTTGGATCAGAAGCCCCAGTAACAATCTGCTATGGAGATCCTTGTTTGCCTTCTTACTTAGGAGTCAGCACAGTCTCCAGATTGATTTTTGTTCATTCTTTCATTCATTCATATATTCAGTCAATATACCCTTAATCTATTGCTGCATAACAAGCATACATAAGCTTAGAGGCTTAAACAACATTCTCTTATATAGTTCATGACTCCACACTTTGGCAATTTTTACTGAGCTCAGATGGGAAATCCTTTAGGTCTCCCTGGGACTCCCTTCTATGTCTGTAATCTGCTGCTGGATTGGCTGGAGGCTAATGGGTCTACAAGGACCTCAGGTGCAACAGCAGCAATCTGCTCCATGTGGTGTCTCATCATTTTATCTTGAGTATTAAGGTTAATCATAAAACCTGAAACCCTTAGGCTTGGGATATCACAGGGTAGGCAATAGAAAGATAAATTATTAGGGAGACTGTGGAATAAAAGTCAAATCCAGACTTTATAAGGAGAGACTTTATTCAAAAGAATTATTGCATTAGGGGGCAAAAATCGTAGTGGGAAAAATGCTTTGACCACAGGTCTACAAGTGACTTGAGATTTAGGAAAA
The DNA here is from genome assembly GCF_000001405.40 of Homo sapiens. Lineage (NCBI taxonomy): Eukaryota > Metazoa > Chordata > Mammalia > Primates > Hominidae > Homo > Homo sapiens. The sequence continues at coordinate 176,217,230 of NC_000001.11, forward strand.
AAGAGTTTTTCTTTTATAAGGAGTAAACAAAGCTAGAAAGAACCAGGTATGGGGAAGTGAGGCAAACGGGTGACGTGATCAGATAGATCAGAGACTATTTTACCTGGAGGCCAGTTTATTCTCCGGAGGGGCTGTATGCTTTTTCAGGATAATGGTGGGGCAAAATTTAGGGGTCTGGAGGAAGGAGAGAGCTTAACCAAAATTTTATTAAGGGGCATTTTGTTCCAATTGATCAAAATTTTCTTCTTTCTGTACAGAGGCTACAGTTGCCTCATGGTCTGTATGTCCTGGTCATCAGAAAACATTATTCAGAGTGTTACAGCCCTTTTAGAATTTGTCTAGCAAGTTTAGAAAATGATTCAAAGAGACTGACACTTAGACAATGCTGAGAAATGAGAAGGTATGGCTGGCTTGGCTTTTAAGCTGAAACTTTTACTACAGGCCTGGGAGTTATGACAGCTGGAGTCTGAATAGATCCCTATCAGTGCTTCCAAGGCTTCCTTTCAAATACAAGGAATTTGTTAACATTACTTACTTTTTGCCTGAAGCCACACTTTCCACTTTTTTTAAAAAAAAATTCAGTTTTTAGGGGTTTCTTTTTTGTCTTTTTAAGAGAGAGTCTTGCTATGTTGCTCAGGCTAGAGTGCAGTGCCTATTCACAGATGCAATCATAGTGCAACACATACAGCTTTGAACTCCTGCACTCAAGCAGTCCTTCTACCTTAGCCTCCCCAGTAGCTGAAACTATAAGCATGCACCACTCAGCCTGGCTCTTTCTACTTTTAAAAAACTTTACTTGTAAGCAAAGTGTCCAAAAACTTGTTCACCTTCTGGTTTCAACTCTGAAGTGTAAAGAGCTTGGAAGGCATCACTCTTGTCCTTACAAGAAGTAAAAAGCTATTTTGGCAGTCTACTACATTCAACAAATACTTGAACAACACAGGTTTGAACTGCAAGGGTCCACTTATACATGGATTTTTTTTCAACCAAATGTGTTTGGAAAATACATTATTCGCCAGATATGAAACCCAGGTACACAAGGGCTGAATTTTCCTATATGTGGGCTCTGTAGGGTGGACTGCAGGACTTGAGTGTTTGTAGATTTTGGTATACGCTTGGCTTCGGGAACCAGTCCCCCTGTGATATGGTTAGGCTTTGTGTCCCCACCCAAATCTCATCTTGAATTGTAATCCCCAGGTGCTGAGGGAGGGTCCTGGTTGGAGGTGATTGGTCATGGGGTGGTTTCCCCCATATTGTTCTTGTGATACTGAGGGAGTTCTCACGAGATCTGATGGTTTTATAAGTTACAGTTTCCCCTGGACTTCTTTCTCTCTCCTGCCGCCTTGTGAAGAAGGTGCCTGCCTCCCCTTCCACCACGATTCTAAGTTTCCTGAAGTCTCCCCAGCCATGCTGAACTGTGAGTCAATTAAACCTCTTTTGTTTATAAATTACACAGTCTAAGGTAGTATCTTTATAGCAATGTGAAAATGGACTAATACATCCTGAGAATACCAAGGAACAACTCTTATTTAACAATTATGTATTTATGTAACAACGTGTAACAATTCTGTATGCCCCGCACTATCTCATGTCCTGGGGGTGAATAGTAAATAAGGATTGTTTCCAACTTCAAGAAGAGTTCATTCTAATTGGAGAAAGAAATGCTGTATATATTTACAGGAGCTCTTTAAATATTAGGGAAATTGGCTCTTTGTGAATTGCAAATAGTTTTTCCTGCTCTATAGAGAGCATTCTTGTTACTGATTTTAGTGCAAATGCTTCTATAGTTTTTTCTTTATACTGTGTGTATACCTTTTGTTGTAGGTTTCAGATTAAAGCTGTTCGATTGTTTCCAAGCTGTAGGATTTTCTATCAAGAATAAGAGGTGTATATTGCCAAAGGCTTTTTTGCTTATAACTTATCATATTTTTTAATCTGTTAATTTAGTCGATTACATCTTTTTTTCTCCTAAAATAAACTCCACCTGGTCATCATAATAATTTTTTAAGTGTACTACTCATTCACTTTTCTTATATTTTAACATATTTATGTCTGTGTTTACAAGTGAGGTTGGTTACACCTTTCCATTCTTAGGCTGTTTCTCTCTGGTTTAGATATCAAGCTTATATTAGCCTTGTAAAATGAGTGGAGTAACTTTATTTTCCTCCGCTCTTTTCTGAAAGTTTATATAAGAAAGATATTATCTTTTTTTTTATACTTTGGAAGAGCTATTCAGTTCATTTCTTTAGCCAGTTTATTTTGGTATTCAATGTATTATTTCTATAAAACAGTTTATTGTATCTAAATTTTAAAATTTATTGACATTAACTTGCCTTTTTTTTTTTTTTGAGACACAGTCTTGCTCTGTTACCCAGGTTGGAGTGCAGTGGCACAATCGCTGCTCACTGCAACCTCTGCCTCCTGGGTTCAAGTGATTCTTGTGCCTCAACCTCCTGAGTAGCTGGGACTACAGGTGTGCACCACCACACCAGGATAATTTTTGTATTTTTAGTAAAGAGGGGGTTTCACCATGTTGGCCAGGCTGGCCTCAAGCTTTCCACCTGCCTCAGCCTCCCAAAGAGCTGAGATTACAGGTATGAGCCACCATACCTGGTCTGTTTATGGTTTTTAAAACCTCTACTGATTGATTCTGTATTTTATGCTGTTTTCTCTTCCACTTTGCATATATAATTTTATTATTTGTGCATTCTTCCTTCTTTTTTCCCTTGGTTGGTCTTGCTACATATTTCTATGTTTAATTGGATGCCATTTCCCATTAGCCTTAAGTGTGGTAGTGGGGTTTTTTCCTTAAAATTTTAAATAAAGAATTAACATTTACATTGTTTGGGTTTATTCTGTTATTCTTCTGAAACTGTCAGTTAGCTCGTTTATTTTCATTCTTTTGTTTATTTGTTTTTTATTTTCTTTTCAGAAGTAAAGAAAATAGGATCTCACTCTGTCCTATTGAGTGCAGTGGCGGGATCACAGCTCACTGCAACCTAAACCTCCTGGGCCCAAACAGTCATCCCGCCTCAGCCTCCAGAGTAGCTAAAATGCTCAGAGGCATTTGAACCAGAGTAACTCCATCTTGAATAGGGGCTTGGTACAATAAGGCTAAGTCCTATTGGACTGCATTCCCAAGAGGTTAAGGCATTCTTAGTCACACGATGAGACAGGAGGTCTGAACAAGATACAGGCCATAAACGACTTTGCTGATAAAACAGCTTGCAGTAAAGAAGCCTGCCAAAACTCTCCAAAACCAGGATGGCAATAAGAGTGACCTCTGATCATCCTCATGGTTAATTACACGCTAGCTATAATGCATTAGCATGCTAAGAGACACTCCCCACCAGCGCCACGACAAATGCCCTGGCAATGTCAGGGAATTATCCTGGATGGTCTAAAAAGGGGAGGAACCCTAAGTTCTGGGCATTGCCCACACCTTTCCTAGAAAACTCATGAATAATCCGCCTCTTGTTTAGCATATAATCAAGAAATAATCACAAAAATGGGCAACCAGCAGCTCATGCCACTGTTCTGCCTGTAGAGTAGCCATTCTTTTATTCCTTTGCTTTATTTATTTTATTTTATTTTATTTTATTTTGAGACAGAGTCTCATTCTATTGCCCAGGCTGGAGTGCAATGGTGTGATCTTGGCTCACTGCAACCTCCGCCTCCCGGGTTCAAGCAATTCTCCTGCCTCAGCCTCCCAAGTAGCTGGGATTACAGGCATGTGCCACCACACCTGGCTAATTTTTGTGTCTTTGGTAGAGACAGGGTTTTACCATGTTGGTCAGGCTGGTCTTGAACTCCTGACCTCAGGTGATCCACCTGCCTTGGCCTCCCAAAGCGGTTTTTTTTTTTTTTTTAACATAAGAAAAGCACAGATATATTGAAATGGAAGTACACTCTACAGAGTCAGACAGGCTCGAGCAAGCAGCTCAAGAGCCTATTCCTTTACTTTCTTAATAAACTTGCTTTCACTTTACTCTATGAACTCACCCTGAATTCCTTCTTGCGTGAGATCCAAGAACCTCTCTGGGGGTTTAGATCAGGATGCCTTTCTGGTAACAGAACTACAGGCACACACCACTATGCCTGGCTAGTTGTGATTTTTGTAGAGACAGGGTTTTGCCACATTGTCCAGGATGGTCTCGAACTCCTGAGCTCAAGTGGTCCACCCACCTCCAATTTTTTAATCTATGAATTCTTCTTTATTCTTAATTTTCTACATTTGTTTATCTGTGAATTTATTTATTTAATTCTGGTCAGTATGCCCTTGCAATTTGTGGATGCACATTTTTCTTTAATTCAGCTATTCTTCAAATTACACTCCTCCTTCATTGCCCCAATTCTTTCCTTCTAGAATTCCTCTATGTATTCTCTATTTCTCATGTGTTCCTTTTTCAGGTGTTTTATTTCTTTATTTTTCTAAGCTATGTTTCAGGTAATTGTCTTAATACTTTTGCAGTTTACTAATTCTTAGATTTTATTTAGTATAGCACTTATTATTTCTATTGTGTTTTAATCACAATGGCTATATTTTACATTTCCAGATTTTTTAATAATTTTTTTTAATCTTCCTGCTCTTGGATTGATATCCACCTTTTTCTTGTTGTTATTTCATTATTTCCTTGTTCTTGCTTTCTGTATATTATTTCTTTCCTTCTTGAAGATTTTAAGCATTCTCATATCATACTTATTTTCAGAAAATTATTTTGTTTTTCATTTCTAGATAGAATTTTTTGGTATTAGAGCTGATTACCTATTTTATGATGAATTTATTTTTACTAATTTAAAACTGGTTTGTAAGTACTTTTTAAAAAGGTTTTATTGAGTAAAAATTGACATACAATGAACTACCCATATTTAGTGATTAGTGAGTTTTAACATGTATATACCTGCAAAACCATTGCCACAATCAAGATAGTGAATGTACCTATGACCTACAGAAATATCCTTGTAAAAGTCCAGTTTGAGGAGCAGGCTTTTCTGTTTTGTGTTTGTCTTGCTTTTCTTATCCCCATGTTTACGTTCTTATATTTGGCAGATTTCTTGTGACTTATCCAGTTTCCCCAGGTCCCCAATTTGAAGAGAGTCTTACATTAATCAATGGATAAGACTCATATCCTGCCAGGAGAACAATGGTTTACCTCATTTCTCCTAATCCAAGAAGCTACCAGATGTGAACTATAAGCCCTGGACATAGGCCAAAACCCTTTTAAATCTAAATATATAAGAAGCAAGCCTCTTGTTAATATCCAGTTTTACACTGTGAGCCTGACTTTGGTGCCTGCCACTAGTTAAAACTCCACTTGCCCCACAGAAATTGTACTCTTGTCATCTATGTGGTTTCTGATTCTATAGCCCAGATCTGTAGCTTCAGATAGGCAGATCTGTGTCCTCATCTGTTCAAGTCAAGGAAATGCTTTTCTTATTTTTTAGCTGAGCTAAGTCCTTTAAATTTGTATGCACTTTTTCATTGTCATGTGTTTGCAAGGACGGCAAAAGGAGCTTCGCCATTTGAATCTTGGAGCTCACAGGCTCATTCTTGACCAAAAGATCTCCAGACAGTTCTTAATCACTGGGTAGAGTGGTTTCAGTGTCAGAGTAATTGTGTATTCTTTCTCCCTACAGTTCAATTCTCCTATATTAATTCATACCCTTTCAAACTGAAACTTGTACATAAAGAATTCACTGTTGGCTGGGTTCAGTGGCTTATGCCTATAATTCCAGCACTTTGAGAGGCCAAGGCAAGAGGATTACTTGAGCTCAGGAGTTCAAGAGCAGCCTGGGCAACATAGTGAGACCCCTGTCTCTACAAAAAATTTAAAGGTTAGCCAGGCATGGTGGCACATGCCTGTAGTCCCAGCTACTCAGGAGGCTGAGGTGGAGAATTTTTTGAGCCCAGGAGTTTGAGGCAGTAAGCTATGATTGTACCACTGCACTCCAGCCTGTGCAACAGAGTGAGACCCTGTCTCCTGTCAAAAAAAAAAAAAAAAAGAAAAAAGAAAAAAAAAATTCACTCTTCAGTTTCCACAACCCTACTTCAGTTTTCAGAGTTCAGGGATCATGCTACCCTAGAGAAACTCTTCAATGAATACCAAATGTGTAACAAGTGTTACATTTTTTTCTAATTGGAATAAATCTCAGAAAGGCCTATCTTCTAGGGGTGGATGACCATAATTAAGCCCGGGAGGAGGGTTAAACCTCAATCTGGTAAACAAATAAAAAATAAAAAGCCTTGCATATGAATTAAGATATAATTATTTCATATTTTCCAAAGGAAAATGGCAGGAAGGCCAACTTCTTTCAACTTACAGGAAGGTAACTAAATAATTTTTTATTGTTAGGAGGGAATAATTTTAAAATGTGGACGTCCTGATTGCAGTAGGCAGAAGAAACAATGAACTGAAATGTTCCATTAATATCAAAGGAACATGTGTGAGTGTCTGTGGTACTGCTATGACAATGACGCACAAATGACTACTAACTTGGAAAGTAAAGGCTATTGTGTGAGTTAAGAATGTCAAATAAAGGCCAGGCACGGCAGCTCACACCTATAATCCCAGCACTTTGAGAGACAGAGGTGGGCCGATCACCTGAGGTCAGGAGTTTGAGACCAGCCTGGCCAACATGGCAAAACCCCGTCTCTACCAAAAAATTCAAAAATTACCCAGACATAGTGGCGCATGCCTGTAATCCCAGCTACTTGGGAAGCTGAGGCAGGAGAATTGCTTGAACTCAGAAGGCAGAGGTTGCAGTGAGCCAAGATCACACCACTGCACTCCAGTCTGGGTGACAGAGTGAGACCCTGTCTCAAAAAAACAAAACAAAACAAAACAGAAAAACCCAAAACAGGAAAACAAAAGAAAATGAATGTCAAATAAAAATTATAGAAGACCATTGTTTTGGACTAAGCTTCTATACTAGGCCCCAACAGATCAGACTAAAAATCAAAACAGAGTCACCCATGCTAAAGTTCCACATCATTACACCTCAATGAAGTTGCCATCTGACCTTCCAAGAAATCAGGAGAGTGAGATAACAGCTAATTTCCTAAGTAGGCCAGTTTATATCTTTAATCAATATGATAATGACATTCTCTCTGCTTTTTTTTTTTTAAATTGTTCTGTCACCCTGTCCTTGCCTTATAAGAAAAAGTAACTTGAAAAAGTAACTTTAAAAAGTAACTAAGCTGGACACTGTGGCATGTGACCGTAGCTCCAGCTACTGGGGAGGCTGAGGCAGGATTGCTTAAACTAGGAGTTTGAGCCTATAGTGCACTATGATCACACCTGTGAGTAGCCACTGTACTCCAGCCTGGGCAACATAGCGAGATCCTGTCTCTAGAGAAAAAATGGTAAATAACACATGTGTCATTCTTTACTTCTGCTTTCTTCAGCCCTTCTCTGTCTATAAAACCAACCTCTTCTGCTCAGTTCATTGGAAGACTTTCCAATGGAAATGAAATGTTGCCTGATTCTCGAATTACAAATAGAGCTAATTAAGATCTCTAAACTAAATTTGTTGTAATTTTGTCTTTGACAAGAACAATCCAGGCCTTGGTCCCAGTGCACTGAGAATACTGGGGCCCCATAGTTCTTGAGAGGACCTCAGGCTGCTGCCTTGCCCCCACTTCACCAAGCACTCAACTCCCAGGGCAAGGGTATCACTCAGAGAGAAGCTTGCTATTGTCCCCAGCACCAATCAGAAATTTGGCCTGGGGAGAGAGGAAAGCCATAAAACAGATAGCTTCTAATCTCTTCCCAAGGAAATTTACTTCATTTGTAAAGCAGCTAGAGAAGTTCAAGGCTAAGAGCATAAACAGTGGAGGTGTAGTGAAAAACAATTAGGAAGGGATTGGGAATAAAACAGCCAGAAGGAGTCTTTTTGGGGTCAGAAAAATTACACTGTCCTTAAAAACCATTACTTTAAAGGAGCCACATTTGATTGGATTAGTTTGTAGAGCAATTTATGCCTCCCAGGACATTGTTGAAAACAATAGAGCAATCAGACAGCAATTAGTGGAATTTAACAGCTGGATATGGTCGAAGAAAGAAAGCAAGCAACTGTCATCCCAGGGTCATGGTTGGGCATACCTAAAGCTGTACCTCCCTAAAGAGCAAGATCAGAGTTTTAACACTGTGTGTGTGTGTGTGTGTGTGTGTGTGTGTGTGTGTTGCTTTGGGGGTGCACGTGCATATATGTGTGGTGGAGGAGCACAGATTTCACTGAAATAATCCAAATAATCATTACACACAAAAAAAATCAAATAATAACAAGTCCCAGAACAGAAGGTGGGGCAGTATAACCATTGCTAAAATATATTATCTAAAAATTTCTGTTTTCCAACAAAAAATTGTTAAGAGTAGATAGCTAGGCAAACATGAGCAGGGCAAAAGAGGGCCCTCCACCCTTAGGAATGTCAAGTGACCATCAAATGATGGTAGGGAACTTGTTAAACTGACTATTGAAAATAGTAGTTGGTCACACCCAGTGCCAGGGAAAGGCAGTGTCCCGATAGATAAAAAAAACCTGAAGCTGGTCATCAGCAGCTTCCTGATGAGCTCTCAGGATTAGGCAAGTGGGCTCATGCATGTGCACTAAAAGGCAAAATGGTGGAGTTTAACTGGTATATGACCTTCCTCTAGGAACACTCAACTGGTAAGGGAAAAACATGTCAAATGGGTATGCACACAACTTCAGTAAACACACTGCGCATGCAGCCCTTCTCAAATGCTGGGAGGCCACTGCATATGTGGACAGCCCACCTCAAGGGAAAAATCAAGGGAGAAGAAATGCAAACTCTGAAACCATGCCAAAGTATAAAACTCCAAGTCAATGGCTGAACAGTGCACTTGGATCTCTCAATTTGCCTGCTTGGCTCTCTTCCAAGTGTACTTTACTTCCTTTCATTCCTGCTCTGAAAACTTTTTTGTTTTGTTTTGTTTTGAGACAGAGTATCTTTCTGTAGCCCAGGCTGGAGTGCGGTGGCATAATCTTGGCTCATTGCAACTTCCACCTCCCAGGTTCAGGCAATTCTCCTGCCTCAGCCTCCCAAGTAGTTGAGATTACTGGTGCGTGCCACCATGCCCAGCTAATTTCATGTCTTTAGTAGAGATGGGGTTTCACCATGTTGGCCAGGCTGGTGTTGAACTCCTGACCTCAAGTGATCCGCCCGCCTCGGCCTCACAAAGTGCTGGGATTGCAGGCGTGAGCTACCATGCCTGGCTCTGAAAACTTTTTAATAAACCTTTAGTCCTGCTCTAAAACTTGCCTCAATCTCTCACTCTGCCTTATGCCCCGCAGTCTAATTCTTTCCTCCAAGGAGGCAAAAATTGAGTTGCATATGGATTTGCCACTGCTAACAAAATTATGAGGTGTGCGAAGAAACGGGAAATTCTAGTGCATACATGCAACAAATACTGCCCATAAGAGCAACTAGATGTCAGATTTAACAGAAAAATACTTTAAACTAGCCATTATAAATATGTTCATAGAACTAAAGGAAAATATGATTAAAGGTGTAAAGGAAGATAGGCCAGGTGCGGTGGCTCACGCCTGTAATCCTAACACTTTGGGAGGTAAAGGTAAGTGGATCACTTGAGGTCAGGAATTCGAGACCAGCCTGGCCAACATGGTGAGACCCCCATTTCTACTAAAAATACAAAAATTAGCCAGGCATGGTGACAGGCACCTGTAATCCCAGCTACTCAGGAGGCTGAGGCATGAGAATCACTTGAACCTGGGAGACAGAGGTTGCAGATGAGCTGAGATTGAGCCTACTGCACTCCAGCCTGGGCTACAGAGTGAGACTCTGTCTTGAATTTAAAAAGAAAAAAAAAGGAAAGGAAGATATAACAATGTTACATTAAATAGAGAATAACAATAAAGAGATAGGAACTGTAAAGAACCAAATGGAAATATTGGAGTTGAAAAGTAACTGAAATAAAAAAATTCCCTGGAAGTCTTTTCTGGCTGCTCAAGAAGAAAAATAAAATTCACCGCAGGAACTCAATGGTAGATTGTCTGGCAGAGTAAAGAGTTAGTGAACTTGAAGATATAGTAAGTCCTCACTTAACATGTCAATAGGTTCTTCGGAACTGCAACTTTAAGCAAACAATGTACAGCAGATCTTCCGAAAACATTGTTTTCTTCAACATCATTTCATTAACACATTGATGAGAAAAAAATTGATTTTGTTGTACGTCATTTTGTATATCAATTGATAAACTTCCTCTAAGTACTGTCAAAGATAAATTTCAGGTAACAATTTATTCCATGAAATAGACTAAGTGCTCTCATGTATACAGCAGAAGAGGTTGGCTTTATAAGAGGACTGAAGAAAGCAGAAACAAATAACAAATAGTGGATTGGCCATTTCAAAGTTACTTTCTTTTTAGGGAAGGGCTAAGCGGTCAGAACAAGAGAAAGATGGCTGATTGGTTAACATCAAGTTACTTGGGTAATTCTTTATTGTAGGATTAAAACAGAGGGAACTTCATTATCATGCTGATTAAAGATTAAAACTGGCCTGTTTGGGAAGTTAGGCTATCTCTCTCTCCTGATAACTCTGATAGCAACAAGAGCAGCTCAGTTTCAGTTCGGTGATCACTGGCTTCGTTGTGATTTTTTACTCTACTTTGTTGGGGCCTAGTGGAGGAGTTTAGTCCAGAGCAATAGCTTCCTGTAATTTTTGTTTAATAGTACTCATTAGCTCTATCCAACAAATTTTGATATATTTTTATTATTATGTAGATTCAAATATTTATTAATTTTTCTTACTATTTCTTCTTTGCCTAGTTACTAAAAGTTTGTTAATTTCCAAATATTTGAGGCTTTTCAAAAATCTTCAATTGTTATTAATATCTGATTTAATTTTGGTTTTTAGAGAACATACTCTGGAAAATTTCAAGCTTTTAGAATATATTGGGACTTGTTTTACATTCCAGGATAAGGTCCATCTTGGCAAATGGTCTGTGTGCACAAGAAAGAATGTGAATTCTGCAGTTGTTGGGTAAATTGTTTTATAAAGTTCAGTTAGGTTAGGGTGGTTGATAATTATTTTAAGATCTTCTATATCCTTACTGATTTTTATCTAATTATTAAAAAGAAAATTAATATCCCCACTTCTTTTTATTTTTACTTTTGTTTTTTTTTTAGATACAGTGTCTCACTCTGTCACCCAGACTGGGGTGCAGTGGCATGATCATGACTCGCTGCAGTCTCACCCTTCTGGGCTCAAGTGATCCTACTGCCTCAGACTCTCAAGTAGCTAGGACTACAGGCATGTGCCGCCTGCCATATCTGGCTAAGTTTTTATTTTTATTTTTGTAGAGATGGAGTCTTGCTATGTTACCTAAGCTGGTCTTGAATTCCTGGCCTCAAGCGATCCTCCCAATCATCCTTCAAAGTGCTGGAATACAGGAGTGAGCCACTGTGTCCAGCCAATATCTCTACTTTTGACTGTGAATTTGTCTATTTGTCTCTTTAGTTCAGTCAGCTTTTGCTTCATCAATTTTTTAAGCTCAGTTATTAAGCTACCTACATTTTAGGATTTTTAAGTCTTCTTCATGGATTGATCCATTTATTAAAATATCTCTTCTGTCTTTATTCTTCTTGTCTTGAGGTCCATTAAGCCTAATATTAATAAAACTTTCAGCTTTCTTTTGCATACCATTTACATGATATATCTTTATCTTTTTCTTTTTAACCTATATGTATCTTCTTACATTTAATGAAATTATTGATATGTTTGGACTGAAGTCTATCATTTTTGTTACTTGCTTTCAATTTGCCAAATTCATTATTTTGTTTTTTTCCCCCCCTTTTTTGCTGACTTCTCTTGGCTAATAGAATGTTATCTTATCTGGAAGAAGAGGAATAGGAAAGAAAAGGAGTCAGGAATGGATCTTACTCAGAAGGCTGACTAGACACAGCCAGGTGGAAGAGCTCCCACTGCGGGACCAAGATGACTGGAATGCCCCTAACAGATCTTCAGAGGGAAGAAACCAGGAGTGGACAGAGAGAAGACACAGAAGCTGGGCTGAAGGTAGTGAAAGCTGGGAATGTGGCACAGGACTACTGCACACCAGGTTTTGTTCCTGGCCCACAATGGCTCTGGGGGATCAGGTGAGTTGAATTGTCAAGGAACAACCCACTGTTGCCATGGGCCTCTGGAACCCCTGTAGGAGAAGACCCCTTCACCATCACAGACATTCGAGTTGGCAGGGAGAGCTGCTTAGAGAAGGGGTAGGGGCAGCAAGCCATTGGTGTGGAGCACAGAGGGTATACTGCAGGAGTGTCTGTAGTGGAACATGGCCAGGGATGGCCATCCTAGGCTCAACTTGCTCCCATAGAAGACTTTAGCCCTAGGGGAACTGTCAGACATGATCTCTGCAGGGTGGTCTTCCCCATCAGGTGGGGCTGGTCCAACCTGAGCACCCCTTGGTCTGCTGGTCTCTCTAGGAGCCCCAGCCTGGTTACACCTGCTTGCAGAGCAGTCTCTAGTGCCCTGGCGGCCCACACCATTGCTTCTGTGCCTGGAAGACCATGCCTGACTGGCAGCTCCAGCCGGGCAGCCCCTATGGCCACACACCAGCCCACCTGCTCCCTCCCCATACTGCAGCATCCCCCCAGGCCCATGGCAACTCCCCACATCACTTTGCTGGCAATGTCTGCAGAGGCAGGTTTGCTTTCCTTGCCCACCAGTGTGCAGGAGTGCAGTCCAACCTCCCATCCCCACCAACTGCCATTGCAGAGAGAGCCTTGGTGGGCACAGAGCCAGCCAGCCCTTCCCCCACCAGTGCCCACTCTCGTGCTAACACTATGAGAGATCAGCAGATCCTCTGCAACACTGAGCGATCCCTCCTGTTTGCAGAGCACAGAGAAGGCAACCAGACCTGCATTTGCCAGCACCTTGCACCTGAGCTAACACCGCCACCAGTGCAGCTGCACACACAGTTGCCAGCAGGGCCCCCAACACCTACTGACTCCCCAGCTGCATTGCCTCTCCCACTGTGGTGATCACCTGCAGGAAGGCAGGCACCCTGGCACCCACTAGCACTCTGCTGCAGCTGCTGTACCTTGTCTCCTGTGCCACCCACAGCACAGTGGATTCCTAACCTCAGGGAGCCAGAGAACAAAGTTGGGAACCAATACAAGTCCCCCAGAATACAGCATGCAGTCCGGAAGTTGGAAGCTGAGCATTGGCCTTCTAAAATTTCCCAGAAATAAAGCCAGTCAGCTGAATCTACCTTATACCACAATCAAAGCCCCAAAATCATCAAATAGGTTAAAAGGAAAAAATATCCCAAAGTCAGCAACCTCAAAGATTGAAGGTAGATAGGCCCACAAAGATGAGAAAGAATGAGTGCAAGAACCCTGAAAACTCAAAAAGCCAGAGTGCCTTTTTTCTTCCAAACAACTGTATCACTTCTCCAGCAAGGGTTCTGAACTGGGCTGAGATGGCTGAAATGACAAAAACAGTATTCAGAATACGGATAGGAACAAAGATCACTGAGTTACAGGAGTACATTGAAACCCAATCCAAGTGATATGGTTTGGATATGTGTCCCCACCCAAATCTCATGTCAAATTGTAATCCCCAATGTTGTAGGATGGGCCTGCTGGGAGGTGATTGGATCATGGGGGTGGATTTGCCCCATGCTGTTCTCATGATAGTGAGTTCTCATGAGATCTGGTTGTTTAACAGTGTGTAGCACCTCCCCCTTCTCTCTTTTTCCTGCTCCAGCCGTGTAAGATATGCCTGCTTCCCCTTCACCTTCTGCTATGATTGGGAGTTTCCTGAGGCCTCCCCAGCCATGCTTCCTGTACAGTCTGTGGAACCATGAGCCAATTAAACCTCTTTTCCTTATAAATTACCCAGTCTCAGATATGTCTTTTTTTTTTTTTTCCTCCCGCAGCATTACTGCTGACTTATTACAAATCCCTAAGAGGGCTTTATTTTTTTCTTTTCAACATCCTGTTCTACAGCTTCCTTGGCTCTTTTTGCTTTTATGCCAAAGAGCTGGGCAATGGCACAGGCCATGAGGAGATGCGCGAAGGCTTTGAAATTCTTCTCCTCCTCAGTGATGACTAGGGCTTTCTCCTTTTTATAGACCTTCTGGATGGGCATGACTGGTCCTGTCAGCTGGATGGCCAATATCAGTTCTTCAACAGAACTGTCTCCCTTCTTAGGGGCCAAGGGCTTCCTGGGGAAGAGGATGAGCTTGGAATTGTACTCCTTCAGCCGCTGCACATTGCCCTGCAGGGACTCAGTGGACTTGTTCCGCCTCCTCCAATCAATAGAGATGCCAGTGGTTTGGGCCACATTCTTGTGAATGCCTGCCACCTTGAGCTCCTCTAAGCTGAAGTGCGGCTGATGCACACCTTGGTGTGATAGTGTATAGTGTGGCACTACATGATGGGCTGGATGGGTCCTGACTCGGGGTATGGGGCAGTGCGGTGTGCTTTTGCTTGCTGGGCCTTGCGTCTGCGGATCTAATGGGCCAGCTGGTTGAACCACTTGGCCACACATTGCTAGCAGTCCTTGCGGAAGTGGGGCTTCGAGATCATGCCATTATGGCTGGGCACCATGGCTGCCTATGGCCTGCCTGTGCAGGAAAACAACTGATCAGAAAGCCAGTCTGAGGTATTTCTTTTTTTTTTTCTTTTTCTTTTTAAATTATACTTTAAGTTCTGGGGTACATGTGCAGAACTTTCATGTTTGTTACATAGGTATACACTTGCCATGGTGGTTTGCTGCACCCATCAACCTGTCATCTACATTAGGTATTTCTCCTAATGCCATCCCTCCCCTAGTGCCCCACCCCCTGACAGTCCCTGGTGTGTGATGTCCCCCTCCCTGTATCCATGTGTTCTCATTATTCAACTCCCACTTATGACTGAGAACATGTGGTGTTTGGTTTTCTGTTCTTGTGATAGTTTCCTGAGAATGATGGTTTCCAGCATCATCCATGTCCCTGCAAAGGACATGAACTCATCCTTTTTTATGGCTGCATAGTATTCCATGGTGTATATGTGCCACATTTTCTTTATCCAGTCTATCATTGATGGGCATTTGGGTTGGTTCCAAGTCTTTGCTATTGTGAATAGTGCCACAATAAACATACATGTGCATGTGTCTTTACAGTAGAATGATTTATAATCCTTTGGGTATATAACCAGTAATGGGATTGTTGGGTCAAATGGTATTTCTGGTTCTAGATCCCTGAGGAATCGCCACACTGACTTCCACAATGGTTGAACTAGTTTACAGTCCCACCAACAGTGTAAAAGCATTCCTATTTCTCCACATCCTCTCCAGCACTTGTTGTTTCCTGCGATTTTAGTGATCACCATTCTAAACTAGTGTGAGATGGTATCTCATTGTGGTTTTGATTTGCATTTCTCTGATGACCAGTGATGATGAGCATTTTTTCATATGTCGGCTGCATAAATGTCTTCTTTTGAGAAGTGGCTGTTCATATCCTTTGCCCACTTTTTGATGGGGTTGTTTGTTTTTTTCTTGTAAATTTGTTTAAGTTCTTTGTAGATTCTGGATATTAGCCCTTTGTCAGATGGATAGATTGCGAAAATTTTCTCCCATTCTGTAGGTTGCCTTTTCTCTCTGATGATAGTTTCTTTGCTGTGAAGAAGCCCTTTAGTTTAATTAGATTCCATTTTTGTATTTTAGCTTTGTTGCCATTGCTTTCGGTGTTTTCATCATGAAGTCTTTGCCCATGCCTCTTTCCTGAATGGTATTGCCTAGGTTTTCTTCTAGGGTTTTTATGGTTTTAGGTCTAACATTTAAGTCTTTAATCCATCTAGAGTTAATTTGTGTATAAGGCGTAAGCAAGGGATCCAGTTTCAGCTTTCTACATATGGCTAGCCAGTTTTCCCAGCACCATTTATTAAATAGGGAATCCTTTCCCCATTTCTTGTTTTTGTCAGGTTTGCAAAAGATCAGATGGTCATAGCTGTGTGGTGTTATTTCTGAGGCATCTGTTCTGTTCCATTGGTCTATCTCTCTGTTTTGGTACCAGTACCATGCTGTTTTGGTTACTGTAGCCTTGTAGTATAGTTTGAAGTCAGGTAGTGTGATGCCTCCAGCTTTGTTCTTTTTGCTTAGGATTGTCTTGGCTATGTGGGTTCTTTTTTGGTTTCATATGAAATTTACAGTAGTTTTTTCCAATTCTGTGAAGAAAGTCAATGGTAGCTTGATGGGGATAGCATTGAATCTATAAATTTCTTCGGGCAGTATGGCCATTTTCACGATATTGATTCTTCCTATCCATGATCACGGAATGATTTTCCATTTGTTTGTGTCCTCTATTATTTTGTTGAGCAGTGGTTTGTAGTTCTCCTTGAAGAGGTCCTTCACATCCCTTGTAAGTTGAATTCCTAGGTATTTTATTCTCTTTGTAGCAATTTTGAATGGGAGTTTACTCATGGTTTGGCTCTCTGTCTGTTATTGGTGTATAGGAATGCTTGTGATTTTTGCACGTTGATTTTGTATCCTGAGACTTTGCTAAAGTTGCTTATCAGCTTAAGATTTTGGGCTGAGACGATGGGGTTTTCTAAGTATACACTCATGTCATCTGCAAACAGAGACAGTTTGACTTCCTCTTTTCCAATTGAATACACTTTATTTCTTTCTCCTGCCTGATTGCCCTGGCCAGAACTTCCAATACTATTTTGAATAGGAGTGGTGAGGAAGGGCGTCCTTGTTTTGTGCCAGTTTTCAAAGGGAATACTTCCAGTTTTTGCCCATTCAGTATGATATTGGCAGTGGGTTTGTCACAAATAGTTCTTATTATTTTGAGATACGTTCCATCAATATCTAGTTTATTGAGAGTTTTTAGGATGAAGGGCTGTTGAACTTTGTTGAAGGCTTTTTCTGCATCTATTGAGATAATCATGTGGTTTTTGTCATTGGTTCTGTTTATGTGATGGATTACGTTTATTGATTTGCATATGTTGAACCCGCCTTGCATCCCAGGGATGAAGCCGACTTGATCGTGGTGGATAAGCTTTTTGATGTGCTGCTGGATTTGGTTTGCCAGTATTTCATTGAGGATTTTCACATTGATGTTCATCAGGGATATTGGCCTGAAATTCTCTTTTTTTTTGTTGTGTCTCTGCCAGCTTTTGGTATCAGGATGATGCTGGCCTCATAAAATGAGTTAGGGAGGAGTCCCTCTTTTTCTATTGTTTGGAATAGTTTCAGAAGGAATGATACCAGCTCCTCTTTGTAACTCTGGTGGAATTTGACTATGAATCGTCTGGTTCTGGATTTTTTTTGGTTGGTAAGCTATTAATTGCTGCCCCAATTTCAGAACTTGTTATTTGTCTATTCAGGGATTTGACTTCTTCCTGGTTTAGTCTTGGGAGGGTGGATGTGTCCAGGAACTTGTCCATTTCTTCTAGATTTTCTAGTTTATTTGAGTAGAGGTGTTTATAGTATTCTCTGATGGTAGTTTGTATCTCTCTGGGATTAGTGGTGATATCCCCTTTATCATTTTTTATTGGATCTATTTGATTCTTCTCTCTTTTCTTCTTCTTTTTTTTTTTTTTTTTGTTGAGACGAAGTCTCGCTCTGTCACTCAGGCTGGAGTGCGGTGGCACGATCTTGGCTCACTGCAAGCTCCGCCTCCTGGGTTCACGCCATTCTCCTGCCTCAGCCTCCCGAGTAGCTGGGACTACAGGTGCCCACCACCACGCTCTGCTAATTTTTTGTATTATTAGTACAGACGGGGTTTCACCGTGTTAGTCAGGATGGTCTTAATCTCCTGACCTCGTGATCTGCCCACCTCGGCCTCCCAAAGTGCTGGGATTACAGGCATAAGCCATCTCGCCCGGCCCTCTCTTTTCTTCTTTATTAGTCTGGCAGTGGTCTATTTTGTTGATCTTTTCAAAAAACCAGCTCCTGGATTTATTTATTTTTTGAGGGGTTTTCATGTCTCTATCTCCTTCAGTTCTGCTCTCATCTTAGTTATTTCTTGTCTTCTGCTAGCTTTTGAATTTGTTGGCTCTTGCTTCTCTAGTTCTTTTAATTGTGATGTTAGGGTATCTATTTTAGATCTTTCCCTCTTTCTCCTGTGGGCTTTTAGTGCTATAAATTTCCCTCTAAACATTGCTTTAGCTGTGTCCCAGAGATTCTGGTATGTTGTGTCTTTGTTCTCATTGGTTTCAAAGAACTTATTTAGTTTTGCCTTCATTTCATTATTTACCCAGTAGTTGTTCAGGAGCAGGTTGTTCAGTTTCCATGTAGTTGTGTGGTTTTGAGTGAGTTTCTTAATACTGAGTTCTAATTTGATTGCACTATGGTCTGAGAGGCTGTTTGTTATGATTTCCTTTCTTTTACATTTGCTGAGGAGTGTTTTACTTCCAATTATGTGGTCAATTTTAGAATAAGTGCAATGTGGTGCTGAGAAGAATGTATATTCTGTTGATTTGGGGTGGAGAGTTCTGTAGATGTCTATTAGGTCTGCTTGGTCCAGAGCTGAGTTCAAGTCCTGGATATCCTTGTTAATTTTCTGTCTCTTTGATCTGTCTAATATTGACAGTGGGGTGTTAAAGTCTCCCACCTCATGGAGGTGAAACATGATTCCTCACTCCTTAAGTGTGGACTGGGCGTAGTAATTTCTTTCCAAAGAATACAGTATGGGAAGAGGGGTGATGGGGAGAAGAAAACTTACAGTGTAGAAACCTTACAAACACTACCTCAGCCAGGTGATCAAAGTCTCAACACCCAAGTCATATTGCTAGCAAGTGTCTTTGATATAATGTGACTTTACCTCTATGGTCTTGCTCCCAAAAACCCATAAACCCTGTCTAATCATAAGAAAAACATCAAACAAATTCCAGTTGAGGAACATTCTTTACAATAACTGACCAGTACTTCTCAAAGCTGTAAAGGTCACCAAAACTAGGAAAGTCTGAGAAACTGTCACATCCAAAAGATCCTAAGGAAACATGATGATTAAACATAATGTATTCTGGAAAGGATCCTAGAACAGAAGTATTTTAATTTTTTCATTTATTTATTTATTTATTTATTTATTTATTCATTTATTTATTTATTCATTTATTTATTTTTGAGACAGAGCCTTGCTCTGTTGTCCAGGCTGGAGTGCAGTGGCATGATCTCGGCTCATTGCAACCTCTGCCTCCCGGGTTCAAGCATTTTTCCCTGCCTCAGCCTCCTGAGTAGCTGGGATTACAGGCATCTGCCATCCTGCCTGGCTAATTTTTGTATTTTTAGTAGAGATGGGATTTTGCCATGTTGGCCAGGCTGGTCTAGAACTCCTGACCTCAGGTGATCCACCCCCCTCAGCCTCTCAAAGTGTTGGGATTACGGGCCTGAGCCACCACGCCCAGCCTCTGTACCTTCTTTGGAGAGGGGTCTGTTTAGATCTTTTGCCCATTAAAAAATACAGTTGTTTTCTTATTGTTGCATTTAGGAGTTCTTCATATATTATGAATACAAATCTTTTCTTAGAAATGTGTTTTTGCAAATATTTTTCCTGTCTTTAACTTATCTTTTTAGCCCCTTAACAGTGTCTTTCATGGAGCAGTAGTTTTAAATTTTAATGAAGTCCAATGCATCAACTTTTTAAATGGACCATTCTTTTGGTGTTTTATCAAAAATTTCATTGCCAAACCAAAGGTCACCTATATTTTCTCCTATATTAACTTCTAGGAGTTATATAGTTTTGTGTTTTACATTTTATGATCCATTTTGAGTTAATTTTTATGTAAGGTGTAAGGTCTGTGTCTAGGTTTATTATTTTTACATGTGGACATTAAATTGTTGCAGCACCATTTGTTAAAAAGACTTCTCTATTCGATTGCCTTTACTCTTTTGTCAAATATCAGTTGATGATATTTGTGTGGGCATATTTCTGGGCTCTGTTGTTTCTGTTCCATTGATCTATGTGTCTATTTTTTTTTTTTTCCCCAATATCACACTGTTTTGGTTACTAGTCACTTTGTAGAATGACTTGAAATCAGAGAGTGTGCATCCTCCAACTTTGTTCTTCTTCAGTATTGTCTTTGCTGTTATAGGTTTGTTTGTCATTTCGTATAAATGTTAGAATCATGGCCGGGCACGGTGGCTTACGCCTGTAATCCCAGCACTTTGGGAGGCAGAGGCGGGCAGATCACGAGGTCAGGAGATGGAGACCATCCTGGCTAACACAGTGAAACCCTGTCTCTACTAAAAGTACAAAAAGTTAGCCGGGTGTGGTGGCGGGCGTCTGTAGTCCCAGCTACTTGGGAGGCTGAGGCAGGAGAATGCCAGGAGGCGGAGCTTGCAGTGAGCCGAGATTGCGCCACTGCACTCCAGCCTGGGCGACAGAGTGAGACTTCATCTCAAAAAAAAAAAAAAAAAAAAAGAAAGACTTTAAAAAAAAGTTAGAATCATTTCATCAATATCTACAATATAGATTGCAGGAATTTTGATTGAAATTACACTGAATCTATAGATCATGTTAGGAGAAATCTTAACAATTTTGAGTCTTTTAATATATGAACATAGAATATTTCTCCATTAAGTTAGACTTTTTGTGTTTTTTTGTTAAAGGTTTTTTTTTCAAACTCTTTTCGGTCACCTTTAATTTTTTTTCACAGAATTTTGTAATTTCCACATATAGACTGCACATAAATTACATAAATTGTTACACTTACACCCAAGTATTTCAATTTTGTTGTAATTATTTCAAATGGTTAAAAAAATTTTTAATTCCTATTGTTCATTTCTGGTATACAGGACAGCAATTATATATATTAATTTTAATTTTATACATTTTAATTTTATATGTTAACCTTGTATCTTGAAACCTTGCTATAATCACTTATTAGTTCCAGAAGTAGTGTGTGTGTGTGTGTGTGTGTGTGTGTGTGTGTGTGTGTTCTTTGGGATTCTCTATATCTGCAATTATGTCATTTGCAAAAAAAAAGACAGAGTTTTCTATTTCTTCCTTTACAATCTGTATGTATTTTATCTCATTTTCTTGTCATATTGTAGTCGGTTGGTCCTGCCATACAATGTCAAATAGGTACATCTCCGATATGATGGTGAGATAGGACATTCATGCCTTCATGCCTTGCTCCTGATCTGAGGGTAAAAACATTCAGTTTTTCACCTTTCAGCATATTTTTTTATTTTTATTTTTAAGACAGGGTCCCACTCTGTTGGCCAGGCTGGAATGCAGTGGCATGAACATAGTTCATACAGCCTCGACCTCTTGGGCTTAAATGCTCCTCCAGCCTCAGCCTCCCATGTAGCTGGGACCATAGGCACACGCCTTCGTGCCTGGCTAATTTTGAAATTTTTCTGTAGAGAAGGGGGTCTCACTTTGTTGCCCAGGCTGGTCTTGAATTCCTGGCCTCAAATAATCCTTCTACCTCAGCTTCCCAAAGTGCTAGCATTACAGGAGTGAGTCACCATGCCTGACCTGTAATTTTTTCTTTTTTTTTGAGGACCTCACCAAACTTCATAGAGACCTATAATTTTAAGTGTCTTTTGTAGATATTACTTATAAAATTAAGGAAGTTCCCATTTATTGTGAATTTGTTGAGAGTTTTAAAAATTGTAAATGGGTATTGGATTTTGTCAAGTGCTTTCTCTGGATCAAATGCTAAAGTTATATTAATTTTCTTCTTTAGCTACTGATATCATAGATTACATTTTTTTAGTTTTCAATGATGAGCCAGCCTTGCCTACCTGGAATAAGTCATTGGTTTTAGTATGTAATTCTTTATATACACTATTGAATTAAATTTCCTAATATTTTGTTGAAATTTTTGTGTTTGTGTTAATGAGAGGTATGTGTGTGTAGTTTTCCTTTCTTGTAATGTCTATCTGGTTTTGGTATTAGGGTAATACTGGCCTTACAGAATGAGCTAGAAAATTTCCACCACTTGAATTTTCCAGAAGAGATTGTAGAGAATTGGATGATTCCCTGATCATCCCGACTCTTTCAATTTCTTCCTTTCTTAATTGTTGGGTAGAATTCACAAGTGAAAACATCTGGGCCCAGTGCTTTCTTATTTGAAAGGTTACTAATTACTGATTTAATTTATTTGGTATACATAGACCTATTCCAATTATCTAACTTTTCTTATGCAATTTTTGGTAGTGGGTGTCTTTAAATGGATTGATTTATTTCATCTAAGTTATCAAATTTACAAGCATTAGCTGGGCACGGTGGCTCATGCTTATAATCCTAGCACTTTGGGAGGCTGAGGCAGGAGGATTGCTTGAGGCCAAGAGTTCAAGACCAACCTAGCCAACAAAACAAGACCCCATCTCTAAAATAAAAATAAAAAATATTTACAAGCATAGAGTTGTTCATACTATTTCTCTTTTTTCATACTATTTCTTTAGAAGTTTTTAAATGTTTAGGGGATTGATAGTGATGATCTTTCTTTGATATTTAATACTCATAACTTATTTTTTCTATCTTCTTTTCCTGGTGAGCCTAGCTAGAGATTGATCATTTTTATTGATCTTTTCAAAGAACCAGCCCTTGGTTTTGTTGATTTTCTCTATTGTTCTCCCATTTTTAATTTTATTAATTTTTGCTCTTTTATTATTTCTTTTACTCTGCTTGCTTTAGGCATAAATTGCTCTCCTTACTCTAGTTTCCTGAAGTGGAAACTTAGGTTATCAATTCTGGATCTTTCTTCTTTTCTAATATATGCATTAGTACTATATATTTCCTTCTAAGCACTGTTTTTGCAGTATACTAAGAATTTTAATAAGTTGTATTTTAATTTCCATTTAGTTAAAAATATTTTAAATTTTTTCTTGAGAATTCTTCTTTGATCTCTGTGTTACTTAGAAGTATATTGTTTGATCTCCAAGTATTTGGGGATCATCCAGTTATCTTTCTAATATTGACTTACAGTTTAATTCCAATGTGGTTTGAGAATATACTTTGCATGATTTCTATTCTTTTATATTTGTTAAGGTGTGTTTTATGGCCAAGATTGTTTTCTATTTTAGTTAATGTTACATGTAAACTTGAGAAGACTGTGCATTATTCTGTTTTGGGGTAGATTATTCTACAAATGTCAGTTAGATCAAGTTGATCAATAGTGCTGTTCAGGTTAGTTATATCTTTACTGACTTTCTGTCTGCTTAATCTGTCAATCATCAAAAGAGATGTATTGAAGTTTACAGCTGTGATAGTGTATTTGTCTATTTCTCTTTTTACATCTATCCACTTTTACCTCTTATTTTTTTGATGCTGTGTTGTAGGTTTGTATATGTTTAGGATTATGTCTTCTTGGAAAATTATCCTCTTTATTATTATGTAATGTCTCTCTTTATCTGTGATAATTTTTCTTGTTCTGTGCTTTGTCCAAAATTAATGTAGCTACTCCAGCTTTTTTTTTTTTTTTTTTTTGATGACTACTGGCATGGTGTACTCTTCTCCATCCTTTTATGTTTACCTGACCCTTTAAATTTAATATCTTGTAGACAACATATGATTGGGTCTTGTTTATTTATCCACTCTGATAGTCTCTGTCTTCAATTGGTGTATTTATATAATTCACACAAGTGATTATTGATATAGTTGAATTAATTATCTTTCCTGTGTTTACATTTTCTATTTGTTGCATTTGTTTTTTATTTCTTACCTCTTCTAGTTCTGCTTTCTCTAGTTCTGGTTGACTATTTTATATTATTCCATTTTATCTCTTAGCATGTCAATTATACTTCTTTTTAATTTTTTTAGTGGTGGCCCTAGAATTTGCAATATACATTATTAGGTAATCTAAGTCCATTTTGAACAATACTATGCCACTTCACATATAGTGCAGGCACCTTATAACAATACAATTGTTTCTCCTTATTCGTGGAGGCTACATTTCAAGACCCTCAGCAGATACATGAAACTGCAGATAGTACTGAATCCTATATATACCATGTTATTTTCTATACAAGCATACCTATGATAAAATTTTATTTATAAAGTAGGCACAGTAAGAGATTAAAAACTATAGCTAACAATAAAATAGAGCAATTATAACAATATGCTGTAATAAAAGTTAGATGAATGTGCTCTTTCTTTTTCTCAAAATATCTTAGTGTATTTTACTCATGCTTCTTCTTGTGATGAAAATGTGAGATGATAAAATACCTATGTGATGAGATGAAGTGAGATGGATGACATAGGCTTTGTAGCATTAGGCTACAATTGACCTTCTGACAATACATCAGAAGGAGGAGGAGGATAATACCTGGTGTGGATGATTCTGCATCATTGAGCCATACTGATGTTAATGGTTGAATGTCAGGAGCAGACAATGACTAACAAGTGGCTCGTGTATACAGCATGGATACACTGGGCAAAGGGATGATTCACTTCCCAAGTGAGAAGCAGCAGGGTGGTGCAAGATTTCATCATGCTTCTCAGAATGACATGCAATTTAAGTCATATAAATTGTTTATTTCTGGAATTTTTTATTTAATATTTTTGTACAGCAGTTGACTGAGGTAAGTGAAACTGCAAAAAGCGAAACCTTGAATGGAGATGTGAGGGACTACTGTATTCCTAATTTTTTTCTCTCATTTCTTATGACATCACTGCCATTTATTTTACTTTTCTATTATGTGTAGTAATTACCCAATACATTGTTACTATCACTTTTAACAAAGTTATCTCTTAGAGTAATTAACAAACAAGTAAAACAAAATATTTTATCTCACCTTCATTTATTTCTTCTCTGATGCTATTCTTTTGTTTATGTGATCTAAGTTTCTGACCTATACCATTTTTCTTCTTCCTAAATAATTTTTAAAAACATTTCTTGCAGGGCAGGTTGGGTGGTGATAAATTACCTCAGTTTTTGTTTGTCTAAGAAAACTTTTATTTCTCTTTCCTTTTTACTGATAATTTTACTGGATATAGAGTTCGAGATTGTTGGTTTTTTTTCTTTCAACACTTTAAATATTTCCTTCCACTTTCTTCTTGCTTGCATGATTTTTGATGAGCAGTCTACTTTAATTTTTATGTTTCTTTCTCTATAAATAAGGTTTTATTTTTAAATCTGTTTTCTTTCAAGATGTTTCCTTTTGTCTTTGTTTTTCTTCAGCTTAAATATGGTATACCTAGGTGTAGTTTTAAAAGTATCCTGCTTGGTGTTCTCTGAGCTTTCTGACTGTGCTTTAGTGTTTGTCACTATATTTGAAAAATTCTTGGCCATTACTACTTCAAATATTTCTTTTGATTCACTTTATCTTTCTTTTCCCTTTGGTATTCCAATTACACATATTTTACACTTCTTGAAATTGTCTCACAGTTTGGATGTTCTGGGTTTCTTTTCATTCTTTATCTCTTTGCATTTTTGTTTGGGACGTTTTCATTGACCTATTTTCAAGTTCACTGATTATTTCCTCAGCTATGTCCAGATTAATCAGCCCATCAAAAGCATTCTTCATTTCTGTTACAGTGTCTTTGATTTCTAGCGTTTCCTTTTGATTCTTACAGTTTCTATCACTTTGCTTACATTACCCATATGTTCCTTCAGGTTGTCTAGTTTTTCCATCAGACATATAATTATGTATGTCTTTAGCATATATAATTATTTTAAATTGCCTGTCTGAGAATTTCAAAATTTGTATTATATCTGAGTGTGGTTCCATTGCTTGCTTTGTCTTGTTTGGTCCAGAAAATCATACCCAAAAGTATGGTGCTCAGTATGCTGAGCATTTTTGAATTAAAGAAAATTAGACAGTCTTAGAGGCTACCTCAGAACCAAAAACTTTATAACCTTCTTTTGTTTCCTATACCCACCACTCAGTGCAGGGAGGAGCTCAATCTGGAATTTCTTTATCTGACTGAGGAAACTTCTTTCCAAAAGAAGTGTAATTGTTTTAAGACTCTCTCCCTAGACATCTCATTAAATAATAGCAAAAGATTAACTAAGAAGAAGAGAAGAGAACACATCCAGAAAGATTTTTCATCTATTTTTCTGAGGGGAGCGCTGAGAAATTACCTGTGAGACTGTATCTGCACAATCAGACAACCTTTGTTCATAGTGCAGTTCTGCCCCTCATTTTTGTGTATCTAGTCCACAAGATATTGCTTGTCCTTAGTTTCCATTTATTGTGCAAAGAGAATCATTTACAAACAACTGACTGTTCTTTGGGCTCATTCATTTCCTCTAAAAATTATTTACAATTCCTGTAAAACTGCCTACAACCCCTAACTTCTCTCCCCCGCATAAAGATGTTATTTAAGCTTCAATCATCTGGTTCTACTTTGAGTCTCATATTTTGTATGGCTCCCACACTTATGCATGTTAATAAATTTGTACTTTTTTCATGTTATTGTTTATTGTTAGTTTATTTCAGTAAAACTTCAGACAGAATGGAAGAGAAGCTTTCCTTTAGCTCCTACGGTCTCCTCAGATTGTTTTTTCTTCTTTCTTGTTTGGTATGCCCTGTAATTTTTTGCTGAAATTAAATGTTATGTTTCAGGCGATAGGAAATGAGGTAGAAGGTCTTTAGTATGAGCGTTTCTGTTAATCTGGCTAGCAGTTGGGGTGTACTTAATATTTGTTGTAGTTATAGATTCTAGAAGCTTCAAATTCTATGTCCCTGTTTTAATCTTCCCTGTTTTCTCTGGACTTTCCTGTAGTCTCCTCAGAAAAAGTCTTGGCCTTGGATCTCTTTCAATTGTGATTCACTGTGATCACACTGGAGCCCTGTGAGTGTGGTATAACGCATGGGGAAGAAGAATTTCTACACTTGATCTTAGCCAAAAGGCTGAGAAGTGATGGGAAGAAGAATTTCTATAATCTTATAATTAAATTTCAGTCTTTTGTATAATGATGTCCCTGGACCATGACTTTCACAAATGTCTCTTAGCTTTTTTCCACCCTTACATGAGCTAGCAAGAGTGAATGGGACTGGAGTTGTCATGGATAGGATAAGTCTCTGGAAGTCTTTTTCCCTGGAGACTAGGCCTTTTTCTGGAGAATGTTCTGGATTATATGATTAGTCTCCCCTCTTCCCTCCATCCTGCTAGAGCCACAGGGGATCTTTCCTGTGCGTTTACTATGAGAATGTGGTAAGATTTCTAGAGCCAAAACTTATAAAAATATGAGGATCCCTCCAACATTGTGGCCCTCAGGAGCCTCTCATTCTTGTGCCAGTCCACACTCAGACTCTGGCATTTCACCCAAATAAGCATTTAAATGTTTCTACTATGTTATGGCTCCAGCAGCTTCTGCTTATTTAGATGTGCAGATTTCAGCTGTGTCTCTCTCCACATTTTTGGGTTGTGATTTGTCCTGTGTAGGGATGAAAAAGGAAGGCTTTCCCTCTACTCTCTGAAGGTTCACTGAAATGAACTAATAATGGACAGATTAGCAAGAGAAAAGGCATACAAATTTAGTAATGTGCAGAAGCACAGGAGCCATATGTCAATAAGAAATAATTGAAAGGATGAGAATCTAGTTTAAAAGATTTTCTTCAAACATAATGCTGTGAATGGACATCTCAGTAACACAGAAGCCAAATAAATGGGATCAGCACTAAGAAGCTGAAAAGTTAAAGCATTGCTTCTATAGGCAGAGAGCAAAAAATTGAACAGAATGACAGCATTTTCCATACAAGGCTAGTTTATGAGTTACAGTAATTTAATTTGCTTTAGCTTGTTTTATTTTCCTTTCCAACGTAGAAGGGTATCTTTAACATTTTATTTTAGGCAATGTGATAGTCATAAGGACTTTGTGTAAGAGATGTATATCTATAATCAGAAGAACAAAGGTTATAGCTGCCTAGGTTACAGCTGCTTAGATTACAATCGCCTGTCATATGACTCAGGTCTCATAATCACATTCCTTTAAGACTCAAAATCATGTAAAGTTCCAATAGCTTTGATTTTCTTTCTTTGTTTCATTTATTTTTAATATTTATTTTTTGTGGGTACATGGTAGGTGTATATATTTCTGTGGTACATGAGTTTTGAAACAGGCATGCAATGTGAAATAATCAGATCATAAAGAATGGAGTACCCATTCCATCAAGCATTTATGATTTGTGTTACAAACAATCCAATTATACTCTGTTATTTTTAAATGTACAATTAAGTTATTATGACTATAGTCACCCTGTGGTGTTATCAAATAGTAGGTCTTATTCATTCTTTCTATTTTGTGTATCCATTAACCATCTCTACTTCTTTCCCAAACCTTCCCACCCTTCCCAGACTCTGGCAACCATCCTTCTACTCTCTATGACCCTGAGTTCAATTGTTTTCATTTTTAGATTCCACAAATAAGTGAGAACATGCAATGATTGTCTTTCTGTGCCTGGCTTATTTCACTTAACATAATGATCTCCAGTTCTATCCATGTTGTTGCAAATGACAGGATCTCATTCTTGTTTTTATGGCTGAATAGTACTCCATCTGTATATGTACCACATTTTCTTTATTCGTTTGTTGATGAACACTTAGGTTGCTTCCAAATCTTAGCTATTGTAAACAGTGCTGCAACAAACATAGGAGTGCAGATATCTCTTTGAAATACAGATTTTCTTTCTTTTGGATATATACCCAGCACTGGGTTTGCTGGGTCATATAGTAGCTCTATTTTAGTTTTTTGAGGAACCTCCAAACTGTTCTTGATAGTGGTTGCACTAGTTTATGTTCCCCCCAACAGTGTACAAGGAGGGTTCCCTTTTCTCCACATCTTTGCCAGCATTCGTTATTGCCTGTCTTTTGGATAAAAGCCATTTTAACTAAGGTGAGAGGATATCTCATTGTAGTTTTGATTTGCAGTTCTCTGATGATCAATGATGTTGAACACCTTTTAATATGCCTGTTTGCCATTTGTATTTCTTCTTTTGAGAAGTGTTTATTCAGATCTTTGACCCATTTTTAAAGCTGGGTTATTAGATTTTTTTTCCCTGTAGAGTGGTTTGAGCTCCTTATATATTCTGGTTATTAATCCCTTGTCATGTAAGTAGTTCAGCTTTGATTTTGAATTACTTCTTTTTACACAAAGAAGGGCCAGATGGCTGAAGCTGATATACCCTCTTCATAGGGGAAAGAAAATTGGGGAAGAGGAAGATGGCTTTGAAAGACAATTTTTGAAGGGTGATAAATAATTTTAGGGAGGATGACTGGACCCAGGAGATGGAAATTAGCTTGCAATTGTTTCTTTGGAATTTGAATGAGAGACAGAAAATATTTTGTCATAACGTCTGTCCAGGTGTGGTTACATTCCTCAGTCTACTATATGGTAGATAATGAAATTTCAGGTAGGGGGTGGAGGGTAACTGTGTTTTTCTGGAGGAGCTTCAGATAAATGAACCTAAGGAAGACAATTTCACTCTGTGCTTAGGAGGAGGAACAGGAGAAGGCTAGAAAGTCCTTGGTTCTGAGGCTCTAGTCTAAGGTCTTTTAATTTTCTTTAGTTCATAAGTGCTCAGCACACCAAAGCACCATACTTTGGAATATCATTTTCTGAGCCCCACATCAATTCAAGAAAAATAATTGATTTTCAGTTTCTCTAGCTTTTCCTTGTTTTAACTCCAGAAGTGACAACTTTCAAGCTCTTTACATGTCCTATCTAGAACTAGAAGTCTGGGGAGAAGTATTTTATCACTGATCTTGTTTAGGATGGTTGACCCATGCTGCTAATAAAGAGTAGCCTAATTTTAAGTAGGTTTTTTTTTTTTGAGACAGGGTCTTACTCTGTCACACAGTTTGGAGTGTAGTGGTGCAATCTCGGTTCACTGCAACCTCCACCTCCCAGGCTTGAGTGGTCCTCCCACCTCAGCCTCCGGAGTAGCTGAAACCACAGGTGCGCTCCACCACACCCAGCTAATTTTTGTATTTTTAGTAGAGACAGGGTTTCACCATGTTGGTCAGTCTGGTCTTGAACTCCTGACCCCAGGCTATCCACCCACCTTGGCCTCCTAAAGTGCTGGTATTATAGGTGTTAGCCACTGTGCCATGCCTTTAGTAGGTTTTTAAATGTTAAATTCTCTACATATTATGTGCTCCTCATTGCTTCATCTCAGAAGAGCTCTCCTGTTTTTCCCTCAAGCCCTTTGTCCAAATGAAACCATTTGTCTGCTTTTCTATCATTCTTCTTCTCATTCTTTACCCACTGACTCCTACTCATCCTCTAGGTCTGGACTTAAATCTCACTTCTTTGAAGAATATCTCTCTCATTGTTTAAACTTGGTTAAATCAAAACTAGGTTAAATTATTGCATATTCCTTTGACTCTGTATGCTACCTTGGAAATATTTAAGTCTCTTGAAATTGCTTTTTAAATATAATCCTTGTGAGGGCAGGGACCATTTGTGTATTTTTAGTATCTAGCACAATTACTCACACAATGTGGGCACTGAAGAATAATGTATTGATTGATACTTGACTGAAAGGTGTGACCCAATAATTCTACATCTGGCTGAGTTTTCTTAAAAGTGTAATGGTAACAGAGAGAAATCCTTTGAGCTGTACTATTTGAAAAAATTTATTTGAATTTGTAATCCAGCTAATCAAAGGATATAACCAAATATGAAGTCATGCATAACTGGAGAAGATGTAGTATAAACAATGAATTGTCAACATTAAGTCCAGTAAAGCAAAAACATATTTAGGCCCCAAACAGACTGCAATTATTATGATTATTGAAACAAAAGCTACACGATGCAAAAATAATTTGACAATAATAAAATGAAATCTTAGAACATGACCAAAAATTGAGAGTATTAAACCTATACTGTTTTTTATCTGGAACTGATTGAGAAATATATGTTTCAGAATTAATTTAAAAATGTCAAGGTTACCAATAGTACAAAAACCAGAAAACAAATTATAACTTCCAAATTACTTAGGTAGAGGATGATGTGGGTAGCAAACAAAATAAATGAAACTACATAATAAAAGTTAGAAATCAAATAAAATACCAAGGAAGCATGAAAGAATACTAGTTAAGATGTATTCTCTCTCTATAACCACACATATACACATGCATAATTTAAAAGGAGTGAAATCTTCTACTTTTCCTCTAGTAGATGATTTCACTTAAATCAAGTAAAAAGTAGACTTTTTTAGTAGTATAAAAAAGTAGCATAAAAAACAACTTTATGCTGTTTATAGGAGACAGAGTTTTTAAAAGTGATCCTGTGAAATTAAAAGTATCAGTGTTGGCCGGGCGCAGTGGCTCAAGCCTGAAATCCCAGCATTTTGGGAGGCTGAGGCAGGCAAATCACGAGGTCAGGAGATGCCCCATCCTGGCTAACACGGTGAAACCCCATCTCTACTAAAAATACAAAAAATTAGCAGGGCGTGGTGGCGGGTGCTTGTAGTCCCAGCTACTTGGGAGGCTGAGGCAGGAGAATGGCGTGAACCCGGGAGGCGGAGCTTGCAGTGAGCCGAGATAGCACCACTGCACTATAGCATCACTGCACTCCAGCCTGGGCGACAGAGTGAGACTCCGTCTCAAAAAAAAAAAAAAAAAAAAAGTATCAGTGTAAAAAAATGCAATGAAAAAAAAAAAACTTGATGATACCAAAAAAGTCACAGTGGCTTATGCCTAAAATCGGAGGATCACTTGAGCCCAAGGTTTCAAGGCTGCAGAGAGCTAGGCTATGATCGTGCCACTGCATTGTAGCCTGGGCAACCAGAGCAAGACCCCATCTTTTAACAAAAAAGTTGAATTCAGGGCAAAAAAACACTTGTAATGATTAAGAATATAATCAAAATGAAGATGTAACTAAAATGCATGAGTCAAGCCAAAAGATTCTTTTCAGGAAAATGAAGAAAGCACACGAAAATATAATAGTAATGAAAATCTTTATCCTCTCTTGATCCTTGAGTGATAAAGAAGACAAAAAAAAATAAAGCCATAGAGAAATAAAAATAGAATAAAACTGCTCTAATTGACACGTATGTCTTTTTTGTTGTTGTTCTTGTTGTATTTTTGTTTGTTTGTTTTTGAGACAGAGTCTCACTCTGTCGCCAGGCTGGAGTGCAGTGGCGCCCTCTCGGCTCACTGCAACTTCCTCCTCCTGGGATGAAGCGATTCTCCTGCCTCAGCTTCCTGAGTAGCTGGGACTACAGGTGCGTGCCACCATATCCAGCTAATTTTTGTATTTTTAGTAGAGACGGGGTTTCATCATGTTGACCAGGATGGTCTCGATCTCTTGACCTCATGATTCGCCCGCCTCGGGCTCCCAAAGTGCTGGGATTACAGGCGTGAGCCATCACATCCAGCCTTTCATTTATATGTATTTCTTTAGTTCTTTTCCTAGCAAACAGATATTGAATGCGGTTTCTTCTCACTCATTAAATATTTACAAATTTTGTCCATATGTTAGGTCACAAAGGAAACCTTAAATAAATCCAAAATATAAAAAACAATACAGAACACATTTTTTATTGTAATGCAAAAAAGTGACATTATTTACAAGAGTGGGTGCTAATAAGATTCGACTGAATGGAAATGAAATCAATTTTTCTTTATATCCTCCAAGTGAAAAAGCTGGACTCAGATGAAAAATGCATACTTTCATTATCAAACAAAAAATAATTAAATGAAATTAATATTGAATTCAGATGTTGAATTAACATCTAAACAAAAGAAACAAAGATGAAAGTACCAATTAATAAAGTAGAAAAATAGAATAAATATACAAAATAAGAACTAATTCCTTGAAAATAAACTTTATAAATAGAAAAGCTACTAATTTAACCTGTCAAGAACGAAGGAAGGAAATGTAAATACACAAAACTCAGGATGAAGAAGGATAAACAATAGATGTGGAAAAAATAAAAGAAATTATAAGCAAATACTTTGCAACTCCTAATAAATTTGAAAAATGTGAAATGGCTTTGATATTTATATACTAGGCTTTAGGTTTTATAAAATATGTAGCATCTTTAGTTTCTATAAATTATTTGAATATTTTCGTGAACCTACCTTCCAGGGAAGAATGGACATAAACTTGTTAATTAGGAGTATCTCATTCTCTTCAAGATAAAGAGCCTCCTTTCTTTAAAACTGTCCATTTTGGGTAAATGCTCAGCCTGTCTAATTTTCTGACATCTTTTCTTTCCCAAGATAGTGCCTGGATATTGTTGACCACAGAAATTCTGCATCATTTGGTGAGGGGAACCATAAGGCTCAGATGTGAGAGGGTCCTCATACCTTACCCTAGCTCTTCTGTGTCCTCTATTATCAAGCTCTGCTTCTAGTGAAACTCCTGGTCCACCTTCTCAGTCTGGGTATTACTGATAAGGAGGTTAGCCAGCTTCCATGTGAGTAGCCTTTTCTGGTCCTCTAAGATGGGGCTGTGCCTTCCAACTGACTTCTGTCTTGGGCCATGTGCCCACAGGTTCTCAACCACATTTTTTGCTCTGCCTCTTCTGTAGTGATGCATTGACAATCCTGCTAATCAACTATCTTCTGCATCTTTACCCAGGGCACACAGAAACTTCTGGATCCTATAGAAGCTGAGCACCATCTCTGGCTATCTATTTACTTGGCAAATTCCTTCTGTTGTTTTCACTCTGAAGAGGTTGTTTCATTTTTTTTTTTCCAGGTGGGGTCTCACTCTGTCACCCAGAGTGAAAGGCCCAGACTCCTGTGTAGCTGGGCCTTTAGGCATGCACCACCACATCTGGCTAATTTTATTTTAGTTTTTGTAGAGATGGGGTCTCCCTATGTTGCCAGGGCTGGTCTCACACTCCTGGTTCAAGTGGTCCTCCCTCCTTGGCCTCCCAAAGTGTCGGGATTACAGGCATGAGCCACCATGTCTGGCTGATTGTCTCATTTTGATGTGGAAACATCTGGAATGATTTCCCACTTGAGTTCTACTGCTTGAGAACATGTAAGCATTCCACTAAATCCAGAGGTTGCATTTTGGGAGGAGGAATAGGGAAAAGAGATAAATGAAATATTTTAAACTGAAAGAGAAAATTTGAAATCAGAAGAGAATGAGCTACTTTAAATTGGCTAGTTTACCTTATCCCTGTCTTCCTTAATTGCTCACAGGGATGGGTACCCAGGAACAACATTGGATTAGTTATAGAAAACAAAAAACCCCTGCATATTTTGCACATCTCAATGGTAGTTATTAAATTTTTGACCTTATTACACTTGAAATATCTTCAGATTACTTTCATCAATTGTGAATCTTGTTGCCTAGAAGCTGTCTCCCTTCAGGGACAGGGGAGGGCAGATTCCATCTAGAACAAAGGAGTCAATCAGCTTGCAGGTTCATAACTGACTTTTTAGGGGCCTCTGGAAAAACACTAATCTGATGGCAAGAATTCACTAAGTGTGAAAATATGTTTCTGTTTTTTGAGACAGGGTCTTGCTCTGTCAAACATGCTGGAGTGTAGGGGCACCATCATGGTTCACTGCAGCCTTGACTTACTGGGGTCAATCGATTCTTCCACTTCAGCCTCCTAAGTAGCTGGGACGACAGGCACACATCACCACGCCCAGCTAGTTTTTGTATTTTTTTTTTTTTATAGAGACGAGGTTTTGCCATGTTGCCCAGGCTGATCTCAAACTCCTGGGCTCAATCAATCCACCCACCTTGTTTTCCTTAGGTGCTGGAATTACAGGAGTGAGCCATTGCACCTGGCCGGTGAAAAGATATTTCTAAACAAACAAAACATGAACAAATAAAGCAAACAATTCTCTTTATGTATTAAAAGCCAGGCTTAGAGCACTAAATACGAGTTCTATTATAAGTGGAGGAAACATAGAATATAAGGCTTGGAAGCCTCCACCAGTTAGGAAGAGAAGAAAGGCTTTCACATAGGACATCTGGAGAGGAAAACAGGTTGGGTGAAAAGGTCACAAGTTAGCATCCCTATATAGGCTCCACTCAGGGCCAAATATTGAGGATCAGAAGAGGTAGTGGTACAATAGACAGGTATAGGAAAACCAGAGGACATCAGAGTTAGTGACGTCCTTCTTCAGGCATTCCCTGTGGATGAGAGGCCTCTCCAATTTGATCCACATTCAGAAAGGGCCACCCCTAACATGATGCAGGAATAAGAAAAGAACATTGGAAGAAACACGGTCCCCATCGGTCTCTTGAGAAAATCAAGAATGTCCAGTGTGCTCCTTGTGGTGACACAGAAGATAGCAGAGTGCAGAATGAGTGGGCCTGCTATGGGGCAGTTTTGGCAAAAGACAAGTTGACTCTAACGTAGGGGGTCCTGGATTGATGGTGTAATCCAAGGGCAAGATGGAGGATGTGGCTAAGACTTAGAGCATCTGCAACCTCAGAAAGAGCTAAGGTGTGGCCACCAGACAATGATTGTACCTAGAAAACAGACCAAGAAATTTATCACCTGTACATTTCAGAATTGGAGGCCAGTAAGTTTCAGAGGCTAACCGAAGATTACATACATGGACTCAAGGTGCCTCCCTCATTTATTTAAGAATATGTTAAGTGAGGGAAGTTCAAACTTTCCCTCTGAAGGTTAGAGTCTAAGTCTGCTAAAATGATTTGATGATAGACAGATTAGCAGGAATAAAAGGGATACAAATTTATTTAATGTGAATAAGCACATTAAATAATAATAAGCACATTAAATAAGCACATTAAATGGGGGAATCACAGGAGAATGATTACACAAAACCCAGTGAGGCACAGATGCTTATGTACCCTTCTGCATAGGGGAAGGGGAAGATGGAGATTGTAGACAATTCCTTTGAGGAGTAGTAAATGATTATTAGGGAGAATGAATGGACCAGGGAGACAGAAACTAACTTGTAAATAATTCTATTTGGAATTTGAATGGTCCTGTGGGGCAGACATTATCTTGAGAAAAAGTCCTTCCAGGTGTGGTTTTATTCCTTAGTCTTTTTTTTCTGGGATAGATAATGAGATAATGGAAAGCAGTTGTATTTTCTTTGGCCAGTTAAATCATTTATGAAACTAATTTTTTAATTGACACATAATAATTGCACATATTTAGAGGATACGGTGTGTTTTTTTTCTTTTTAAATAGAAGGGATCTCGCTTTGTTGCCCAGGCTGGAGTGCAATGGCACCATTATACATAGCTCATTGTAATTATGAACTCCTGGGCTCAAGGAATCCTTCTGCCTCAGCTTCCCGAGTAGCTGGGACTTCAGACACATGCCAACATGCCTGGATAATTTTTACATTTTTTGTAGAGAAGGGATCTCACTGTGTTACTCAGGCTAGTGTTGAACTCCTGGCCTTAAGTGATCTTCCCACCTTAGTCTTCTAAATTGCTGAACAGGCATGAGCCAACATGCCTGGCCAGTGTGATATTATGATACATGTATACAATGTATAATGACCAAATCAGGGTAACTAGCATTTTCATCACCTCAAGAATTTATTATTTTTTTGTGTTGGAAACATTCAACATCCTATCTTCTAGCTACTTGAAAATATGCAGTAAATTATTATTAACTATAGTCACCCTACAGAGCTATAGAAAACTAAAATTTATTCCTCCTCTCTAGCTGTAATTTTGTATCTGTTAACCAACTTCTCCTTATCATTCTCTCTCCCCTACCCTTCCCAGCCTCTAGTAACCACTATTCTGTCCTTCGCGTCTATGAAATTGGCTTTTTAAGCTTCCACATGAGTGCGAATATAGCGTATTTATCTTTCTGTGCTTGATCTATTTCACTTAATATGATGCCCTCCAGGCTTATCCATGTTGCTGTGAATGACGGAAGTTCATTTTTTAATGGCTAAATAGTATTTCAATGTGGATATGTGCCACATTTTAAAAATCTATTCACCCATTGATGGACACTTAGGTTGGTTCCATGTCTTGGCTATTGTCTGTAGTGCTGCAGTAAGCATGGGAATGCAGGTGTCTTTTTCACATACTGATTTCCTTTTTTTGGGGATAAATACCCATTAGTGGAATTGCTGGATTGCATGGTCATTCTCTTTTTAGTTTTTTGAGGAGCCGCCATACTGTTCCTATAAAGAATTTATTAATTTACATTCCCACCAACAGTGTGTAAGTGTTCATGGCCAGGCATGATGGCTTATGCCTATAATCCCAGCACTTTGGGAGGCTGAAGTGGGAGGATTGCTTGAACCCAGGAGTTTGAGACTAGCCCTTCTCCTCATCCTCACTAGCATTTGTTGTTTTTTTGGTCTTTTTGCTAATTGCCATTCTAAGTGAGGTGAAATGATATCTCATTGTGGTTTTGATTTGCATTTTTATGATGATCAGTGATGTTGAACATTTTTTTCACATAACCTGTTGGTCATTTGTAGGTCTTCCTTTGAGAAAAGTTTATTCAGATCCTTTGCCCATCTTTTAATAAGATTATTTGTTTTTTTAAATGTTAGTTGAGTTCCTTGTATATTCTATTAGTCTCTTGTTGGATGAATGGTTTGCAAATATTTTACCTCATTTTGTAGGTTGTCTATTCACTCTGTTGATTGTGTCCTTTGCTGCGCAGAAGCTTATTTTATGTAATCCCAGTTGTCTATTTTGGCTTTTGCTGCCTGTGCTTTTTAGGTCTTATCCACAAAAATTTTGCCCAGAACAAATGACCTATAGCATTTTCTCTATGTTTTCTTCTAGTAAAAGGCATACAAATTTATTTAATGTGCATACAAATTTATTTAATTTGCATAAGCATGGGGGAATCACAGGAGAATGATTACATAATAACCCAGTGAGGCACAGATGCTTATGTACCCTTCTTCAAAGGGGAAGGGGAAGATGGAGAGTCAGGTCTTACATTTAATTCTTTAATTAAATTAGAAGTTTACACAACAACCCAGTGAGGTACATATGCTTAAATACTCTTCTTCATAGGGGAGGGGGAAGATGGAGTTTCAGGTCTTAAATTTAATTTTTTAATTCATTTTGAGTTGATTTTTGTATATGATGAGAAATAGGAATCTAGCTTTATTCTTCTGCATATGGATGTCCAGTTTTCCCAACACCATTTATTGAAGAGGATATCAGTTACCCAAAGTGTGTTCTTGGCACCTTGCTGGAAAATCAGGTGGCTATAAATAAGTGAATTTATTTCTCAGTTCTCCCTTCTGTACCATTGGTCTGTGTGTCTGTGTTTTCTCCTTCTCTGTTGTGGTTTGGTGGCTTTCTATAGTGATAAGGTTTGATTTATTTTTCTTGCACATATGTGTCTGCTATAGCAGTGAATTTTATATATTTGTGTGTTTTTATGATGGTATTTACTGTTCTTTCACTTCCAGATGTAGGACTCCCTTAAGCATTGCTTGTGAGGCCAGTCTAGTGATGAATTCTCTCAGTATTTGTTGTCTGAGAGAGACTTTATTTCTCCTTCATTTCTGAAAGATAGCTTGCTAGGTAAAGCGTTCCTGGCTTAGTTTTTTGTTTTCTGTTTTTTGTTTTTAAAAGCACTTTGAATATATCAACCTGTTTTCTCCTGGCCTGTAAGATTTCTGCTGTTAGTTTAATGGAAATCCTTTTATACACGACTTGAAAATTTTCTCTTGCTCTTTTCTGGAATTCTCTTTTTGTCTTTCACTTTTGACAGTTTGACTATAGTGTGCTTCAGAGAGATTTTTTTTGGGTTGACTTTATTTGAGCTTCCTTGATCTGGATGTCCCTATCTCTGTCAAGATTTAGTAAGTTTTCAGGTATTTTATAAAATTGGTTTTCTCTGTCCTTTGCTATGTATTTCCCTTTTGAAATTACCTTAATGTGAATATTTGTTATTTTAATGGTGTCTCATAGGTCCTGTAGACTTACAGACTTTTTACATTCTTTTTTTTTTTTGGTCTGATTGGGTTATTTCAAAAGGCCTGTCTTTTGTTTTTTTTTTTTTGTTTGTTTGTTTGTTTTAATAATTCTTTTTTTTTTTTTTATTATACTTTAAGTTTTAGGGTACATGTGCACATTGTGCAGGTTAGTTACATATGTATACATGTGCCATGCTGGTGCGCTGCACCCACTAACATGTCATCTAGCATTAGGTATATCTCCCAATGCTATCCCTTCCCCCTCCCCCAACCCCACCACAGTCCCCAAAGTGTGATATTCCCCTTCCTGTGTCCATGTGATCTCATTGTTCAATTCCCACCTATGAGTGAGAATATGCGGTGTTTGGTTTTTTGTTCTTGCGATAGTTTACTGAGAATGATGGTTTCCAATTTCATCCATGTCCCTACAAAGGACATGAACTCATCATTTTTTATGGCTGCATAGTATTCCATGGTGTATATGTGCCACATTTTCTTAATCCAGTCTATCATTGTTGGACATTTGGGTTGGTTCCAAGTCTTTGCTATTGTGAATAATGCCGCAATAAACATACGTGTGCATGTGTCTTTATAGCAGCATGATTTATAGTCCTTTGGGTATATACCCAGTAATGGGATGGCTGGGTCAAATGGTATTTCTAGTTCTAGATCCCTGAGGAATCGCCACACTGACTTCCACAATGGTTGAACTAGTTTACAGTCCCACCAACAGTGTAAAAGTGTTCCTATTTCTCCACATCCTCTCCAGCACCTGTTGATCCTGACTTTTTAATGATTGCCATTCTAACTGGTGTGAGATGATATCTCATAGTGGTTTTGATTTGCATTTCTCTGATGGCCAGTGATGATGAGCATTTTTTCATGTGTTTTTTGGCTGCATAAATGTCTTCTTTTGAGAAGTGTCTGTTCATGTCCTTTGCCCACTTTTTGATGGGGTTGTTTGTTTTTTTCTTGTAAATTTGTTTGAGTTCATTGTAGATTCTGGATATTAGCCCTTTGTCAGATGAGTAGGTTGCGAAAATTTTCTCCCATGTTGTAGGTTGCCTGTTCACTCTGATGGTAGTTTCTTTTGCTGTGCAGAAGCTCTTTAGTTTAATTAGATCCCATTTGTCAATTTTGGCTTTTGTTGCCATTGCTTTTGGTGTTTTGGACATGAAGTCCTTGCCCACGCCTATGTCCTGAATGGTAATGCCTAGGTTTTCTTCTAGGGTTTTTATGGTTTTAGGTCTAACGTTTAAATCTTTAATCCATCTTGAATTGATTTTTGTATAAGGTGTAAGGAAGGGATCCAGTTTCAGCTTTCTACATATGGCTAGCCAGTTTTCCCAGCACCATTTATTAAATAGGGAATCCTTTCCCCATTGCTTGTTTTTCTCAGGTTTGTCAAAGATCAGATAGTTGTAGATATGCGGCATTATTTCTGAGGGCTCTGTTCTGTTCCATTGATCTATATCTCTGTTTTGGTACCAGTACCATGCTGTTTAGGTTACTGTAGCCTTGTAGTATAGTTTGAAGTCAGGTAGCGTGATGCCTCCAGCTTTGTTCTTCTGGCTTAGGATTGACTTGGTGATGCGAGCTCTTTTTTGGTTCCATATGAACTTTAAAGTAGTTTTTTCCAATTCTGTGAAGAAAGTCATTGGTAGCTTGATGGGGATGGCATTGAATCTGTAAATTACCTTGGGCAGTATGGCCATTTTCACGATATTGATTCTTCCTACCCATGAGCATGGAATGTTCTTCCATTTGTTTGTGTCCTCTTTTATTTCCTTGAGCAGTGGTTTGTAGTTCTCCTTGAAGAGGTCCTTCACATCCCTTGTAAGTTGGATTCCTAGGTATTTTATTCTCTTTGAAGCAATTGTGAATGGGAGTTCACTCATGATTTGGCTCTCTGTTTGTCTGTTGTTGGTGTATAAGAATGTTTGTGATTTTTGTACATTGATTTTGTATCCTGAGACTTTGCTGAAGTTGCTTATCAGCTTAAGGAGATTTTGGGCTGAGACAATGGGGTTTTCTAGATAAACAATCATGTCGTCTGCAAACAGGGACAATTTGACTTTCTCTTTTCCTAATTGAATACCCTTTATTTCCTTCTCCTGCCTGATTGCCCTGGCCAGAACTTCCAACACTATGTTGAATAGGAGCGGTGAGAGAGGGCATCCCTGTCTTGTGCCAGTTTTCAAAGGGAATGCTTCCAGTTTTTGCCCATTCAGTATGATAATGGCTGTGGGTTTGTCATAGATAGCTCTTATTATTTTGAAATATGTCCCATCAATACCTAATTTATTGAGAGTTTTTAGCATGAAGGGTTGTTGAATTTTGTCAAAGGCTTTTTCTGCATCTATTGAGATAATCATGTGGTTTTTGTCTTTGGCTCTGTTTATATGCTGGATTACATTTATTGATTTGCGTATATTGAACCAGCCTTGCATCCCAGGGATGAAGCCCACTTGATCATGGTGGATAAGCTTTTTGATGTGCTGCTGGATTCGGTTTGCCAGTATTTTATTGAGGATTTTTGCATCAATGTTCATCAAGGATATTGGTCTAAAATTCTCTTTTTTGGTTGTGTCTCTGCCTGGCTTTGGTATCAGAATGATGCTGGCCTCATAAAATGAGTTAGGGAGGATTCCCTCTTTTTCTATTGATTGGAATAGTTTCAGAAGGAATGGTACCAGTTCCTCCTTGTACCTCTGGTAGAATTCGGCTGTGAATCCATCTGGTCCTGGACTCTTTTTGGTTGGTAAACTATTGATTATTGCCACAATTTCAGAGCCTGTTATTGGTCTATTCAGAGATTCAACTTCTTCCTGGTTTAGTCTTGGGAGAGTGTATGTGTTGAGGAATTTATCCATTTCTTCTAGATTTTCTAGTTTATTTGCGTAGAGGTGTTTGTAGTATTCTCTGATGGTAGTTTGTATTTCTGTGGGATCGGTGGTGATATCCCCTTTATCATTTTTTATTGTGTCTATTTGATTCTTCTCTCTTTTTTTCTTTATTAGTTTTGCTAGCGGTCTATCAATTTTGTTGATCCTTTCAAAAAACCAGCTCCTGGATTCATTAATTTTTTGAAGGGTTTTTTGTGTCTCTATTTCCTTCAGTTCTGCTCTGATTTTAGTTATTTCTTGCCTTCTGCTAGCTTTTGAATGTGTTTGGTCTTGCTTTTCTAGTTCTTTTAATTGTGATGTTAGGGTGTCAATTTTGGATCTTTCCTGCTTTCTCTTGTAGGCATTTAGTGCTATAAATTTCCCTCTACACACTGCTTTGAATGCGTCCCAGAGATTCTGGTATGTGGTGTCTTTGTTCTCGTTGGTTTCAAAGAACATCTTTATTTCTGCCTTCATTTCGTTATGTACCCAGTAGTCATTCAGGAGCAGGTTGTTCAGTTTCCATGTAGTTGAGCGGCTTTGAGTGAGATTCTTAATCCTGAGTTCTAGTTTGATTGCACTGTGGTCTGAGAGATAGTTTGTTATAATTTCTGTTCTTTTACATTTGCTGAGGAGAGCTTTACTTCCAACTATGTGGTCAATTTTGGAATAGGTGTGGTGTGGTGCTGAAAAAAATGTATATTCTGTTGATTTGGGGTGGAGAGTTCTGTAGATGTCTATTAGGTCCGCTTGGTGCAGAGCTGAGTTCAATTCCTGGGTATCCTTGTTGACTTTCTGTCTCATGGATCTGTCTAATGTTGACAGTGGGGTGTTAAAGTCTCCCATTATTAATGTGTGGGAGTCTAAGTCTCTTTGTAGGTCACTCAGGACTTGCTTTATGAATCTGGGTGCTCCTGTATTGGGTGCATAAATATTTAGGATAGTTAGCTCCTCTTGTTGAATTGATCCCTTTACCATTATGTAATGGCCTTCTTTGTCTCTTTTGATCTTTGTTGGTTTAAAGTCTGTTTTATCAGAGACTAGGATTGCAACCCCTGCCTTTTTTTGTTTTCCATTGGCTTGGTAGATCTTCCTCCATCCTTTTATTTTGAGCCTATGTGTGTCTCTGCACGTGAGATGGGTTTCCTGAATACAGCACACTGATGGGTCTTGACTCTTTATCCAACTTGCCAGTCTGTGTCTTTTAATTGCAGAATTTAGTCCATTTATATTTAAAGTTAATATTGTTATGTGTGAATTTGATCCTGTCATTATGATGTTAGCTGGTGATTTTGCTCGTTAGTTGATGCAGTTTCTTCCTAGTCTCGATGGTCTTTACATTTTGGCATGATTTTGCAGTGGCTGGTACCGGTTGTTCCTTTCCATGTTTAGCGCTTCCTTCAGGAGCTCTTTTAGGGCAGGCCTGGTGGTGACAAAATCTCTCAGCATTTGCTTGTCTATAAAGTATTTTATTTCTCCTTCACTTATGAAGCTTAGTTTGGCTGGATATGAAATTCTGGGTTGAAAATTCTTTTCTTTAAGAATGTTGAATATTGGCCCCCACTCTCTTCTGGCTTGTAGGGTTTCTGCCGAGAGATCCGCTGTTAGTCTGATGGGCTTTCCTTTGAGGGTAACCCGACGTTTCTCTCTGGCTGCCCTTAACATTTTTTCCTTCATTTCAACTTTGGTGAATCTGACAATTATGTGTCTTGGAGTTGCTCTTCTCGAGGAGTATCTTTGTGGCGTTCTCTGTATTTCCTGAATCTGAACGTTGGCCTGCCTTGCTAGATTGGGGAAGTTCTCCTGGATAATATCCTGCAGAGTGTTTTCCAACTTGGTTCCATTCTCCACATCACTTTCAGGTACACCAATCAGATGTAGATTTGGTCTTTTCACATAGTCCCATATTTCTTGGAGGCTTTGCTCATTTCTTTTTATTCTTTTTTCTCTAAACTTCCCTTCTCGCTTCATTTCATTCATTTCATCTTCCATTGCTGATACCCTTTCTTCCAGTTGATCGCATCGGCTCCTGAGGCTTCTGCATTCTTCACGTAGTTCTCGAGCCTTGGTTTTCAGCTCCATCAGCTCCTTTAAGCACTTCTCTGTATTGGTTATTCTAGTTATACATTCTTCTAAATTTTTTTCAAAGTTTTCAACTTCTTTGCCTTTGGTTTGAATGTCCTCCCGTAGCTCAGAGTAGTTTGATCGTCTGAAGCCTTCTTCTCTCAGCTCGTCAAAATCATTCTCTATCCAGCTTTGTTCCGTTGCTGGTGAGGAACTGCGTTCCTTTGGAGGAGGAGAGGCGCTCTGCGTTTTAGAGTTTCCAGTTTTTCTGTTCTGTTTTTTCCCCATCTTTGTGGTTTTATCTACTTTTGGTCTTTGATGATGGTGATGTACAGATGGGTTTTCGGTGTAGATGTCCTTTCTGGTTGTTAGTTTTCCTTCTGACAGACAGGACCCTCAGCTGCAGGTCTGTTGGAATACCCTGCCGTGTGAGGTGTCAGTGTGCCCCTGCTGGGGGGTGCCTCCCAGTTAGGCTGCTCGGGGGTCAGGGGTCAGGGACCCACTTGAGGAGGCAGTCTGCCTGTTCTCAGATCTCCAGCTGCGTGCTGGGAGAACCACTGCTCTCTTCAAAGCTGTCAGACAGGGACACTTAAGTCTGCAGAGGTTACTGCTGTCTTTTTGTCTGTGCCCTGCCCCCAGAGGTGGAGCCTACAGAGGCAGGCAGGCCTCCTTGAGCTGTGGTGGGCTCCACCAAGTTCGAGATTCCCGGCTGCTTTGTTTACCTAAGCAAGCCTGGGCAATGGCGGGCGCCCCTCCCCCAGCCTCGTTGCTGCCTTGCAGTTTGATCTCAGACTGCTGTGCTAGCAATCAGCGAGATTCCGTGGGCGTAGGACCCTCTGAGCCAGGTGTGGGATATAGTCTCGTGGTGCGCCGTTTTTTAAGCCGGTCTGAAAAGCGCAATATTCGGGTGGGAGTGACCCGATTTTCCAGGTGCGTCAGTCACCCCTTTCTTTGACTCGGAAAGGGAACTCCCTGACCCCTTGCACTTCCCAGGTGAGGGAATGCCTCGCCCTGCTTCGGCTCGCGCACGGTGCGCGCACACACTGGCCTGCGCCCACTGTCTGGCACTCCCTAGTGAGATGAACCCGGTACCTCAGATGGAAATGCAGAAATCACCCGTCTTCTGCGTCGCTCACGCTGGGAGCTGTAGACCGGAGCTGTTCCTATTCGGCCATCT
Organism: Homo sapiens; assembly: GCF_000001405.40. Taxonomy (NCBI): domain Eukaryota; kingdom Metazoa; phylum Chordata; class Mammalia; order Primates; family Hominidae; genus Homo; species Homo sapiens. The sequence continues at coordinate 176,262,100 of NC_000001.11, forward strand.
TGGCTCCTCCCAAAAGGCCTGTCTTTTGAAACTTTCTGAACCTGTCTTAAAGTTCAGAAACTCTTTCTTCTGCTTGATCTAGTCTGTGGTTGAAGTTCTTGATTATATTTTTTATTTCATTCATTTAATTCTTCATTTCTGAGATTTCTGTTTGTTTCTTTTTAAATGATATCTATTTCTGTTAAATTTCTCAGTCAGATTATGTATTGTTTTTCTGATTTTGTTGAATTGTCTACCTGTATTTTTTTTGTATCTCATGGAGTCTCCTTAAGATCATTATTTTAAATTCCTTCTCAGACATTTCATACATTCCCTTTTCTTTAGGGTTGGTTCCCGCATAGTTATTGTGTTCCTTTTAAGGTGTCATCTTTCCTTGCTTTTTTATGTTTTTTTTTTTTTGTGTGTGTGTGTGTGTGTCCCTTCATTGATATCTGTGCATCTGGTGGAATAGCTGCTTATTACAATTTTATGGAGTAGTTTTTGTGGAGGAAACTTTTTCACGCAGATGTTTCCTACAGTATCAGTTAGGTAGAGTGTTTTGGCTTTGGTTTTAGGTTGGTGCTGTAGTGTAGTCTCCAAGTGATTTCTTTGGCTGTAATAAATATCAGCGATGTCTGTGAGTGCCTCAATGTCCTAAGAACTGCAGGTGTTTGTTAAGGTAGTGGTATGGTTTTGCTGGGGACAGAGATGGGTCAGTTCTCAGGCCCTTGGTGTGTGTGTGTGTAGCATGTATGGCAGCTCTGCCAGTCATGGAGTTGTTGTCATCACTAGCAATGGTGGGTGCTGAGCAAACTGATACTTTTGCCCTGGCAGGTGCACATAATGCATGGTGTCTTCACTGGTTGAGGTGGATGGGGTCCCCTTAGTGGTGGTAGATACTACATGTGCTGGTCTTTGGGCCTTGGGGGACACATTTGTTGGTTACCTCAGTCTTGGGGATGGTCTACTTGCTGTGTTAAATCCCCCGTTTCTTAGGGTGCAGGGTGCTTCATGGGCTCATGTGCTATTGTCATGGTTGTACTTCCTGGTGTAGCTGGGGTTGTGGTGTTCCAGCCTTTTGTGTGAGCATGTTAGGTTGATGATTGGCCTCAAGGATGTGGAGATGCAGGAGCTATTGGCCTCTAGTGCAGGATGCACTCTAGCTCTGTTCTCAGAATGGCACCAAACTGTAGCATTTTGGGTCTTGGCAAGTAGGGGAGACCCAACATGAATTCCTTTTCTAGAGCAATGAAGCCATATGGACTCTAGGCAACTTCCTGTACTAATCTCAGGGCCTCTGAGAACTGTGGGGGTCTCCTGTAGCTAGGATTGCAGTAATCCACACTGGTAATGAGGATCTCCCACTTATCTTTTCCCAGCACTAATGAGTCCCTCTTGGCTCTGAGCCAATCCTGGTTGAATCCTTCATTTCCCTCTCAATGCTGCCATCCCCCTGGTTTAGTCTTAAAATAGATAAAGGAATATCAGTATAGAGCCTCTTCAAGCATCTGCTGACCTTCAAGGGCCATTAATTTAAAATAATCAACATATAAGGATGTTATATTTTGGGGGTGAAATTTCCTGAGCTCCTTCATAAGTTTTCAAGTATAATTGATTACCTCTTGGGTAGAGGGGGAGGGGAGAAATTAGACAGCACTTGATATTGTCCCAAAAGACACATTTTTTTCAAAAGAGACTGAATTTACTATTATAAAAGTAAATAGCCAAAGATGCCCTTAGTTAGAAAGTGTAAATTATTTCCGCTTACTACCTAGCAGGATGGAAGCTCAAAATCAAGATAAGTTTAGTTACAGGAAAGAAAGGAAAGGCCAGTAACATCAGACTGGATAATTTGGACAAACCTTCCCACTGGACACAACTAATATATATGTATGTATGTGTATGTATGATATATATGTATAGAGATATATATTAGTTATGTTATGTACATACATACATATACATATATCTGTAACTGAAGGCATCTAACTAAAGGCATATATATATAAAACAATTACTGGATTGACATGCAGGATGCAGGGAAGTCTGGGAACACTGAAGTTTCACCTAGAGAATATTTGCTTATTTGACATTGGCAGTTGATAGGCTGAGCAGTATTTTGGGTAGTCAAGAGAGCAATAGTCAGAGCCTGGGATCACATGTTTGGGGTTTCCAAGATGACCACTTATTTTATTAGCATAAAAACATCTCTGTTCTTGAACTTGGATTAATATGTTCCCAGACTTTAGGAGCCTAGCAGAAGAAAATAAAAGTACTTTCAGGAGAAAATAATATTATCTGTGGCCTATAACAATTTCTATACGGATGTTTTCAAATAAAACGTATAGCATATAATCAAAGAAAACAAAGGGACAAAATAAGTTGGGGAAAACCAGAAGAAAAATCAAGAAACATAAACAAACCCCCAGAGACCTGGAGATTGGAATTATCAGACACAGTCTATAAAACAGTGATATTTCTGTGTTTACAAACAGAAAGGCCAAGCCTGAAAAATTGGCCAGAAAACTAGCAGCTATAAAAAGTGACATTTTGTAATATCTTTTACAAATATTTGAAGAGATAATGGCTGAGACTTTTAGAACTGGTGAAAGACATCAATACACAAAAATCCAATGAATCCCATGGCAGTTGAATAAAAAGAAAAGTACATCTAGACACTTCATAGAGAAATTGCATAAAACAAACCAAATAGAAAACCTTTAAAGCAGCTATACAAACAAGATAGGCTGCCATCAAGGAAGCAACAATTGGATTTACAAATGAATTCTCAACAAATCTGCAGGCCAGAAAACAGTGGAATGACTTCTTCAAGGTGCTGACAATTATGACAACTGAAATATAAGCTCTACAAACCAAAAATACCCTTTGGATATAAGAAAATAGTATATAAATTTTCAGATCAACAGAAACAGAGATAATCACAATAAAATAAATTTCAATGGGTATTCCTTAGGTTGAAGGAAAATTACCCTGGATGGAAGATCAGAGGTATAGAAAGAAATGGAGAGCAAAGAAAGAGGTAAGTTTAAATTAATGTGGTTTAAAACAATGATAAAACTGTCTTATGGTATTTAGAATTCTATCTATCTATCTATCCATCTATTATCTGTCATCTATCTATCTATCTATCTATCTATCTATCTATCTATCTACCTACCTACCTACCTATCTTCTCTCTGTGTCTAAGATATTGTGATTTATAATAACAAATATCCATTTGGTCTTCAACCCTATTTTCTGGCACACAGCTCCTAAAACCCTTGGAATCTCCAATGTGATGTGTCTTATTTTATGCTAATGAGATGAGTGATGGGTGGGGGCTCCTGGATAGCCTCTAGATGAGGGGGGATTGCCAGGGAATCCAACCATGTGATTAGAGATTTGAAACTTTCGGCTCACTACAGGAGGGGAGAGGGAATGAAGGTAGAGTTGATCACCTATAGCCAGTGACTTAATTGATCACAGCCACAAAGTGCAGCCTCAAAAAAAAAATACCCTAAGGGAAGGGGTTCAGAGAGCTTTTGGACACATGGGGCTGCTAGAAAGATGATGCACCTGGAAAGGGATGAAAGCTTTGTACCCCTTCCCGCATAGCTTGCCCTATGCATCCCCATCTGTATCCTTTTTAGTATCTGTCATGGGTGCCACTGGCTGGGGCCAGCATTGCAGGTGGTAAAAGAATTTATCAAGACAGATGTGGAGAAAGAAATAAAGATTTATTAGAGGGAAAGTGCATTGCCAGGAAGCAAGGGGCAGCACAGCAGAGAAGGGGCTGTCTGCAAAGAGGCAGGAGCTGGAGGGAAGTTTTATAAGGTCATACTAGCGGGGCTTTGTAGATAAGGTCATTCTGGTGGGGCTACATGTGGAACAAGGTATCTGGGAGTAGGATGTCATGCCAGCAGATTGTCTGTGATTAACTGTCTTTCAGAACAATTGTTCTTCCCTACCTCAGGCCCTCTCCTTGCTGTGGCTTACTTATTTTATTAGGACTCCACTGTATCTTTTATAATAAACTGGAAAATGGAAATAAAGCACTTTTCTGAGTTCTGTGAGATGCTTTAGCAAATGACTGAACCCAAGGAAAGGGGCTTGAAAAACCCCAACTTATAGCTTGTCAATCAGAAGTTCCAGAGGCTAGGATTTGTGATTGGCATCAGAAGTGGGGCAGTTCTGTGGAGCTGAGCCCTTAATCTGTGGGATCTGACACTATCTTCAGTTAGATAGTATCAGAATTGAACTAAAGTATTGACAAGACATCAGCAAGTATTGTGAAATTACTTGGTATGGGGGTAAACCCCCATAAATCTGGTCACAGAAGTGTTTTGTGTTGAGTATGGACTATATCTTCCACTCTATCTATCTATCTATCTATCTATCTATCTATCTATCTATCCATCCAGAGAAATAAAATACATCACATCAACAAATATGTAAATTAAAATGAGGGTAAATGTAGTAAAGTGTTTTTTTTTTTTTTGAGACAGAGTCTCGCTCTAGGCTGGAGTCCTGTGGCCCAATCTCGACTTACTGCAACCTCCACCTCCTGGGCTCAAGTGATTCTCCTACCTCAGCCTCAGGTAGCTGAGACTTACAGGGGCGTGCCACCACACCTGGCTAATTTTTGTGTTTTTAGTAGAGGCGGGCTTTCACCATATTGACTAGGCTGGTCTTGAACTGCTGACCTTAAGTGATCCACCCACCTTGGCTTCCCTGGGATTACAGACGTGAGCCATCACACCCAGCCAATGTAGCCAATGTAGTAAAATATTATTATTTTCTTTCTTTTTACTTTTCTTTTTCTTTTTTTTTTTTGAGAGGGATTCTTGCTCTGTGGCCCGGGCTGGAGTGCAGTGGCGTGATCTCGGCTCACTTCAACCTCCGCCTCCTGGGTTCAAGCAATTCTCCTGCCTCAGCCTCCCCAGTAGCTGGGATTACAGGCGTGTGCCACCATGCCCGGTTAAGTTTTGTATCTTTAGTAGAGATGGGGTTTCATATGTTGGCCAGGCTGGTCTCCATCTCCTGACCTCAAGTGATTTGCCCGCCTCAGCCTCCCAAAGTGCTAGGATTACAGACGTGAGCCACCACATCCAGCCCAATGTAGTAAAGTATTCTAAGGCCTTTGTATTGTCCTGGAGGAGGTTAAAATAATATCAGACTTTGTTAAGTTGAGATAGATGTCATAATCTCTAAGGCAATCATTAAAAAACAAAGCAATATAATATATAACTTAGAAACTAATTGGGAGTATAGAATTATAAAAAATAATAAATATATTCAAAAGAAAGCAACACTTTTCTCCTAAAGTTTGTGTTACCCTATATACCACCTTTTATCTTTAACACATGCCAACATTCCTTAATCACCTTATGCAAAAAGAAGGGTTTATTATGTTAGGGTAAAAACAAAAAGGTCTTTAAGTAACATTTAGGAGTAAGGAGAACACTCATTCTATCAGCTTTGGGGTTAAGGGAGGATAAGAACATAAAAAGCACCATCTGAGAAGTTTTTTTTTTTTTTTTTTTTGAGACGGAGTCTCGCTCTGTCGCCCAGGCTGGAGTGCAGTGGCGCGATCTCGGCTCACTGCAAGCTCCGCCTCCCGGGTTCACGCCATTCTCCTGCCTCAGCCTCCCGAGTAGCTGGGACTACAGGCGCCCGCTACCACGCCCGGCTAATTTTTTGTATTTTTAGTAGAGACGGGGTTTCACCGTGTTAGCCAAGATGGTCTCGATCTCCTGACCTCGTGATCCGCCCGCCTCGGCCTCCCAAAGTGCTGGGATTACAGGCGTGAGCCACCGCGCCCGGCCAGAAGTTTTTAAGAGAAGAAATGTCCATGAGAAACATTCACGTTGATAATATTTAAAAATCTGTTTTTTCCATGGCCTGGAGATTCCAGAGGGCACAGGTGAAAGGTTTGCAAGAAAGGGTGGCAATACATATTGGATCAGCAGGAAAGAAACTAAGAGCAGTATAGGAAGGCATAGATTAGCAACGACGATTACTCCTAGTCAGTGAATAAGCATAACAGAGATAAAGGCATAGTGAATTTATCTGGCTAAATGATTTTCTAATTAACTAGTCCTGTAAATCCCCTGGTAAATCAAAGCTGTGTCAGAATATATCAACCAAGGACTGGGTGATTGAGCTTCCAAAAGAGCCTTTGTCTTGGATAAATGGACTTCGAACCGTCTAGTTTGTTCTCATGACTTGCTCTGTAGAAATGGAAGTAACCATTTAGCTTTCAAGTGACTTCATTTATATCTGCCTTGAAACTACAAAATTGTAATCGTTTTCTAAAAATAATATATCTGTTAATTAAATTTACCCTTCCCCAAAAGCTAGGTATTTTTTAGCCATGTAGCCATTCAAAAACTTGAGGTCATCTTTCCAAAAGGAATGAAGGAATTCAATAAACAACCAGCTGAATTATGTGGCTCTGGAGAGCTATATAAATTAATGTAGAATCCTATGTCTATTAGATATGCATAGTTGTATCTTATCGTCTCTTCTACCCGTTTGAAATTCCAGTTGGTGCTTCGTGTTCAGTAATTGTGAACTTACCTTGATTTCCCACAAGTCATCTCATAAGTAACTGTTCACATAAATTCACCAGCATAGCTCATTTTAGAAATTATATGTTCTATTTAATTCTATAGTTTATCAGTGGCAAAAAGTGCACTATAAATTTCATTCCTTTTGGGTTCAGTTCTCTATTGAAATAAACGGTGAGGCAGTAAGGGAGACAAAGACCTGACTCCCGTGGGCATTAAGTGAATTGATTATGGCTGGAGTGTTGCCTTGGGAGGGATGGCTGTTGCTTCAATGATCTGTTATTATTACTAGCTCTGCAGTGGAAGCTTCTGAAGAATTTTAATGATTTAAAAATCCTTATTCTAAAATTAAAAATCTAATTTGAATTCTAGAATCATAAACTGTTAGAAAAACACCTGGTAAAATATTTAGGGTCTGGTTTCTCCTGCTGCATTACATCTTCCAGGTGGAAGTGGAGTGAGAGGTGGTGCATGGAAAGAGCATTGATCACACCACTCCTTGAGGAGCGATTTTTTCCCCAATGTGTTTTCTGCTTTCTGTGCATCTGAGAATAGAGGCTCCCCAAAGGCAAAAACATAAGTTAGGAAAATGGTTTATCTCATATTAAGGAAAAAGTTATATGCAACTAAAATAAACTTATACTTGTTCTTTGCATATATATGTATGCTGTAATTCTTTGAAAGACTCTGTAAATTGATCTGATTCCATTGTTTGAACCAGGGAGGAGCATGTAAACTGGCATGTAGCTATTATAGATTGAGTATCCCTTATCAGAAATGGTGGGGACCAGAAGTGTCTCAGATTTCAATTTTTTTCCAATTTTGGAATATTTTCATTATACTGGTTGAGCATCCCAAATCTGACAGTTTGAAATCCGAAATAATCCAATGAGCATTTCCTTTGAGCGTCATGTTGGTGCTCAAGAAGTTGCAGATTTAGAAGCATTTCAAATTTCAGATTTTGGATTTGTAATGCTCAACCTGATTGATAAACTAGAGCCTGATGAGGAGGAGATGCTTAAATACCATTTGAAGGCAGATATTTAAGACCCCTCAGACATCTCGTTCCTGTCTTTGAGATGCTTCTCGCTCTATGTTGCTCTACCTTGAGCTTGAATTATTTCCTCTTCTCTTTTTAATGTTAAAAGTTACATTTTTCTTGTATTAAAAGTAATAATGCTTATGCAGTAGAAAATTACAAACATACACAATAAGGCCTGGGTGCAGTGGCTCACACCTATAATCCCAGCATTTTGGGAAGCTGAGGTGGGAGGATTGCTTGAAGCCAAGAGTTTGAGACCAGCCTGGGCAACAAAGCGAGACCCCCCCATCTCTACAAAAAATTGAAAAAATATTAGCCAGGCATGGTGGCATATGACTGTACTCAGGAGGCTTAGGTGGGAGGATCACTTGAGCCCAGGAGTTAGAGGCTGCAGTGAGCTATGATGGTGCCACTGCACTACAGCCTGGGTAATAGAGCAAGACCCTGTGTCAAAAAACAAACAAATGAAAACAAAGACACAGTAATATAAAGTTCATTATAATGGAGAAATTACACCCAGTTATAGCTCTGTTAACATTTTGGAGTGTTCTTACACGTAAAAAAATTTACATATATAGACAGACACACACCTATATAGAGTATACCAATGGTTCTTAAACTTGGGTGTACATTAAAAATCACTATCAGTGTGCTTTATGTAAGAAAGAATTATTGAAACTCCACTTAGACAATACTTAAAGAACAGTTCTTACCTTAAAAGATTGATTATAGTACAAATTTATTTTTAAGCGAAGATTGAAAGTGTATATGCATGTGAATATATTTATGCAATTATTTATCAAATATGTATATAGCTTTATATCTTGATTTTTCACTTAATATTATAAGTTTTTCCATATCATCAAAAGTCTCAGTGATCATCATCCATAATGGCCACAAAAATTCCGTCTTATAAAAATACAAAAAATTATTTATAGTCCTGTTGTTGAACACTAAGATTATTTCTTTTTTTTTTTTTTTTTGAGATGGAGTCTCACTCTGTCACTGAGGCACCCAGCCTGGAGTACAGTGGTGCAATCTCAGCTCACTGCCAGGTCTGCCTCATGGGTTCATGCCATTCTCCTGCCTCAGCCTCCCAAGTAGCTGGAACTACAGGTGCCCACCACCACGCCCGGCTAATTTTTTGTATTTTTAGTAGAGATGGGGTTTAAATACACTATGATAAAGATAACGAGCTAAATTTGTATATACGTTTCTGATTATTTCCTTAGGATAGATATCTTACATGTGCACTCAGTAGATCAAAAGGGAAAGGGGGCCAAACGTGGATCAAGAAAACACAAGTTTTCCCAGGAACCTCATAACAGATTTCCACTTTCATCTCATTAATCAGAACAGTGTCACATGTCACATGGCCACTCCTGACTAGAAGGCAGGAAGAGAGAAGTTGGGTCAGTTAACAAATAGAGTCTATCCCTGTGGCTACAGAACATTTTTAGACACCTTTTTTCCTCTTTTATGGAATACAGTCATCTCTTCCCCAAGTTCATCAACCTGCAAATCTCATGCAATTACTGCTTCCAGCTTGAAAACCTGGATCTTTGGGTGATAAACAGTTGTCTCCATCCAGCCTAGGTATGGTTCCCCAGGGATCAGCAGGTTGTAAGCTAAAGCAGTGGTTAAGAGTCATTTGCATTCATCTGAATCAGCTAAGAGCTTGTTAAAAGCAAATTGCTGAGCCCCATCCAGTATTTCTGATTCAGTAGGTCTGAAGTCAGGCCCACGAGTTTCGTGTTTCTAACAAGTGCTGGGTAGTGCTGCTGGCCCAGGGATTACAAATGTTATATACATATTACATAGCCATAGTACAATATCATAATCAGGAAATTGACATTAATAGAATCCATTTACCTTATTCAGATTTTGCCAGTTTTACATGCACTTGTTGCATATGTCTGTACTTAGCTCTATGTAATTTTATTACATGTGTAGATTTGTGTTATTACCACCCACAGTCAAAATACAAAGTACTTCCATCACAAGAATCCTTTCTGTTATCCTTTTATAAACACCACCACCTCCCTCCTTCTCATCTCCAACACCTGGCAACTACTACTCTGTTCTCTATCTCTGTAATTTTGTCATTTCAGGAATGCTACATAAATGAATCATACAGTATCTAACCTTTGAAGACTGTTTTTTTTCCACTCAGCAAAATCCCCTTGAGATCCATCTAAATTGTTGTGTGTATCAATAGTTTATTTCTTTTGTTGCTCAATAATAGTCTATATATTATCATTACTATTATTTTTGAGACGGAGTCTTGCTCTGTTGCCCAGGCTGGAGTACAGTGGCACGATCTCTGCTCACTGCAAACTCCACCTCCTGGGTTCAAGTGATTCTCCTGCCTCAGCCTCCCAAGTAGCTGGGATTACAGGGGTGCATCATCACACCTGGCTACTTTTTTTGTATTTTTAGTAGAGATGGGGTTTCACCATATTGGCCAGGCTGGTTTCGAACTCCAGACCTCAAGTGATCCACCCACCTTGGCCTCTCAAAGTGCTGGGATTACAGGCCTCTATATTATTGTTACGAGTTTAACAGTTCATCTGTTGAAGTACACTTTGGGTTTTTTCCAGTTTTAACTAGTACAAATAAAGTTATAATAAATATCCATGTGCAGTTTTATTGGTAAATATAATTTTACATTTCTTTAGGATACATGCCCAAGAGTGCAATTACTCAGTGCATGGTAATTGCATATTTATTTATAAGACACTAACAGATTATCCCACCCCCTCAGGCTCTGCCTTGCCCCTTGTGGCACCTGGGAGATGACGGAGTTGAACATCCAGTAGCACTGCCAGGTGTAGCACTGCGGGTATCAAGGTGATTGGGGAATCCCCATCCTTGGTCACATGAGACCTGAGCCCTGCTTTGGCTCCATGGATGGCAGCAGTGGGTTTTCCTCCATTTGTATGTTATGGTTGTTTAGGAATATTTTGCCTTGAATACAAATCCAGGAGTCTCATGGTTGTTCTGAGGTGACTGTAATCAATGAGGACTAAAAACAGATAAACATGTGTCTTATCCATTCATTCAAGGACTGTGCTGAATGAGAACTTGTGGTAATTATATGTATTTATTGTGAGAAGAATTTTTGCCTGAGACACCATCATCAGTCAGACCATGAATGTGAAAAACTGGAAATCCAAAAGTCTCCTATGGCTGCCTCTCAGAAAATCGTTAAAGACATTATTGATTCCAAGGCAGAAGAAACAGTAAGTGAACAACAGAAAGGTGCAAAAAATAGTGAAACAGCTGCAAAGGTTGCATTGATAAAATTAAAGTTGCATGCTGATGGGGATAAGTCATTGACACAGTATGTCTCATGTAAGCAACATACAGCTGGGCTTTGTTTTTAAAATCTAGTTTGATAGGATCTCTTTCATAACTAGAAAGAATTTTACTTCCAGGTTTTCTACTTAAAGGGAGCAAAGAGAAGAGAAAACCAATGGTTCTTTTGCCACCCATGGAGCATTGGAAAGATCATAGAATTTCCAGGTGCTCTAGTTAGCCTTAAAAATGATAACAAATTAACAGCTAAGAAATTAATGTTATGGTTATGTCGCATTACTTCAGGAGAAGCCTTACCCGTAGATCATATTTGGAAACCTGGATTGCTAAGGAGGATTGGCCTTTATATAATGATGGAAATATTATCTTGAAACATTTTAATGATGAAGAAAAATGGTTTTAGCAATATTGATTCTTACTTGGGATAGTGATTTTAGGACTCAGAAATCACAAGGAAAGTTCTATGTACACCAATTTAAAAAAATAAAATAAAAATAAAAACATTCTGTGTATATGTTTGTCAATTTCTTTTACTACAAATACTATTTTTCATTTTTTAAAGTTGCTTTTAACTTATTTCTATTGTGTCACATTTTATATAGTTTTCTATTAAGTTTGGGTAATTTTGTGTTTTAAAGCTTAACTATGAACCGATACTCAATTATTAGCAAATTTTTGTATGTAATTATTTTGTATTAGGTGATGCTGTAGTAACAACAACAGAGGTGTATTTCCCCATTGGTTAATGTCAGCTGTTGATTCTTCCATGTCATCTTCACTTCAGGGTTGAAGCTCAAGGAACAACCCCTTTTTGGGACATTGTCTTTTTTATTTACAGAGGGACAAGGAGATGACACCATTTCAGTTGGCTCTTAGAAGATACATGCATCATTGTTGTTTTAAGTAAGTCACATGGTCAAACCTACCATCATGGGTCCAGAAAATACAGCCTTGTTGTCTAGCTATGTCATGATGTATAATTGATGTGTGTACATAGATTGCCAAAACTTAAAGATCATCTCATTCCATCTTCTAAGTTTTTGGATGAAGGATCTCAGGCCTAGGAGAAAAAAGATTTTCTTCATGTCACCTAAATGCATTGGGTCATATTTTTGATAAGGACCTCCTTCTAGTAGCATTCATCTTTTTGTTTGTATGACTGTATTACAAATGAGAAGAAAGATGGGATAGTTCAACTTCGTTACAGCCTCTGTATATATACTAAAGCAAAACACATGCTAAAAGTAACTACATTTTTGACGATCAACTCAAGTTAATGCTCCTGACTGATGTTTTCCATCTATACCCAACAAAGTACTGCTATATAGAAGGAATAGAATTTATTTCTATTTGTTCTTTGTCCCTTTTCTATTCTAATTATCATGAACATGTATAGTGATTTTAGGTTTAACTAAAGGAATAAACTCAGAAAACAGACACTAATACACTTTTTACATTCTCACTATGTATGAGTGAACCAGTTTCTTCACATCTTGACCAGCATTTGGTGGTGTCAGTATTTAATATTTTAATTTTTATGATTAAATATGTAGATTATACTTTTGTACCTTTAATATTCATTATATTAATGGCTAGAGATGTTGAACATTTTTTTGGTTATTTGACACTTGTATATTTTCTTCAGAGAAATATCTATTCAAGTGTTCAACTCCAAACCTATGTGCTCATGTACAAAGTTGGATTGCCATTTTGTTGTTGAATTGTAAGAGTTAAAAAAAGTATATTCTGGATACTAGACCCTTGTCAGACATATGATTTGCAAATATTTTCTCCCATTCTTGGGTTGTCTTTTCACTCTCTTAATAGCATCCTTTGATATGTATACTTTTAAATTTTGATGAAATCCAATATATTTATTTTTTCTTTTGTTGTTCATACATTTGGCACATATCTACAAAACCATTGCTAAATCCAAGGTCATAAAAGTTGATCCCTATAATTTCTTCTAAAGTTTTTTTTAGTTTTAGCTCTCATACTTAGGTCTTTAATTCTTCATATGGCATCTTTGATACACTGAATGCTGTGTTTGTGTCGCTAAAAAAAATTTTGTCTGGGCGTGGAGGCTCATGCCTATAATACCAACAGTTTTGGAGGCTGAGGCAGGAGGATTGCTTAAACCCAGGAGTTCGATACCAGCCTAGGCAACATAGTGAGACCCTGTCTCTACAAAAAATTAAAAAAATTAGCCAGGTGTGATGGTGCATACCTGTAGTCCCCAGATACTTGGGAGGCCGAGGTGGAAGGATTGCTTGAGCCCAGGAGGTTGAAGCAGCAATGAGCCATGATTGTGCCTCTGCACTCCAGTCTGGCAGTAGAGCAAGGTCCTATCTCCAAAAAAAAAAAAAAAAAAAAAAAAAAAAAATTAGTTGTAGTAAAATACATATAACCTAAAATTTAGCAAATTAGGCATTTATAAGCATACAGTTCAGTAGTGTCAAATATATTCACACTGTTGTGCAACCAATCCCCAGAACTCTTTTTATCTTGCAAAACTAGAACTCTATGCATATCTGCACCAACACTTGACTATTTTCTGTTTTTTAAAATAGTAGCCTAATAGGTATGAGATGGTATATCACTGTGGTTTTGATTTGTATTTGCCTAATGATTAGTGATGCTGAGCATATTTTCATGTGCTTGTTAGACATTTGTATATCTTCTTTGAAGAAATGTCTATTCAAGTCCTTTGCCCATTTTAAAGTTAAGGTTTTTTTTTTTTTTGCTGTTGAGTTGTAGGAATTCTTAATTTATTATGGCTATTAACTCCTTATCAGAGATATGATTTGCAAGTATTTTCTCCCATTTTGCCAGTTGCCTTTTCATTCTGTTGGTTGTGTCCTTTGAGGCACATAAGTTTTTAATTTTTATGTAGCAAATTTATTTATTTTTACTTTTGTTGCCTTTGCTTTGGGTGTCATGCCCAAGAAATCATTGCCAAGTCCACTGTCATGAAGCCTTTCTCCTTTGATTTCTTCCAAGAGAGTTTTATAGTTTTGGCTATTATTTGTAGGTCTTTGATTCATCATATTCTATCTTTGATGTGTTGAAACCTGTGAAGGCATCACTTAAAAAAATTCAGACAAGAAAGTTGGCAAGCAATTTTGAGGCTTTAATGGGTTGAAGTTTAACTTACAAAGTCATTTGTCAAGGATTGACAACTTCACATATTCCAACTTCACATATAGTAAATTATTATGTAGGTTCACTTATTTGTAGGTTCTTTTATGTAACTGATAAAATATTTGAAATTTTCTTTACATAAGAAAATTAAGCTTTTCATATATAAGCTTTGCATATTTCATTCACAATCTCTAGGTACAACGCTCCTCTAAATACTATATGTCCCTATTATAGTTTTTCAGTTTATTGCTGGCTTTCAGGAAAACTAGGCTTAAAAAAATTTATATTGTATGTATTACTTTAATGAACTGTCTCATTAGATATAATAGTTGTAACTTTTTCCAATGGTTTCTATAGAATTGTCTATTTGGAAAAAAATATAGTCATCTCTATTTCCAGATGATGTTTGTCTATAAGTATAAATATAGAGCATCAACTTAAAATAATTGAAGAGTCAGTAAGGTGGTTATCATAAGGTAAGATAACTAGCTCTAAATTAAACATAGGCTGTTTTCCTTTAAAGATAGAAAATATATTAGGAAATCCCCTTAAGTTATAGGGAAAAATGTAATAATTAAAATTAAAATAATCTCGTCCATTACTTTTATCTCATTTTTCTTTCTTGCACTACTAAGTGTAGTTACTAAGACAATATTTTTGTTGTTGTTGTTGTTGTTTGTTTTAAGGGATGAGGTCTTCTTATGTTGTCCAGGCTGGTCTCAAACTCCTTGGTTCAAGTGATCCACCTACCTTGACCTCCCAAAGTTCTGCGATTACAGGCATGGAGAACACAGATTTTGAAAATGGAAACCTGACATTTACTATGTAACTTTTGGCCATTAAACCCTGTAAGGCTCAGTTTCTGCATCTGAAAAGTGTTATAATAGTCCCTACCTCATGAGGTTGTTGTTATAATTAAGTGAAATAATCCATGTGAAATCCTTAGTGTAGTGATGATACATAATAAGCATTAAATATAGTCATTATTGTTAATTTATTGGGCAAGATTTATACAGCAATATTATATGATAAGGTTATAGCAGGCAATCCTTTAGTCTCTATATCTTTAAGGGGGATATTGTTAGTGATTTAACATTAAGCATGACACTTACGAGAGGTAGATTTACCTTGAATGAAGCTCCAGATTCAGTCTCCCACTTATGCCTGTCCCTTCCAAAGCTCAGAATAATGTGTTTATATGATAATATACTTTTGTAAAATTTGCAAAAGTAAGGCATTTAAACATAATTGGCTAAGATAACCACTGTTTCTTTCCATGCTGGCTTCCCCACCATCATATTTCCACTGCTGCCAGTTGGCATTGCGGTTACTATGGTTTAACAGTTATTTATTGCTATGTAAAAAAAATCCGCCAAACTTAAAACAACAATCATTTATTAGTTCATAATTCTGTGGGTGGGCAATTTTGGCTGGCTTCTGATGGATGGTTCTACTGTTGGACTGTCTTGGGCTCATTCATGTGGCTGCAGTCAGATAGTGGGATGCCTGGGGGGTTGTAGAGTTCCTGATGGCTTCACTCACTTGTTTGGGGTCACGGGGAACTGGGCTTCATGTCTCTAGCATCTAGCAGACTATCATGGATTCTTCACATGGAAACTATATTTCTTTTGCCAATACCACACTGTCTTGATTTGCTATAATTTTGAGTCCTTCAACTTTTCATAGTCGTTTTGGCAATTCTAGTTCTTTTGCTTACCATACAAATTTAGGAATAATCTTGTCAATATCTGTCAAAAAACCTTGCTGGAATATCTACTGGGATAGTGCTGTATCTATATATCAAATTAGGAAGAATTGATATCTTAACAATTCAGTCTTTGAGTTCATAATGTAGTATATTTTTCTACTTATTTAAATCTTTTTTCGTTTCTTTTATTGGTGATTTGTAGCATTTGGCATATAGTACCTGTTCATATTTTATTAGATTAATTCCAAAGTATTTCAATTTTTTGTGATATGGTAATTTATATTTTTATTAATTTGAAGATTCAAATGTTCATTGCTAATATATAGAAATATGATTGACTTTTACATGTATTCACTTTTGTATGGCTTGGCTGTGTCCCCACCCAAATCTCATCTTGAATTCCCATGTGCTGGGGGAGAGACTGCATGGGAGGTAATTCAATCACACGGGCAAGTCTTTCCTGTGCTGTTCTTGTGATAGTGAGTGAGACTCACGAGATCTGATGGTTTTACAAAGAGCAGTTCCCCGGCATAAGCTCTCTTTCTGCCTGCTGCCATCCGCACAACATATGACTTGCTCCTCCTTGCCTTCCACCATGATTGTGAGGCTTCCCCAGCCATGTGGAACTGTAAGTCCAATAAACCTCTTTCTTTTGTAAATTGCCCAGTCCCGGGTATATCTTTATCAGCAGCATGAAAACAGACTAGTACACACTTTGAACCCTGGAACCTTGTTAAATTCACTTATTAGTTTTAAGAGATGTTTTATAGATTCTTTGAAACTTTCTACAGGCACAATCGTGTCATGTGCAAATAGATTTTTGTTTCTGCCTTTTCAATCTATATTCCTTTTCATTATTTTTTCTTGCTTTATTGCACTTGCCAGGATTTCCAGTATGATGCTGTATAGCCATGGTGAGGAATGACATCTTGCTAGTTTCCTGATCTTCAGAGAAAGCATTCAGTCTCTCACCATTTAGCATAATGTTGGATAGGAATGGCGTGTGAGTGGTAGGTGTTGATACCCTTTGTTATGTTAGGAGGCTTCACCTATATTCTTAGTTTGCTGAGAGTATTTTTTTTTTTAATCATGAATGGATGTTCAATTTTTTCGAGCGCTTTTTTTATCCAATAAAATGATCATATAATTTTTCTTATTACTCTGTTAACATGGTGTATTAGGCCATTTTTGCACTATTATAAAGAAATATCTGAGTCAGGGTAATTTATAAGAAAAGAGGTTTCATTGTCTCACAGTTCTGCAGGCTGCTCAGGAAGCATAGTGGCATCTGCTTGTGGGGAGGCCTCAGGAAGCTCCAATCACGGCAGAAGGCAAAAGAGGAGCAGGCACATCACATGGTGAAAACAGGAGCAGGAGAAATGTGTAGGGGGAGGTGCCACACACTTTTCAATGATCACATCTTGTGAAAACTCACTATGGTGAAGACAGCACCATGCCATAAGGAATCTGCCCCCATGATCCAAACACCTCCCACCAGGTCCTATCTCTAGCATTGGGGTTTCTAATTCAACATGAGATTTGGGCAGGAGCAGATGTCTAGGCTATATCATATGGTGATTACATTGATTGTTATTTGAATGTTGAAATGTTCTGAATTTCTAGGATGAACCCTACTTGGTTGGGAAATGCTATTCTTTTCATATATTTATGGATTAAATTTGCTGATTCTAGTTTCTGTAAAATCTCTGTAAAAAGGATTTCTGTAAAATAATTTCCTTACTATTTTTATATGTAGATTTTATTTTGGCATTGTGTTTTGAATTTCCTTGCATTTCTCTTATTTCAGTCATTTCCTTTTACCTGTGTCTTTATTTCAATTTATTTTTTCTTTCTGATTCATCTCCTGCTTTATAAAGACTATATCTATTATCTTGTCTTGGAAGATGCTAATTTAATTCCTTTTCTTTTTTTTCCCTTTTTTTTTTTTTTTTTTTTTGAGACAGTCTCACTCTGTCACCCAGGCTGGAGCACAGTGGTGCAATCTCGGCTCACTGCAACCTCCGCCTCCCTGTTTCAAGGGATTCTCCTGCCTCAGTCTCCCGAGTAGCTGGGACTACAGGCATGTGCCACCATGCCCGGCTAGGTTTTTTTTGTATTTTTAGTAGAGACAGGGTTTCACCATGTTAGCCAGGATGGTCTTGAACTCCTGACCTAGTGATCCACCTGCCTTGGCCTCTCAAAGTGCTGGGATTACAGGCGTGAGCCACCATGCCTGGCAGTTCCTCTTCTTAAATTAAAATTTTTATTTTATCGTGAATAGGTTGAACTGTACAATCACCAGGAGTCATTCATCTTACGTCTACCTACTGGACTGGCATTACATCTTTTCTGGTTTAAAAAATTGGATTCTTTGATTTACTAGAACAAAGGTACATTTCTTTTCTGGTATAGTGTCATGTGGAAAAATTTTATCTCCAAATAGAATAATTCTGATTTTCTTCTGTTTTTTATTTCTCAGTCAACATTTTTATCTAGACATACTGAGGCAACTAATAATGACTGGATATACTCTACCTCCAAATACCTTGTCTGATTGCTGCTGTGTTGAGCATTGGAGATTGTAGTGTTTGTATAGATATAAGAAGAGGGAAAATAATAAAGTAGAAGAATGAAAGAATATGACAGTTTGTGATTCTGGCTTTGACTAATATAGTCGGAAGACAGTCATATATTTTGCTGATTATTTTATTCACTGTGTCTCAGAGTTGGTGACACATAGTAAAGAACAGTCAAAGCCTTTTCCTCCCCTTTTTGAAGCTTTCTATATTTTATTCAGATAGTGGAAAATGTGATTTATAGTCCAACAATGTTTCTTAATCCATTTTTATTGAGACAGTAGAAATGGAAATTCCCTTTGGACTTGTTATATATTCTTCTCATTTTTAGTTTACAATGTAGCCAGTTTTGTCTTTTTTTGATATTGTTTAGATTTTTAATGGTGAGTTGAGTGTGAAGAGCTACATCAAGCAATGCTGATATGTTGCCATACAGAGAGGCATCTGTGAGGTTTGGGAGTAACTCACATAAAGTCATATTGCCTGCAAATGTAAAAGTTTGAATTTAAATTTAGTTTTGTTTAGTTGTTCAGAGTTCATAATGAAGCTTCAGAAAGAACTTAATACAAGCAAGTTCTGCACTGAAAAAACCAGAATTTTATAAATGTGGAGGCAAAGCAATGTCAGATACTAAAATCCAAAGTGTGAATGTGCATCTTGTAAATGAAATGTTAGTGGATGTAATTTTACTTGAGGAATTCTATAGTCTGGGAGGTGGGTGTTAAAGTCAAGAATGCGAATGAGATTGAGTAAGGATGGGATGAATAAAAAGACTAGTTCATTGATTAAAGACGTTAGGAATGGTGATATGATCTGTGAGTATTGATACTAAGTCTGGTAAAAAGCTATTAAGATGTATCGATAGAACAGTTTGGACCAAGAAACATTCAGATATTTATCTTCTTCTCTTGCCCAGATAATGACTGGGACCGGGACTAATAAGTCTTCCATTGGAGCAAAAGTTTGATGAGGTACTTGTATTATCACAGCAAAGCCATGTTTCAATGGATAAATCATTTGTGGGAAGTTTTGAGACTATAAAGAATTGTGTGTTCCACAATGTCAGTAATCTCTTTGAGGCTTCTTTGGTTCCTGTGCTACCTGCTTGACTTCAGGCCAAAACTGTCTCAGAGCCAATGGAATTCTGCAGTCCATTTGTGTCCTCTTGTAATTCTTGATTTTTTAAAGTCTTTTGTATCTTTCCTCTTGTAATTCTATCTTTAGGGATTAAATTTACTTCTAATTCCTTGGTATGAAGAAATGTGCTCAGATCCCATGACTTCCTCTATTTTAGTCTAGACTGTCCTGGTTTTCAGGTTTTCTTCAGTTAGCTTACTTTCTTTTTCTTTCTTTCTTTCCTTCTTTCTTTCTTTCTTTTTCCTTCCTTCCTATCTTCCTTCCTTCCTCCCTCCCTCCCTTCTTCCTTCCTTCCTCTCTCCCTTCCTTCCTTCCTTTCTTCCTTCCTCTCTCCCTCCCCTCCCCTCCTCTTTCTTTCTCTTTCCTTCCTTCCTTCCTTCCTTCCTTCCTTCCTTCCTTCCTTCCTTCCTTTCTTTCTTTCTCTTTCTTTCTTTCTTTCTTTCTTTCTTTCTTTCTTTCTTTCTTTCTTTCTTTCTTTCTTTCTTAATGTCTCTCTCTCTCTCTTTCCTTCTTTCTTTTGATGGGATCCTATAACGTTGACCAGGCTAGCCTTGAACTTCTGGGCTCAAGAAATCCTTCTGCCTCAGCTTCCCAAACTGCTGGGATTACAGGTGTGAGCCACTGCACCCAGCTTTTTTATTTTTATTTTTTTACTTTTATTTTAGTTTTAGGGGTATATGTGTAGGTTTGTTTTATAGGTAAATTGTGTGTCACAGGTGTTTGGTGTACAGATTATTTCATCACCAAGGTAATAAGCATAGTACCTGATAGGTAGTTTTTTGAACCTCATGCTCTTCTCACCCTTCAACCTCAAGTAGGCCCCAGGGTCTCTTGTTCCCTTCTTTGTGTCCATGTGTATTCATTGTTTAGCTCCCACTTATAAATGAGAACATGCAGTATTTGGCTTTCTGTTCCCATGATGGTTGACTTAGGATAAAAACCTCGAGCTCCATCCACATTGCTGCAAAGAACATGATCTCATTCTGTTTTATGGCTGCATAGTAATCCATGGTGTATATGTACCACATTTTCTTTATACACTATACCATTGATGGGCATTTAGGTTGATTCTGTGTTTTTGCTATTTTGAGTAGTGCTGCAATAAGCATGCACGTATCTTTATGGTAGAATGATTTACATTTCTTGGGGTACACAGCCAATAATGGGATTGCTGGGTCAAATGGTAGTTCTTTTTTAAGTTCTTTGAGATATCCCAAACTGTTTTCCACAGTGGCTAAACTAATTTACATTCCCACCAGCAGTGTATAAGTGTTCCCTTTTCTCCACAACCTTGCCAGCACCTGTAATTTTTTGGGTTTTTAATTATAGCCATTTTGACTGGTGTGAGATGATATCTCTCATGATATCTTGCATTTCTCCAATGATTAGTGATGTTGAACATTTTTATGTGCTTATTGGCTGCACAAATGTGTTTTGAAAAGTACCTGTGGATGTCCTTTGCCCACTTTTTAATAGAGTTGTTTGTTTTTTGCTTGTTCATTTGTTTAAGTTCCTTATAGATTTGGGATATTTGACCTTTGTCAGAGCTTTGCTCAGTTTGCAAATACTTCCTATGATTCTGTGGGTTGTCTGTTTACTTTGTTGAAAGTTTCTTTTGCTGGGCAGAAGGTCTTTGGTTTAATTAGGCTCCATTTGCCCATTTTTTTTTTTGCAAGTACTGTTGGCATCTTTGTTATGAAATCTTTGCCAGGATCTATGTCCAGAGTGGTATTTCTTTGGTTTTCTTCAAGCATTTTTATAGTTTTAGGTTTTACATTTATGTCTTTAATCCATCTTGTGTTAGGTTTTATATATGATGTAAGGAAGGCATCCAGTCTCAATCTTCTGCATATGGCCTTCCAGTTATCCCAGCAACATTTATTAAATAGGGAGTCCTTTGCCCATTGCTTGTTTTTGTTGACTTTGTTGAAGATCAGATGGTTGTAGGTATGTGGCTTTATTTTGGGGCTCTCTAGTCTGTTTCATTGGTCTGTGTCTATTTTTGTACCAATATTATGCTGTTTTAGTTACTGTAGCCATGTAGTATAGTTTGAAGTCAGATAATGTGATGCCTCCAGCTTTTAATTTTTTGTTTATTTTATTTTATTTTTATTTTTTTGCTTAGGATAGTTTTGGCTCTTTAGGCCCTTTTTTGGTTCCATGTGAATTTCAGAACAGTTTTTTTTTCTAATTCTGTTTAGAATACCATTAGAGTACTAGTGAAGAATGTCATTGGTAATTTAATAGAAATAGCATTGAATCTGTAAACTGCTTTAGGCTGTATGCCATTTAAGCAATATTGAGTCTTCCTATCTATGATCATGGAATGTTTTTCTGTTTGGTTGTGTCATCTCTGATTTCTTTTAGTATTGTTTTCTAAATCTTGTAAAGATCTTTCATGTTCCTAGTTAGATGTATTTCTCGGTACTTTATTTTTTGTGTGGCTATTGTGAATAGGATTGCATTCTTGATTTGGCATTCAGCTTGGATGTTGTTGGTGTATAGAAAGGCTACTGATTACATTGATTTTGTATCCCAAAACCTTCCTGAAGTTGCGTATTAGATATAAAAGCTTTGGGGCAGAGACTGAGATTTTATAGACATAAAATCATATTGTCTGCAAACAGATAGTTTTACTTTCTATCTTCACATTTTGAGACCTTTTATTTCCTTCTCTTGCCTGATTGCTCTGGCTAGGATTTCCAGTTTACTGGAAGTCAACTGTGTTGATTAGGAGGGGTGAGAGTGGGCATCCTTGTCTTGTTTAAGTTTTCAAGAGGAAAGCTTCCAGCTTTTACCTATTCAGTATGATGTTGGCTGTGGGTTTATAATAGATGGCTTTTATTAATTTGAGGTATGTTCTTTCAATATCTAGTTTGTTGAGTGTTTTTAAAGTGAAGGAATGTTGAATTTTATCAAAAGCCTTTTCTGCCTCTATTGAGATGATCTTGTAGTTTTTTATTTTAGTTCTGTTTTTGTGTTGAATCACATTTATTGATTTGCATATGTTGAACCAACCTTGCATCTCAGCATTAAAGCCTATTTGATCATGGTGGGTTAGCTTTTTGATGTGCTGCTCTATTCAGATTGCTGGTATTTTGTTGAGAATTTTTGCACTGATGTTCATCAGGGATATTGGCCTGAAGTTTTCTTTTTGTGTTGTCTCTGCCAGGTTTTGATATTAGAATGATGCTGGCCTATAGCATGAATTAGGGAAGAGTCTGTCCTCCTCAATTTCTTGAAATAGTTTCTGTAGGAATGGTATCAGCACTTTTTCCCATGTCTGGTAGCATTTGGCTGTGAATCCATCTGGTTCTGGGCTTTCTCTGGTTGGTAAGCTTTTTATTACTGATTACATTTTGAAACTCATTATTGGTCTGTTTAGGGTTTGAATTTCTTCTCAGTTCAATCTTGGAAGATTGTATGTTTCTAGGAATTTATGCATTTCTTGTACATTTTCTACTCTGTGTGCATAGAGGTGTTTGTAATAGTCTTTGAGAGGTTTTTTTCTTTTGTATTTCTGAGAGATCAGTGATAACATCCCTTTTCTCATTTCTGATTGTGTTTATTTGTATCTTCTCTCTCTTTCTTTGTTAATCTAGCTGGCATCCTATCAATCTTAGTTATTCTCTTGAATAACCAGTTTCAAGTTTTGCTGATTTTTTTGGATGGTTTTTCACATCTTGGATTCATTCAGTTCAGCGCAGACTTTGATTATTTCTTGTCTGCTGTTGACTTTGGGGTTGGTTTGCTCTTGTTTTTCTAGTTCCTCTAGGTATAATGTTAGGTTGTTAACTTGAGATCTTTCTAACATTTTGATGTGGGTATTTAGCACTATAAACTTTCTTCTTAAACTGCTTTGCCTGTGTCCTGGAGATTCTGGTATGTTGCATCTTTGTTCTCATTAGTTTAAAATAATTTTTTGATTTCTGCCTTAATTTTATTGTCTGCCCCGATGCCACTCAGGAAGGAACAGGTTGTTTAATTTCTATGTAATTGTATGGTTTTGAATGATCTTCTTATTATTGATTTATCTTCTTTTATTCTGTGGTCTGAGAGTGTGGTTGGTTGCTTTTGGTTTATTTGAATGTGCTGAAGATTGTTTTATGGCTAGTTGTGTGGTCAGTTTTTGAGTATGTGCCATTTGGCAATGAAAAGAATGTATATTCTGTTATTTTTGGGTGAAGAGTTCTGTAGATGTCTGTCAGGTATATTAAATCCAGTGCTGAGTTCCGATCCTGACTATCTTTGTTAATTTTCTGCCTCAATTATCTGTCTAATACTGTCAGTGGGGTTTTGACACCTCCACTGTTATTGTGTGGGAGTGTAAGTATCTTTGAAAGTCTCTAAGAACTTCCTTTATGAATCTGGGTGCTTCTGTGTTGGGTGCATATATATTTAGATTATTTAGGGCTTTTGGTTGTACTGAAACCTTTACCATTCTGTAATGGCCTTTTTTTTTTTTTAATCATTGTTGCTTTAACGTCTGTTTTGTCTGAAATTAGAAATAACAACCCCTACTCTTTTGCTTGTTTGTTTGGTAGATTTTTCTTCATCTCTTTACTTTAAGCCCATAGGTGTTATTGCATATGAAACGGGTCTCTTGAAAACAGCATACAGTTGGGTCTTGCTTCTTTATCCAACTTGCTACACTGTGTCTGTTAATTGGGAAATTTATCTCATTTACATTCAAGGTTAATGTGGATATGTGCGGATCTGATCTTGTCATTGTGCTGTTAGCTGGTTATTCTGCAGACTTGAGTGTGTGATGGTTTTATATTGTCAGTGGTCTATGTACTTAAGTGTTTTTTTTGGTGGTGGCTGGTAACAGTCCTTTGTTTCCATATTTTGCACTCCCTTCAGAACCTCTTGTAAGGCAAGTCTGGTGATTATGAATTCCTCTAGCATTTGTTTGTCTGAAAGGATTTTATTTCTCCTTCACTTAAAAAGCTTAGTTTGTCTGGATATGTAATTCTTGGTTGGAGTCTTTTTCTTTAAGAATGCTTAATACATGCCCTCAATCTCTTTTGACCTGTAGGGTTTCTGCTACAAAGTACCCTGTTAGCCTGATGGAGTTCGCTTTGTAGGTGACCTGCTTCTTTTCTCTAGTTGATTAATATTTTTTTCTCTGACATTGGAGAATCTGATGACCATGTGTCTTCAGGATGGTTGTCTTGTATAGTATCTTGCAGGGGTTCTCTGCATGTCCTGAATTTGACTATTGGCCTTTCTAGCAAGGTTGGAGAAATTTTCATGGAAGATATTCTCAAATATGTTTCCAAGTTTTTGCCTTCTCTCCCTGTCTTTCAGGGATATCAGTGAGTCGTATGTTTGGTCTATATACTTAATCACACATTGTGTTTATTCTTTTTTCTTTATTTATGTCTGATTGAGTTAATTTGGTGAACCAATCTTCAAACTCTGAGATTCTTTTCTCAATTTGGTCTATACTGCTGTTAATACTTGCAGTTGTATTATGAAATTCTTGTAGTGTGCCTTTTCAGCTCTATTAGATGAGTTTGGATCTTTCTTACAATGACCATTTTGTTGTTCAGCTCCCTTTTTGTTTTATTATATTCCTTAGATTCCTTGGATTGGGTTTCAGCTCTCTCATGAATATCGATGATCTTCACTGCTATTCATATTCTAAATTCTGTGTCATTTCAGCCATTTCAGCTTGGTTAACAATAATTGCTGGGAATCTAGTGCAGTTGTTTGGAGGTAAAAAGACCCTCTGGCTTTTTCAGTTGCCAGAGTTCTTGCACTGGTTCTTTCTTATTTGTGTGGGTTGATGTTCTTTTATTTATTTTTTATTTTTTGAGACAGGGTCTGTCTCTGTTGCCCAGGTTGGAGTGCAGTAGCGTGATCTTAGCTTGGGAGTTTGATTGTGGTGTAAGGTAAGTTCAGTCAACTGGCGTGGATTCTGGAAGATTTCAGGGAGCCAAGGCTTATCTGAGAACTCATGGGTTGTGTGCTCTGTCCCTGGGGGGCTGATACTGGCCCCACAGCTTTGTTCTCTGGCCCCTTGAGGTTAGAAATCTGTTGTGCTGAAGTGGCTGAGGTGGTTCTTCTCTATTGGCTCCAACAGTCTGATGGGAGGTGCCAAGCAAAGTGTTTTGAAGGGGTGTGGGAATGTGTGCCAGCAGCTGTGGCAGTGTGCAGGGTGCACATGTGTTGGTTGTGATGGGACACTGATGGGAGTGGGGTGGTGGCATCTGCATACATGTTTGTGCTAGTGGTGGCATGATAGTGGGGTGCCCATGGGCATCCTTCTGCTAGAGCTTATTTTCTTTCTTTGCAATTTGTTTTGTTATTTTTATTTTTTGAAACAGAGTTTTGCTCTTGTTGCCCAGGCTGGAGTGAAATGGCACGATCTTGGCTCATTGCAACCTTTGCCTCCCAGGTTCAAGTGATTCTCCTGCCTCAGCCTCCCAAGTAGCTTGGATTACTACAGCCATGCGCCACCATGCCTAGTTAATTTTGTATTTTTAGTATAGATGGGGTTTCTCCATGTTGGCCAGGCTGGTCTCGAACTTCTGACCTCAGGCTATCCACCTGTCTTGGCCTCCAAAACTGCTGAAATTACAGGCAAGAGCCACCACACCCAACCTATTTTTATTTTTAGTTTTATGAGTACATAATATATGTGTATATATTTATGGTATACATGAGATACTTTGATACAGGCATACAATGTGTATAATAATCATATCAAGGTAAATGGGGTATCCATCCATCCTGAAGCATTTATCATTTCTTTGTGTTACAAACATTCCAGTTATACTCTTTTAGTTATTTTTAAATGTACTATTAATTATTTTTGACCATAGTCACTCTGTTGTGATATCAAATACTAGATCTTATTCATTCTATCTAACTATATTTTTGTACCCATTAACCATCCTCTCTTCTCCCCCTTGCTACTAATCTTCCCAGCCTCTAGTAACCATCCACTTACTCTCTTTGTCCATGAGTTCCATTGTTTTTAATTTTTAGCTCCCACAAATGAATGAGAATATGTGAAGTTTGTCTTTATGTTCCTGGCTCATTTCATGTAACATGATATCTTCCAGTTCCATTCATGTTGTTGCAAATGACAGGATCTCATTCTTTTTTATGCCTGAATAGTACACCAATGTGTATCTGTACCACATTTTCTTTAATCATTTCTCTGTTGATAGACACTTAGGTCTTTCCAAATCTTGGCTATTGTGAATAGTTCTAAAATAAACATGGGAGTGCAGATATCTCACAGATAAAAACCGTTGTAACTGGGGTGAAATGATATCACATTACAGTTTGACTTGCATTTCTCTGGTGATCAATAATGTTGAGCACATTTTCATATACCTGTTTGCCGTTTGTACAGCTTTTGAGAAATGTCTATTCAGATTTTTTGCCTATTTTTTCATTGGATTTTTAGATTTTTTTCCTATTGAGTTATTAATTTTTCTTACTGGGTTATTAATCCCTTGACAGATTGATAGTTTACAAATATTTTCTCCCATTCTGTAGGTTGTATCTTCACTTTGTTGATTGTCTCTTTTGCTGTGCAAAAGCTTTTTAAGTTATTGTGATTACATTTGTCCATTTTTTCATTGGTTGCCTGTGCTTGTGGGGTATTACTCAAGAAATCTCAGCCCAGGCCAATGTCCTGGAGAGTTTCCTCAATGTTTATTTTAGTGGTTTCTTAGTTTGAGGTCTTCTATTTAAGTCTTTGATCCATTTTGATTTGATTTTTGTATACAGCAAGAGATAGCTGTCTAGTTTCATTCTTCTGCCTATGGACATCCAGTTTTCTCAGCACCATTTATTGAAGATATTCTCCATTCTCCAATGTATGCTCCTGGCACTTTTGTCAAGACTGAGTTTACCCCAGATTTGTGGATTTATTTATGGGTTATTTTCTTCCATACCATTGGTCTTTGTGCCTATTTTTGCACCAGTACAATGATGTTTTTGTTCTTATAGCTCTGTAGTATAATTTGAAGGCAGATAATGTGATTTCTCCAGTTTCATTTTTTTTCCCTCAAAGATGTCTGTGGTTATTCTGTGTATTTTGTAGTTCCATATAAATTTTAAGGTTTTTTTCCTACTTCTGTGCAGAATATCATTGGTATTTTGATGAATATTGCATTGAGCCTATAGATACTACTAGGTAGTATGGACCTTGCTAGAGATTTATATATCCAAACACAAAAAGCTTAAAGAAGTCCTGGGAAATTCATTACAAAAAGATAACTACCAAGGCACATAATCATCAGGTTACCTAAAGTCAACATGAAGGAAAGAATTCAAAGAACTGTGAGATAAAAGCATCAGGTAACCTATAAAGATAAACCTATCAGACTAACATCAGACTTCAGCAGAAACCTTACAAGCTAGATGGGATTGGGTCCTATCTGTAGCCTCCTTAAACAGAATAATTCTCGGCTAAGACTGTTGTATCCAGGAAAGCTTCACTAATGAAGAAGAAATAAAAGTCTTTTTCAGAGAAACAAATGTTGAGGAAATTTGTAATTACCAAACCAGAACTACAAGAAATGCAAAAAAAGTTCTAAATCTTGACACAAAAGCTAGATATACACCAAAATAGAACCTTCTGAAAGCATACAACTCATAAAGTCTATAAAACAATAACACAATGAAAAAAAACAAAGTATCTAGGTAACAACTAGTATGATGAATAGAATAGTACCTCACATCTTAATATTAACATTGAATGTAAATGGCTTAAATAATCCACTTAAAAGATACAGAATGGCAGAATGAATAGAAAAAAAAACAACAACCAAATATCTTCTGTCTTCAGGAGACTCACCTGACACGTAAAGATTCATATAAACTCAAGTTAAAGGGGTGGAAAAAGATATTCCATGTAAATGGAAACCAAAAATGAGCAAGCGCAGCTATTCTTATATCAGACAAAATGGACTTTAAAGCAGCAACAGTAAAAAAAAAAAAAAGACAAAGAAGGACATTATATAATGATAAAAGGATCAGTCCAACAAGAAGTTATTACAATCCTAAATTTATATGCATCTAATACTGGAGCTCCCAGATTTATAGAACAATTACTACTAGACCTAAGAAATCGGATAGACAGCAACACAATAATAGCTGGGGACTTCAATACTCCACTGACAGCACTAGACTGATAATCAAGAGAGAAAGTCAACAAAGAAACAATGAACTTAAACAATACCCCAGAACAAATGGAATTAATAGATAGTTGTAGAACATTCTTTCCAACAGTGGTAGGATATACATTTTTCTCATCAGCACATCAACATTCTCCAAGATAGATCATATGATAGGCCACAAAACAAGTCTCAATCAATTTAAGAAAATTGAAATCGTATCAAGTATCTTCTTAGATCACAGTAGATTCAAACTGAAAATCAACTCTAAAAGGAGTCCTCAAAACTATAAAGATACATGGAAATTAAATACTCTGCTCTTGAATGATTTTTGGGTTAGCAAGGAAACCAAGATGAAAATTTAAAAATTGGCCAGGCACGGTGGCTCACGCCTGTAATCCCAGCACTTTTGGAGGCCGAGGTGGGAGGATCATGAGGTCAGGAGATCGAGACCAGCCTGGCCAGCTTGGTGAAACCCCATCTCTACTAAAAATACAAAAAATTAGCCAGGTGTGGTGGTGTGTGCCTGTAGTCCCAGCTACTCCAGAGGCTGAGGCAGGAGAATTGCTTGAACTCGGGAGGCAGAGGTTGCAGTGAGCCGAGATCATGCCACTGCACTCCAGCCTGGTGACAGAGCAAGACTCTGTCAAAAAAAAATTTTTTTTAATTATTTGAAATCAATGATAATATTGACACAAGTTATCAAAACATCTGTGATACAGCAAAAGCAATGCTAAGAGGAAAGCTCATAGCATTAAACACCTACATCAAAAAGTCTTAAAGAGCATAAATTGACAACTGAATATCACTCCTCAAGGAACTAGAGAAACAAGAAAAAGCTAAACCCAAAGCCAGAGGAAGAACAAAATAACCAAGATTAGAGCAAAACTAAATGAAATCATTAAAAAAATACAAAAGATAAATGAAACAAAAGCTGGTTCTTTGAAAAGAGAAACAAAATTGATAGACCACTGGCAAGATTAACCACAAAAAGAAAGGATGCAATCCAAATAAGCTCAATTAGAAATGAAACTGGAGATATTACAACCAATACCACAGAAATTCACAAGATCATTCAAGGCTACTATAAACTCCTTTATGCACACAAAGCAGAAAATCTAGAGGAAATGGATAAATTCCTGGAAACATACAACCCTCCTAGATCAAATTAGGAAGAAATAGAAACCCTGAACAAACCAACAACAAGAGTGAGGTTGAATCACTAACAAACAATTTGCCAACAAAAAGAAGCCCAAGGCTAGATGGATTCACAACCGAATTCTATCAGACATTCAAAGAATTGGTACCAATCATACTGAAACTATTCCAAAAGATATAGAAAGAGGAAGTTCTTTCAAAATAATTCTATAAAGGAAATATCACCCTAGTACCAAAACCAGGAAAGAACATAACAAAAAAGGAAAACTACAGACCAATATCCCTGATGGACATAGATGCAGAAATCCTCAACAAAATGCTAGCTGGATGAATCCAACAGCACATCAAAAAAAATAATACATCATGATCAGCAGGGTTTCATCCCAGAGATTCAGGGGTTGTTTAACATATGTAAGTCAATAAATGTGATATACCACATAAGCAGAATTAAAAACAAAAACCATATGACCATTTAAATAGATACAGAAAAAAGCATTTGATAAAATCCAGCATCCCTTTATGATAAAATCCCTCAACAAAATAAGTACAGGAGGGACTCACCTCAAAGTAATAAAAGCCACATATGACAAACCCACAGCCAACGTCGTACTGAATGGGGGAAAGGTTGAAAGCATTACCCCTGAGAACTAGAACAAGACAAGGATGACCTCTTTCACCATTTCTATTCAACGTAGTACTGGAAGTCCTAGCCAGAGCAACAGGACAAGAGAAAGAAACAAAGAGCATTCAAACTGGAAAAGAGGGAGTTAAGCTCTCACTGTTCGCCAGTGATATGGTTGTATATCTAGAAAACCCCAAAGACTCATCCAAAAGGCTACTAGCAGCAAACTTTCAGATTACAAAATCAGCGTATACAAATCAGTAGCACTGCTATACACCAACAACGACTAAGCTAAGAATCAAATCAAGAACTCAATCCCTTTCGCAACAGCTGCAAAAACAGCAGCAGCAGCAACAACAACAATAACAACAACAACAACAACAAAAAACCCCCAAGGAATATACTTAACCCAAGGAGTGAAAGCTCTCTACAAGGAAAACTACAAAGCACTGCCAAAAGAAATCATAAATGATGCAAACAAATGTAAATACATCCCATCCTCATGGATGGAAAGAATCAATATTGTGAAAATGACCATACCATCCAAAGCAATCTAAGATTCAATGCAATTCTCATCAAAATACCATCATAATTTTTCACAGACCTAGGAAAAACAATCCTAAAATCCATATGAAACCAAAAAAGAGCCCACATAGCAAAAGCAATACTAAGAAAAATTAATAAACATGGAGGCATCACATTACAAACTTCAAACTGTACTACAAGCCTGTGGCTACCAAAACAGCATGGTACTGGTATAAAAATAGGCACTTAAACAGAATAGAGAACCCAGAAATAATGCCAAAATACTTACAACCAACTGATCCTTGACAAAACACACAAAAACGTAAACTAGGGGAAAGGACAATCCTATTCAATAAATGGTGCTGGGAAAACTGGCAAGCCACATGTAGAAGAATGAAACTGGATCCTCATCTCTCACCATATACAAAAATCAACTCAAGATGCATCGAAGACTTAAATCTAAGACCTGAAATCATAAAAATTCTAGAAGATAACATTGGAAAAACTCTTCTGGACATTGGCTTAGGCAAACAATTCATTACTAAGGCCCCCAAAACAAATGCAATAAAAACAAAAATAAATCAATGGGACCTGGTTAAACTAAAATGCTTTTGCACAGCCAAAGAAGTAATTAGCAGAATAAACAGAAAACCTACAGAGTGGGAGAAAATATTCACAAACTATGCATCCAACAAACAACTAGTATCCAGAATCTACAAGGAACTCAAACAAATCAGCAAGAAAAAAAAAGATGTACAAACAGCCAACAAACATGAAAAAATGCTCAACTTTACTAATCATCAGGGAAATGCAAATTAAAACCACATGATACTACCTTACTCCTGCATGAATGGCCATAATTAAAAAGTCAAAAAACAATAGATATTAGTACGGATGTGGTGAAAAGGGAGCACATTTACGCTGCTGGTGGGAATGTAAATTAGTGCAATCACTATGAAAAACATGGAGATTCCTTAAAGAACTTAACATAGATCTATCATTTAATCCAGCAATCCCACTGCTAGGTATCTACCCAAAGGAAAAGAAATTAGTATATGAAAAAGACACATGCACATGCATATTTGTAGCGGTACAGTTCACAGTTGTAAGGATATGGAACTAACCTGCCTATTGACCAATGGTTGGATAAAGAAAGTGTGGTATATATACATCAGGAAATACTACTCAGCCATTAAAAGGAACAAAATAATGTCTTGCAACAACGTGGATAGAGCTAGAGGTCGTTATTTTAAGTGATGTAACTCAGGAATGGAAAACCAAATACCATATGTTTTCACTTGTAAGTGGGAGCTAAGCTATGAGGATGCAAAAACATACAGAGTGATATAATGAACTTTGAGGACTTGGGGTGGGAGAGGTTGGGAGGAGGATGAGGGATAAAAGACAACATATTAGGTATGCTGTACACTGCTTAGATGATGGGTGCATTACAAATTCCAGAATTCACCACCAAGAACTCATCCATGTAACCAAAATCCACCTATATCCCCAAAACTATTGAAATAAAAAAATTGATTTTTTGAATATATGAATATGGAATTATTTTATTTCTTGTGTCCTCTTTAATTTCTTACATCAATGTTTTATTGTTTTTTTATTATTATACTTTAAGTTCTAGGGTACATGTGCGCAACGTGCAGGTTTGTTACATAAGTATACATGTGCCATGTTGGTTTGCTGCACCCATCAACTCGTCATTTACATTAGGTATTTCTCCTAATGCTATCCCTCCCCCATCCCCCCACCCTATGACAGGCCCCGGTGTGTGATGTTCCCCTTCCTGTGTCCAAGTCTTCTCATTGTTCAATTCCCACCTATGAGTGAGAACATGGGGTGTTTGATTTTCTGTCCTTGTGATAGTTTGCTGAGAATGATGGTTTCCAGCTTCATCCATGTCCCTGTAAGGGACATGAACTCATCCTTTCTTATGGCTGCATAGTATTCCATAGTGTATATGTGCCACATTTTCTTTATCTAGTCTGTCATTGATGGACATTTGGGTTGGTTCTGTGTCTTTTAATTGGGACATTTAGCCCATTTACATTTAAGGTTGATATTGTTATGTGTTAATTTGATCCTGACATTATGATGTTAGCTGGTTATTTTACCGGTTAGTTGATGTAGTTTCTTCCTAGCATCGATAGTCTTTACAATTTGGCATGTTTTTGCAGTGGCTGGTACCCATTGTTCCTTTCCATGTTTAGTGCTTCCTTCAGGAGCTCTTGTAAGGGAGGCCTGGTGGTGACAAAATCTCTCAGCATTTGCTTGTCTGTAAAGGATTTTATTTCTCCTTCACTTATGAAGCTTAGTTTGGCTGGATATGAAATTCTGGGTTGACAATTCTTTCACAATGTTGAATATTGGCCCCTACTCTCTTCTGGCTTGTAGGATTTCTGCAAAGAGATCTGCTGTTAGTCTGATGGGCTTCCGTTTGTGGGTAACCCAACCTTTCTCTTTGGCTGCCCTTAATATTTGTTCCTTCATTTCAACCTTGGTGAATCTGACAATTATGTGTCTTGGGGTTGCTCTTCTCAAGGAGTACCTTTGTGGTGTTCTCTGTATTTCCTGAATTTGAATGTTGGCCTGCCTTGCTAGGTTGGGGAAGTTCTCCTGGATAATACCCTGCAGAGTGTTTTCCAACTTGGTTCCATTCTCCCAGTCACTTTCAGGTACACCAATCAAACGTAGATTTGGTCTTTTCACATAGTCCCATATTTCTTGGAGGCTTTGTTGATTTCTTTTACTTTTTTTCTCTAAACTTCTCTTCTTGCTTTATTTCATTAATTCGATCTTCAATCACTGACACCCTTTCTTCCACTTGATCGAATTGGCTACTGAAGCTTGTGTATGTGTCACATAGTTCTTGTGCCATGGCTTTCAGCTCCAGCAGGTCATTTAAGGTCTTTGCTACACTGTTTATTCTAGTTGCCATTCATCTAATATTTTTTCAAGGTTTTTAGCTTCCTTGCAATGGGTTCAAACATCCTCCTTTAGCTTGGAGAAGTTTGTTATTACCGACCTTCTGAAGCCTACTTCTGTCAACTCATCCAAGTCATTCTCCATCCAGCTTTGTTCCATTGCTGGCGAGGAGCTGCAATCCTTTAAAGGAGAGGAGATGCTCTGTTCTTTGGACTTTTCAGCTTTTCTGCTCTCGTTTCTCCCCATCTTTGTGGTTTTATCTACCTTTGGTCTTTGATATTGGTGAACTGGAGGTGGGGTTTTAGTGTGGATGTCCTTTTTGTTAATGTTGGTGCTATTCCTTTCTGTTTGTTAGTTTTCCTTCTAGCGGATCCTTCAGCTGCAGGTCTGTTGGAGTTCGCCAGAGGTCCACTTTAGACCCCGTTTTCCTGGGTATCACCAGCAGAGGCTGCAGAACAGCAAATATTGCAGAAGAGCAAATGTTGCTGCCTGATCCTTCCTATGGAAGCTTCGTCCCAGAGGGGCACCCACCTTTCTGAGGTGTCAGCCAGCCCCTACTGGGAGGTGTCTCCCAGTTAGGCTACACGGGGGTCAGGGACCCACTTGAGCAGGCAGTCTGTCTGTTCTCAGAACTCAAACTCCATGCTTGGAGAACCACCGCTCTCTTCAGAGCAGTCAGACAGGGACATTTAAGTCTGCAGAAGTTTCTGCTGCCTTTTGTTGAGCTATGCCCTGCTCCTAGAGGTGGAGTCAACAGAGGCAGTAGACCTTGCTGAGCCACGGTGGGCTCCGCCCACTTTGAGCTTCCCTGGCTGCTTTGTTTACCTACTCAAGCCTCAGCAATGGTGGACGCCCCTCCCCCTGCCAGGCTGCTGCCTCTCTGGTGGATCTCAGACTGCTGTGCTAGCAGTGAGCAAGGCTCCATGGGCATGGGACCCTCTGAGTCAGGCGCGGGATATAATCTCCTGATGTGCTGTTTGCTAAGATCATTGGAAAAATGCAATATTTAGGTGGGAATGTCCTGTTTTTCCATGTACAGTCTGTCATGACTTCCCTTGGCTAGGAAAGGGAAATACCCCAACCCCTTGCTCTTCCCGGTGAAGTGATGCCCCTCCCTGCTTCGGCTTGCCCTCCATGGGCTGCACCTACTGTCCAACCAGTCCCAGTGAGATAAACCAAGTATCTCACTTGGAAATGCAGAAATTACCCATCTTCTGCGTTGATCACGCTGGGAGCTAAAGACCAGAGCTGTTCCTATTTGGCCATCTTGGCACTCTATGGTTTTTTTTAAAAAAGGTTTAAAAGTTTAAAGAAATTTATTTATTTGTTGTAGAGATGGGATCTCACTATGTTGTCCAGGCTTGTATTGAACTCCTGGGCTCAAGCAATCCTCCTATCTTGACCTCTCAAAATGGTGGGATTACAGGAATGAGCCATTGTACCCAGCCTATAGTTTTTATTGTAGTAATCTTTCATTTCTTTGAATAAATTTATTCTTATGTATTTTATTTTATTTGTAGCTATTGTAAAGGGGATTATTTTCTAGAACAGAGTCTTGCTGTGTCCTCCAGGCTGGAGTGCAGTGGCGTAATCTCAGCTCACTGCTTAAATTTTCTTTTTAATTTCTTCATTGACCCACTGGTCATTTAGGAGCATATTGTTTAATTTCCATGTGTTCATATAGTTTCCAAAGCTCCTCTTTTTATTTATTTTTAGTTTAATTCCATTGTGGTCCAAGAAGATATGTGTTATGTTGTTTTCTCATGATAGCGAGCTAGTTTTCATGAGATCTGGCTGTTTGAAAGTGTGTGGCACTTCTCCCTTCATTATCTTTCTTTACTGCTCCACCATGGTAAGATGTGCTTGCGTGCTTCCCCTTCACCTTCTGCCATGACTGTCAGTTGCCTGAGGTCTCCCAACCATGCTTCTGTATAGCCTGTAGAACTGTGAGTCAATTAAACTTATTTTCTTCATGAATTACCCAGTTTCAAGTAGTTCATTATAGCAGTGTGAGAACAAACTAATATGATATGTTTTCAATTATTTTTGAAACTTTAAAGACTTGATTTGTGGCCTAACTTGTGGCCTATCCTTGAGAATTATCCATGTACTGAGGAGAAGAATGTGTATTCTGCAATCATAGCATGAAATGTTCTGTAAATATCTATTAGGTATATTTGATCTATAATGCACATTAAATCCAACGTTTCTTTGTTGATTTTCCATCTAGATAACCTGCCCAGTGCTGAAAGTGGGATGTTGAACTCTTCAGTTATTATTGTATTGGGGCCCATCTCTCTCTTTAGCTCTAATAATATTTTCTTTATATATCTGGGTGCTCTAGTGTTAGGTGCATATATATTTACAGTTGTTATGTTCTCTTGCTGAATTGACTCCTATATCATTATATAATGACTTTTTTTTGTCTATTTTTGTAGCTTTTGTCTTGAAATCGATTTTTGTCTCCTGAACCTTTCTCATCTCTTTTTGGGGGGAGCCACATTCCCTAGCTTTTGACTTTTTTTGTGCTAATGTAGCATAAAATAAATCCTCCTGCAAAGCTATTTATAGCATGTTTTCTCCACTTGCAATGTGAATGACACCCTCTCAATTTACAACAATTTGGTAAAGGATTTCTTTCTTTCCTTTGTTTTTTCTCTGTTTGTATATGTTTAACTAAGGCTTAATCACGCTCTTGTTTTTGCTTTAGGAAAGAAAAGAGGAGAATGAAATACCATCTGTTCTGCCTTCTAAGAAGTTGAGAATTCTTGTAGTGATGCACTTTGAAAATATCTTCCTAAATTTATTTATGATTAGGTCCTTTAAGACCAGGATTAAAGTCTTTTTTCCTTCCCTTCCAATCAATAATGCCTGGCAGTCTGTCATGGAACAATATTACATAGGTCTGACTGATTTATTCTTCCTAAAATCCCACTGACTACTCTCTGGCACTTGTGATCATTTAGCATTTTATAAATGAAATGATTAATGAGTTTGGTCTTTTCAGGTATCAAAGTTAAGGTGACCAGACTATAATATTTTTGGGCTATTACGTTATTTTCATTTTTAGAGGTAGGTCTTACGCATATCATTTTTCAGCTTTAGGCTTCATCATTGTCCAACATGCACCTGGAAAGATTATTTCTATAATAAGTTCAGGATATATATTAACCCTGGAACTATGCTACGAGGGCATGCTGATCTGAAAAAATCCACTGTATTTAATATCTGACTCATTTATCTTCTATTTTGGATGATCTTTGTATTCTGTTGTGCAAGTGGTAGAAACTTTATTCTACCACTGTTGAACCTGTTACAGGCATCATACTCAAATTAAGCTTTTGAAAAAAATAAAAACAATTACTCCCCTCAGAGCTCTATGGGTCCCACTCATAAGTTCCCAATCATAAAATTCGATAACAGAAATAATCAGAGATATTTTATAAAACCTGGAAAAGATGCCCATAGTGGAGATATGTTATTATTTTTCTGTTTATCTCTAATATCCTATTGCCATAGGTTATTTAGAAATTGATTCAGGAGGCTTTGTAGCTTCACTTTTTATATCAAAAGATTCCACATTATGTTACCTTGTTCTCCCAGGAAGTCTAACTTAAAGGTTTGTGTTTCTTTCTACTTATGAAAAGCTAAACTTATTTAATTGGTTTATTGGATGAACTGTACTTAGTAGAGTGAAGCAGAATGCACCTTTAATTTATTCTTTTTCACTTGTTCTTTGGATCAGTTGTTTCTAGCCCCTGGAATAAAATCTCAGTCAGGTCCGAAGACTCCTCTGTCTCATTAAATAATGAATATACAGCACAAATGCTTATCAAAAGTCCCAAATCTCATTTAGTTTAAGAGTTCTCTTCTTCCCTAGTTTAGGTTGGCCTCAGGCTCCATCGACTGAGAAGGTGGGGTAGACAGGGGTTCTTATGATCTGATTTTTTTTTTTTTTTTTGCTTCACTGCATTCTCCACTTAACAGTTGCTGTTTTGGGCTCCTTTAATACTAGGGAATATTAGAGTAGGGAAAGAAGAATAAGGGGCAGAAATGTGCTTTTGAACTTGTAAAGTTGTAATATGGTGTTGATGCCATCTGGGCATGGTGGAATTCAAGGCTTATTTTTATTTCCCCCTTCAGTTTGATGATTCCCTCCTTGGAGATCTTCACCTGCAGTTCCTGGAATGAGTGATGCTGCTTCCACATGGTCAATTTCACCCCTTCATATCTCTTCTGCATCTATGACACACCTTTATCTTCTTGTTGCTGAGGCTGCCTCACCCTTAGCAGAAGCTTTTGGTGGCACTTATGGCCAGCTAATCAACTTGACTATCAGGCAGCACCATTCCGCAGAGTTGTATGTGATCTATGGAAAATCGACCCCTCTGCCCTGCTTTCAATGAACTTGTAACTTACTACTGACAAGAGGCTTCTTATTCTTCTATAGGCAGCTCTAGGTACACTTACCTTTGCTTTTTTGTTCAGCCATGGGTCAAGTAACTTGCTCTCATGTCTCTGAAATTCCAGAGAATGCATATTAGCCTCCCAAATGGTTCTTTTGAGGCCCCCTTCAATTGATTTGAGATGAAAGGGGAGTTTCCTTTCCCTCCCATGTAAGAGAGAGATAATTTATAATGCTCTGACAATAGTCTCCAAAAAAAAATCCTCATTAGCAGCCTCTTCACCCTTTCAGTGGATATTTAGCTATCTCTTAGTCTGGAGGCGAATGATAGTCTTCAAATATCCACTGGAATGTAAGCAGCAATAAAGCAGACATTTTTTATGTGTTTTGATTATTTCTGTGTCATTTGGTTTTAGAGAAAAGCCTGACACATAGTAGGCTGTCAATAGATATATGTTCAACATATGAATGAATGAATGAAAAAGCAATCAGGCACTTTGATTTAGAATGTGTGTATACACACACACACATCATATATATATTTATATATAAAACAACAGATGTCATACATATACATATATACACACATCATATATATATTTATATATAAAACAACAGATGTCATACATATACATATATACACGCATGTATGTATATATGTATGCGTAATGATATACATGCATGTATATACATATATACATACATATATGTGTACATGCACACATATATGTGTATATATATATATGGCACTTCTATTGTTTTCAGATTTTGGGATGTCTGCTGAAACAAAAAAATAGAAACCCCAAAACAAAAAATCCAAGAAATATCAAATTTAATATTCTATCATACTTATTTAATTTTAAAATTATCTTTACAAAGATAACAAAATCCAAAGTTTGTGAATAATCTTTCAATGGTGATATCCAAAAATACATGTGTTTTTCAGGGACCAAAGGCTATAAATCCAAAGCCAGAAATTTAGCTAATCTTAGGCAGTCCAGAATAAATAAGAAATTTAGTTTATTTTAGTAATTTGAATCATCCATTTTAAGATTATAAATCCTAGTTAAAAGCTTGAGAATCTATGAAGAATGTGCAAAAGTAGAATTTACTAGACTCTGGCTCACAGAATAAGGTACATTTTAGGGTCAGCATCTGGAAATACCCCTTTCTCATATTTCTCTGTTACGTGTCTATGCCTTTAAAACAGAAGTTTTAAAACTTGTTGTATGGATCATGTTGGAAATAAAGACTATGAATCAAGTGGGACTTTGGGGAGTCCAAATGTCAGCAAAGATAATTCACTAGTAATGTCATTGTAAAATCTCCCTTAAATTAACTGGAAATGTGGCATTATTTGAAGTTATAAATGAGGAATTTCACAACGATTTTCTTCTCAGTGCTCATCAGGGATATTGGCCTGAATTTTTCTTTTTTTGTGTGTGTCTCTGTCAGGTTTTGGTATCAGGATGATGCTGGCTTCTTAGTGACCTACTAAGAAGTATCAAGCCCAGACATCTTCACAGATGGTATCATTCAAACCTCCAAGGAACAAATAATCTCAATGCTATTTCAACTGCTTCAATGCATAAAGAAGGAAGGTTTCCAAATATTATCTATGATGCCAGAAAGCAATTATTCCAAAATGTGATAAATGTAGTACAGAAAAAGAAAATTATTAATAAATGTAATTTGTGAATATCAATACAAAATCCTAAAGAAATTAGGTAATAGCATCTATTAGTAATTTCAAATAATAATATATACTAAGTTAAGGTCCTGTCAGGAATGAACTAATGGTTCAATATTAAGAAATATATTGATTTAATTTATATATTTAATAGGCTAAATGGTTAAAAAGTGAGTATTTTCATACATGGTGAAAAGGCATTTGATAAAATCCAATATTCATTCCCAAGGAAAGATAAACAATAGCAAGAACAAATTTCTTTAATTCCCTTTTCAGCAAGGTAAATTAATAATTCACCCAAGGTCACACAACCAGTAAAGATAGGTCCTAGATTTGAACCTAGATAGCTTTTTGTGCAGAGATAATTTAATCCCGTATACCTACAAACAAACACCAGTGCTTCTCAACCTTCTTCATGTTGTGGTACACATAGAAAATGAAAATATTTTTATGGCATGCTGGGAAATCAATCAAGGTCACGTGTAGAGGCAATTGCTTAAGGCCTGGGTTACCTGAGGACCAGCTTAGCTGTCCAAGGGGCTGAGGGGACCGATATTTTGGCACATTTTAACTTGCGGAGGTTTGCCTACTCTGTACTGCCACTAGAAGAAAGCACAGTCTACAGCTAGAATCAGAATAATATGGGAATTTGATATCTACTAAAGATGACATTTCAAATCATTTTATAAAAATAGATTATTTACTAATTTGGTATTGGAACAACTGGCTTTCCATTTGTGGAAAAATATAGCTGAGTGCCTACCAACTTCTAAACTGTCAGAAATAAATGAAAAAGAAAACAATAAAATATTCAAGGAAAATGTGAACATTTATACAATAATTTTGGTGTAATGAAGAATTTTTTAACTGACATACAAAAAAAGGCAGAACAGAAAATACTGAAATGTAGCTATATATCAAAGAAAATGAAGCTTTCTGTACAGCAAGAAATATTCTAAACAAAGTCGAAAGACAACTGGCAAATTACAAGAAAACATTTCAGGCAAAACACAAATTTTCTTAGCATTGAAGAATTCTTAAGAGTCAATAACAAAAGGACAAGCTACAAAAATAAAAAAATAGCAAAATATATAAATAGGCGTTTCATAGAAAAGTAAATGTAAATGGATTATAAACACATAAAATTATTCTCAACCTTATTTACAAAGATATGTATATTGAAACACAAAAAACACACAAAGGAGATACCATTTGTCACATATCAGATTATTAAAAAGGTTTAACAAGTTGGATAATACAATAATGTTAATAAGAATATGGGGAAAGGCATACTCCCATCCACTGTTAGTGAGAGTACAAATTGAGAAATATTACTCTGTGGAGGGCAATTTAGCAATATCCATTAAAGTTAAGCATACACAAAGTTTCTCATCCAGAAATTCCACTTTTAGGAATTTATCCCATGGACATGCATTCACAAAGCTGAAAAGATGTATATGCAAGATGTTGAAGTGTAATTTGTATCGAGAAAAAATAGGCAACCCAAATGTGTAACAATAGGAAAGACTACGTGGCTTTTTAAAATAAATAAGATAGATGTTACAAAAAGATATAGAACAAGTCACATTCCTCCCTTTGTGTAAAGCAAAGGAATTAGAAAAATAACTACTAAAATGTATAGACATATATAAATGTATAAAACTTCTGCAAGAATAAGTAGAAAACCCATGATAGAGGTAATTTTCAGATGTAACTGGCTTAGGATGTGGAGTAGAAAGGAACTCCTTGTTCTATTTGAAGTTTTTCCTCTCAGTATATGTGCTATCTCATTAACAAAACAAAACAACAACAACAACAAAAAGCAGGCAGCCAGGAGCAGTGGCTCATGCCTGTAATGCCAGCACTTTGAGAGGGCCAAGGCAGGAGGAACTGCTCGAGCCCAGGAGTTTGAGATCAGCCTGGGCAACAGAGCAAGACCCAGTCTCTACAAAAAATAAAAATGTAAGAATTAGCCAGACATGGTGGTGAGCCCCTGAAGTCTTAGCTACTTGGGAGGCTGAGGCAGGAGGATCACCTGAGTCCAGGGGTTCAAGACTGCTATGTGCTATGATTGCACCACTTGCACTCCAGCCTGTGCCATAGAGTGAGACCCTGTCTCTAAAATAAATAAAAATAGAAATAACAAATTGTTCTTCATGATAATGATCATTTTAGGAAGTCTTGTGTCCTATGGAAAAAAAAAAAACACATTTTGCTGGTCTTTTCCAGAAAGGCCATTCTCCAAATAAAACATACCATAAAATATCTCAATGACTCATTTATATCTTTGAGGTTGTAACCAAGTTATTACATTTCACATTCTACTTGACCAAAGATGCATTTGTTGAGGCCAGAAATAGACGCCAGAGTGTAAGACCAGACTTTTTACCCCAATCCTATTTCCTCTCAGATTTGTGTAATAAGCTTACTTTTGATATGAATCTCTGGAGGGAAAATTCTCCAGAAAAGATGCTGGAAGGTGGTTGAGAGTGCTAATGAGGATGAAAAGAAAGAAGTGAATAAAGTCTGTTTTTCAGTTGTCTTTATCTGACCCTTTTGCTCTTAGCCTACTGGGGCTCTGATTTCCAGGACCGAAGTAAAGATTAGCCATTGTACTGCAAATATTGGCCCATTGTTATTAGGGAGAATTGAAATTAAATTTGTAATGATAATGATGGAAGGGGGAAATGGTGAACTTTTAGGGATACATGTACACGGTGACATAACCATCTCTTACAGTGAGAGAAATACAAACTCAGAAGAGAGGGAAAATGGGCATTTCAATGAATTCAGTTTCTGGACAACTAAAATGTATTTTAAACCAGTTTTTCTCACAGTCAATGCCTTTTGCCATTAAAGCCTTTTTTTTCTTTTCCCTTCCCTTCCCTCCCTCCCTCCCTGCCTTCCTTCCTCTTTCTTCCCCTTTCTTTCTTTTCTTTCTTTCTTTCTTTCTTTCTTTCTTTCTTTCTTTCTTTCTTTCTTTCTTTCTTTCTTTCCTTCTTTCTTTCTTTCCTTCTTTCTTCTTTTCTTTCTCTGTCTCTCTCTTTCTTTTCAAAGGTGTAGAACAGAGCCAGACATTCAGTCAATAAAG
This sequence comes from Homo sapiens, assembly GCF_000001405.40. NCBI lineage: Eukaryota > Metazoa > Chordata > Mammalia > Primates > Hominidae > Homo > Homo sapiens. The sequence goes on from NC_000001.11 coordinate 176,305,141, forward strand.
GTTGCAATTTAGATCATGTATCCTTCTCCTAATCTTTCCCCAAGTGCAGGCAGTGCACTTATACCCTATGAATGTCTTCCCAGTTAAGTTTTCTTCTAGTAGAATGCCTCTTTTTAAAAAAACTTTAAATATTAGTTTATTCATTATTCTATTTCCTAACCATCTGATATTATTTAATTATACTTCTCTTGAACCACTCTCCACACTGAGGAGGTGGCTTGAGTGGGATCCTGGAATTTGGTGTGTGAAATCCATGTGTGCTCTCCCGTTGCTGCATAGCTTAGGTGGGGGCATGATCCAGATAGACCTGGTTCTCCTCTTGAGTGCTTCAGAAGGCAGCCTTAAGGTGGCCTCTCCTAGGAAGATGCATTGATAGGCAGACCAGAAGTGAAATTGTCCTGATAAAGGCACCCGTATTTCACTGGGAGCTGGCAGTTGGCAGGGTGTGTTGTTGTGGGGCAGGAAGGAGTTATTCCAGATAGAGGGGTTATTTGCAAGTTGTAGAGAGAAATGAGGGGCCTTAGCTTAGGGGCCATATGTGGAGTCAGTGGGGGCCACCATATGTCTTTGCTCCTGCAAAGAAAAGGTGATATGGCCATTATGGCCAAAAAGGCCCACTGTGATTTGACCCAGTATCCCAGTGATGATTTTGGAAAGGTTTCCTCTCTTAACAAAGACAATAGACATGATCAAGTAAGAGTTTACTAGTGCATGGAAGAAATTCCTCTACCTGTCACCAGTTGATGAACTGCATCTTGGTGTGCAGGTCACACATGTTGATTACAAAAAGGAAAGCAGCAAGACTATCTTGACCACTGAAAGGAATACCCTTGTTACTGCTGTGAGGCACTGAAGCAGATAAGAATCATCAGACACAATATAATTGCCGCAAAGGGGAGAGTTCCTTTAGTGTGCATAAGAACTTGGTGCAGAGAGGGTCTTGGAATTGGCCTTAGTGCGGGGCTAGAATCCCTGTGGGTACAAGGAATTTGCTAGTTTATTCAATGGTTCCAGAAGTTGCCAGTGTAACAGCAATTCCCATCAACTGCCCGGTAAGGAGGACTCAGGCAAAGGAGGCCTCTTGTTTATGAATACACCAACTCTATAGGATATTTATGCTGTATGATGTGTACATGTATGTGTGTGCATGTGTGACATATTTTGGATCATTGTTCACACATACCTAACAAGCTATCACATTAGGATGTAAAATGTTTAAAACAGCTTTCTTTTTCTTTTCTTTTCTTTTTTTTTTTTTTTTTTTGAGATATAGTCTCCCTTTGTTGTCTAGGCTGGAGTGCAGCAGTGCGATCATGGCTCACTGTAGCCTTGACCTCCCAAGCTCAAGCGATCCTCTTACTTCAGCCTCTCAAGTAGCTGAGACTACAGGGGCACGCCACTACACCTGGCTAATTTTTTTAACTTTTAGTAGAGACAAGGTCTCACTGTGTTGCCCAGGCTTGTCTTGAACTCCTAGGCTCAAGTGATCCTCCTCGGTCTCCCAAAGTTTTGGGATTACAGGCATGAGCCACCACGCCTGGCCCAAAACAGCTTTCTGATCACCAAATAATATAGTTGTTGACAATTGCATTGAATGTTATTGCATTCAAAGCAGTTGTTGACAACTTCCAATACAATGTTGGATAGAAGTGATGACAGCAGATATCTTTGTCCTATTCCTGCATTACTTATGAGAAAAGCATTAGTTCATCTTGGATTTTAGCTGTTTGCTGTCCTTTATCAGATTGAGTCAATTATTTTTGATTTCTAGTTTCTGAAATTTTCAGGAGGAATGGTGTTGAATTTTGTCAAATGTTTTTCTTTATTCTATTGAGATAATTTTTTTCTCTCTTATTTTGGTAGTGTGGTGAATTACATTGATTTTCTCATGTTGACCCAACTTTGAATTCCTAGAATAAACCTCACTTGATCATGGGATATTATCCTTGTTCTATTAATATGTTGTTGGATCCCATTGCCTGTGTTCATAAAAATATTGGTTTATAATTTTCCTTTTTTATTAGCACCATGATCTAACCAACTGAGCTAACCAGTTATATAATTTTCCTTTTTTTTTTTAAATGTGTTTTGAGGTTTTGGTATCAGGCCTTGTGAAACCAATGGGCATGTTTTTCCTTCTCCTTTCTTTTATGAAAGGTTTTATGTAAGATTGGTATACTTCCTTTCTTGAATATTTGGTAGGTCTCATCAGTGAAGCCATCTGAATCTGGAGGGGTTTTTTTTTTTGTGGAAAAGTTTTAAATTACATATTTTATTTCTTTAATAGAACTCTGCCTCCATTTCTAACTCTCTGTAATTGCATAAATCTAATTCATTTATCCAACATCTATCTTTTTTTTGGAACCATCATTTTCTATTCTATGGGCTTCTATATGAACTGTCAATCACTATAATTTGTATCCCAACCTCCTTAGAGAGTTCAGTTGAAATGTCAGCCAAACTGACATATCAGAGTATGACTTTTCTACTAGAACAGGTGGGAGAAGACTTTTTCATCTAGTTTAATGGTGTTGGAACATTCTGAGTTCAAGGCTGCCAGTGGCCATTTTCTCAAATCACAGGGAGGAAGATTGTGGTTAGAAGAGAAAAAGACCATGCAGGTAAACAAAGTCAAAAGTTGACTCTGGGAAAGGGAAAGATGCCTGATGATGTCATTAGAATCCTCAGGTCTATTGTCTAAAACTAGTTCTATTCCTAGACTTTTTGGTACACAAGCCAATAGATTCTTCTTAAAATTATGTTCTAGTTTAAGTTGGCTCAAGTTGGGTTTCTGACATTTGCAATGAAAAGAGACTTAACTAATACACTCTTTTTAAAGAATCTGCACTCTTGGATTTTCACATAATCCCACATATTGAGAAGAAGAGAGACTTCTTTCTCTCTTTGCACATTAGGTAGGAGGTGAAGAAGGAGATGTAGGTGTGTAGATGATGTTCAAGAAGTATTTCTTGAAGTAAAGTGAATTGAAAGAGTAACTCTAGTCTTATTTCAGAGATACAGTGGGGGAACGTGACATCTTGATATCCTTAAAATTATCACTTTGAATGTATTTTACCTTTATAATAGTAGAGTATATGGCAGCTAGATTTACTAGAAGCATTTGCTTATCAGAAATGTTATATATTTACTAGGTGACACTCTTATGTAAAAGAGCATCTCAAGTTCCAAAATACTCACTTAGAAATGACTCATTATTATTATTATTATTATTATTATTATTATTATTATTATTATACTTTAAGTTTTAGGGTACATGTGCACAATGTGCAGGTTAGTTACATATGTATACATGTGCCGTGCTGCTGTGCTGCACCCATTAACTCGTCATTTAGCATTAGGTATATCTCCTAATGCTATCCCTCCCTGCTCCCCCCACCCCACAACAGTCCCCAGAGTGTGATGTTCCCCTTCCTGTGTCCATGTGTTCTCATTGTTCAATTCCCACCTATGAGTGAGAACATGCAGTGTTTGGTTTTTTGTCCTTGTGATAGTTTACTGAGAATGATGATTTCCAATTTCATCCATGTCCCTACAAGGGACATGAACTCATCAATTTTTATGGCTGCATAGTATTCCATGGTGTATATGTGCCACATTTTCTTAATCCAGTCTATCATTGTTGGACATTTGGATTGGTTCCAAGTCTTTGCTATTGTGAATAGTGCCGCAATAAACATACGTGTGCATGTGTCTTTATAGCAGCATGATTTATAGTCCTTTGGGTATATACCCAGTAATGGGATGGCTGGGTCAAATGGTATTTCTAGTTCTAGATCCCTGAGGAATCGCCACACCGACTTCCACAATGGTTGAACTAGTTTACAGTCCCACCAACAGTGTAAAAGTGTTCCAATTTCTCCACATCCTCTCCAGCACCTGTTGTTTCCTCACTTTTTAATGATTGCCATTCTAACTGGTGTGAGATGGTATCTCATTGTGGTTTTGATTTGCATTTCTCTAATGGCCAGTGATGGTGAGCATTTTTTCATGTGTTTTTTGGCTGCATAAATGTCTTCTTTTGAGAAGTGTCTGTTCATGTCCTTCGCCCACTTTTTGATGGGGTTGTTTGTTTTTTTCTTGTAAATTTGTTTGAGTTCATTGTAGATTCCGGATATTAGCCCTTTGTCAGATGAGTAGGTTGCAAAAATTTTCTCCCATTTTGTAGGTTGCCTGTTCACTCTGATGGTAGTTTCTTTTGCTGTGCAGAAGCTCTTTAGTTTAATTAGATCCCATTTGTCAATTTTGGCTTTTGTTGCCATTGCTTTTGGTGTTTTGGACATGAAGTCCTTGCCCATGCCTATGTCCTGAATGGTAATGCCTAGGTTTTCTTCTAGGGTTTTTATGGTTTTAGGTCTAACATTTAAGTCTTTAATCCATCTTGAATTAATTTTTGTATAAGGTGTAAGGAAGGGATCCAGTTTCAGCTTTCTACATATGGCTAGCCAGTTTTCCCAGCACCATTTCTTAAATAGGGAATCCTTTCCCCATTGCTTGTTTTTCTCAGGTTTGTCAAAGATCAGATATTTGTAGATATGCAGTATTATTTCTGAGGACTCTGTTCTGTTCCATTGATCTATATCTCTGTTTTGGTACCAGTACCATGCTGTTTTGGTTACTGTAGCCTTGTAGTATAGTTTGAAGTCATGTAGCGTGATGCCTCCAGCTTTGTTCTTCTGGCTTAGGATTGACTTGGTGATGCGGGCTCTTTTTTGGTTCCATATGAACTTTAAAGTAGTTTTTTCCAATTCTGTGAAGAAAGTCATTGGTAGCTTGATGGGGATGGCATTGAATCTGTAAATTACCTTGGGCAGTATGGCCATTTTCATGATATTGATTCTTCCTACCCATGAACATGGAATGTTCTTCCATTTGTTTGTATCCTCTTTTATTTCACTGAGCAGTGGTTTGTAGTTCTCCTGAAAGGGGTCCTTCACATCCCTTGTAAGTTGGATTCCTAGGTATTTTATTCTCTTTGAAGCAATTGTGAATAGGAGTTCACTCATGATTTGGCTCTCTGTTTGTCTGTTGTTGGTGTATAAGAATGCTTATGATTTTTGTACATTGATTTTGTATCCTGAGACTTTGCTGAAGTTGCTTATCAGCTTAAGGAGATTTTGGGCTGAGACAATGGGGTTTTCTAGATAAACAGTCATGTCATCTGCAAACAGGGACAATTTGACTTCCTCTTTTCCTAATTGAATACCCTTTATTTCCTTCTCCTGCCTAATTGCCCTGGCCAGAACTTCCAACACTATGTTGAATAGGAGTGGTGAGAGAGGGCATCCCTGTCTTGTGCCAGTTTTCAAAGGGAATGCTTCCAGTTTTTGCCCATTCAGTATGATATTGGCTGTGGATTTGTCATAGATAGCTCTTATTATTTTGAGATACGTCCCATCAATACATAATTTATTGAGAGTTTTTAGCAGAAGGTTGTTGAATTTTGTCAAAGGCCTTTTCTGCATCTATTGAGGTAATCATGTGGTTTTTGTCTCTGGTTCTGTTTATACGGTGGATTACATTTATTGATTTGCATATATTGAACCAGCCTTGCATCCCAGGGATGAAGCCCACTTGATCATGGTGGATAAGCTTTTTGATGTGCTGCTGAATTCGGTTTGCCAGTATCTTACTGAGGATTTTTGCATCAATGTTCATCAAGGATATTGGTCTAAAATTCTCTTTTTTGGTTGTGTCTCTGCCAGGCTTTGGTATCAGGATGATGCTGGCCTCATAAAATGAGTTAGGGAGGATTCCCTCTTTTTCTATTGATTGGAATAGTTTCAGAAGGAATGGTACCTGTTCCTCCTTGTACCTCTGATAGAATTCGGCTGTGAATCCATCTGGTCCTGGACTCTTTTTGGTTGGTAAGCTATTGATTATTGCCACAATTTCAGCTCCTGTTATTGGTCTATTCAGAGATTCAACTTCTTCCTGGTTTAGTCTTGGGAGAGTATATGTGTCGAGGAATTTATCCGTTTCTTCTAGATTTTCTAGTTTATTTGCTTAGAGGTGTTTGTTGTATTCTCTGATGGTAGTTTGTATTTCTGTGGGATTGGTGGTGATATCCCCTTTATCATTTTTTATTGTGTCTATTTGATTCTTCTCTCTTTTTTTCTTTATTAGTCTTGCTAGCGGTCTATCAATTTTGTTGATCCTTTCAAAAAACCAGCTCCTGGATTCATTAATTTTTTGAAGGGTTTTTTTGTGTCTCTATTTCCTTCAGTTCTGCTCTGATTTTAGTTATTTCTTGCCTTCTGCTAGCTTTTGAATGTGTTTGGTCTTGCTTTTCTAGTTCTTTTAATTGTGATGTTAGGGTGTCAATTTTGGATCTTTCCTGCTTTCTCTTGTGGGCATTTATTGCTATAAATTTCCCTCTACACACTGCTTTGAATGCGTCCCAGAGATTCTGGTATGTTGTGTCTTTGTTCTCGTTGGTTTCAAAGAACATCTTTATTTCTGCCTTCATTTCGTTATGTACCCAGTAGTCATTCAGGAGCAGGTTGTTCAGTTTCCATGTAGTTGAGCGGTTTTGAGTGAGTTTCTTAATCCTGAGTTCTAGTTTGATTGCACTGTGGTCTGAGAGATAGTTTGTTATAATTTCTGTTCTTGTACATTTGCTGAGGAGAGCTTTACTTCCAACTATGTGGTCAGTTTTGGAATAGGTGCTATGTGGTGCTGAAAAAAATGTATATTCTATTGATTTGGGGTGGAGAGTTCTGTGGATGTCTATTAGGTCCACTTGGTGCAGAGCTGAGTTCAATTCCTGGGTATCTTTGTTGACTTTCTGTCTCGTTGATCTGTCTAGTGTTGACAGTGAGGTGTTAAAGTCTCCCATTATTAATGTGTGGGAGTCTAAATCTCTTTGTAGGTCACTCAGGACTTGCTTTATGAATCTGGGTGCTCCTGTATTGGGTGCATATATATTTAGGATAGTTAGCTCTTCTTGTTGAATTGATCCCTTTACCATTATGTAATGGCCTTCTTTGTCTCTTGATCTTTGTTGGTTTAAAGTCTGTTTTATCAGAGACTAGGATTGCAATCCCTGCCTTTTTTTGTTTTCCATTTGCTTGGTAGATCTTCCTCCATCCTTTTATTTTGAGCCTACGTGTGTCTCTGCACGTGAGATGGGTTTCCTGAATACGACACACTGATGTGTCTTGACTCTTTATCCAATTTGCCAGTCTGTGTCTTTTAATTGGAGCATTTAGTCCATTTACATTTACAGTTAATATTGTTATGTGTGAATTTGATCCTGTCATTATAATGTTAGCTGGTTATTTTGCTCGTTAGTTGATGCAGTTTCTTCCTAGTCTTGATGGTCTTTACATTTTGGCATGATTTTGCAGTGGCTGGTACTGGTTGTTCCTTTCCATGTTTAGCACTTCCTTCAGGAGCTCTTTTAGGGCAAGCCTGGTGGTGACAAAATCTCTCAGCATTTGCTTGTCTGGAAAGGATTTTATTTCTCCTTCACTTATGAAGCTTAGTTTGGCTGGATATGAAATTCTGGGTTGAAAATTCTTTTCTTTAAGAATGTTGAATATTGGCACCCACTCTCTTCTGGATTGTAGAGTTTCTGCTGAGAGATCTGCTGTTAGTCTGGTGGGCTTCCCTTTGAGGGTAACGCAACCTTTCTCTCTGGCTGCCCTTAACATTTTTTCCTTCATTTCAACTTTGGTGAATCTGACAATTATGTGTCTTGGAGTTGCTCTTCTCGAGGAGTATCTTTGTAGCGTTCTCTGTATTTCCTGAATTTGAATGTTGGCCTGCCTTGCTAGATTGGGGAAGTTCTCTTGGATAATATCCTGCAGAGTGTTTTCCAACTTGGTTCCATTCTCCCTGTCACTTTCAGGTACACCAATCAGATGTAGATTTGGTCTTTTCACATAGTTCCATATTTCTTGGAGGCTTTGTTCGTTTCTTTTTATTCTTTTTTCTCTAAACTTCCCTTCTCACTTCATTTCATTCATTTCATCTTCCATCGCTGATACCCTTTCTTCCAGTTGATTGCATCAGCTCCTGAGGCTTCGGCATTCTTCACGCAGTTCTCGAGCCTTGGTTTTCAGCTCCATCAGCTCCTTTAAGCACTTCTCTGTATTGGTTATTCTAGTTATACATTCTTCTAAATTTTTTTCAAAGTTTTCAACTTCTTTGCCTTTGGTTTGAATTTCCTCCCGTAGCTCAGAGTAATTTGATTGTCTGAAGCCTTCTTCTCTCAACTCGTCAAAGTCATTCTCCATCCAGCTTTGTTCCATTGCTGGTGAGGAACTGTGTTCCTTTGGAGGAGGAGAGGCGCTCTGCTTTTTAGAGTTTCCAGTTTTTCTGCTCTGTTTTTTCCCCATCTTTGTGGTTTTATCTACTTTTGGTCTTTGATGATGGTGATGTACAGATGGGTTTTTGGTGTGGATGTCCTTTCTGTTTGTTAGTTTTCCTTCTAACAGACAGGACCCTCAGCTGCAGGTCTGTTGGAGTACCAGGGCGTGTGAGGTGTCAGTTTGCCCCTGCTGTGGGGTGCCTCCCAGTTAGGCTGCTCAGGGGTCAGGGGTCAGGGACCCACTTGAGGAGGCAGTCTGCCTGTTCTCAGATCTCCAGCTGCGTGCTGGGAGAACCACTGCTCTCTTCAAAGCTGTCAGACAGGGACATTTAAGTCTGCAGAGGTTACTGCTGTCTTTTTGTTTGTCTGTGCCCTGCCCCCAGAGGTGGAGCCTACAGAGGCAGGCAGGCCTCCTTGAGCTGTGGTGGGCTCCACTGAGTTTGAGCTTCGGGGCTGCTTTGTTTACCTAAGCAAGCCTGCGCAATGGCAGGTGCCCCTCCCCCAGCCTCGCTGCCGCCTTGCAGTTTGATCTCAGACTGCTGTGCTAGCAATCAGCGAGACTCCGTGGGCGTAGGACCCGCGGAGCCACGTTCCTGGATATAATCTCCTGGTGCGCCATTTTTTAAGCCGGTCGGAAAAGCGCAGTATTCGGGTGGGAGTGACCCGATTTTCCAGGTGCCATCTGTCACCCCTTTCTTTGACTAGGAAAGGGAACTCCCTGACCCCTTGCGCTTCCCAAGTGAGGCAATGCCTCGCCCTGCTTCAGCTCGCGCATGGTGCGGGCACCCACTGACCTGCGCCCACTGTCTGGCACTCCCTAGTGAGATGAACCCGGTATGGTACCTCAAATGGAAATGCAGAAATCACCCGTCTTCTGCATCGCTCACCCTGGGAGCTGTAGAGGGAGCTGTTCCTATTCGGCCATCTTGGCTCCTCCCTTCATATGCACGTTTTTTTTTTGTTGTTTTTTTTTTTTTTTTGAGACGGAATCTTGTTGCTCTGTCACCCAGGCTGGAGTGCAGTGGTGCAATCTCGGCTCACTGCAACCTCTGTCTCCTGGGTTGAAGTGATTCTCATGCCTCAACCTCCTGAGTAGCTGGGATTACATAGATGCACACCACCATGCTTGGCTTATCTTTGTATTTTTAGTAGAGACAGGGTTTTGCCATGTTGGCCAGGCTGGTCTAGAACTACTGACCTCATGTGATCTGCCTGCCTCAGCCTCCCAAAGTGTTAGGATTACAGGTGTGAGCCACTGCGCCTGGCCTCCTTTGCCTTTTGTCATGAGTAGAAGCAGCCTGAAGCCCTCATCAGAAGCCCAGCAGATGCTGGCACCATGCTTCTTGTACAGCCTGCTGAACCGTGAGTGAAATAAGCCTCTTTTCCTTATAAATTATTCAGCCTCAGGTATTCCTTTATAAAGCAACACAAAACAGACTAAGACAATTAGTTTTTTGTGTAGACTTATGTTGTCAATTCTCTTGTGTATATATGTCGGAGTGGACTTGCTAGGTCATATATTTATGTTTTGAGGAACTGCCAAACTATTTTCCAAAGTGGTGGCACCATTTAACATTCTCACCAACAATACATGAAGGTTCCAGTTTTTCCATGTCCTTGACAACACTTGTTATTTTCTGTCTTTTTGATGCTAGCCACCCTGCTGGGTATGAAGTGGTATCTCATCGTGGTTTTGATTTGCATTTCCCTAATAACTAATGATGCTGAGCATCTTTTCATGTACTTATGGGCCATTTCAATTTTTCTTTGGAGAAATATCTATCTAAATCCTTTGCTCATTTTAAAATCAGGTTTTAAAAAATTATTATTAAGTTATAAGCACAGTAACTATTTAAATCATCACTTAAGCAGTCAATATTTCTGAAAAATGATATACTTTAAACAAAGTAGGATATTTATGCAGTTGTAATGTTGATGTTTTCAGGTCAGTCACAAGAGGCATAGGCATCACTTGTTTATTAATATAAAGGCAAAACCATTAACTAGCATTAGCATTTCATTATAAATACATTTAATCTCAAATCTCTTGTTAAAAGTTAACTGCTAACATTTTCAGTTTCACCAACTCTGAATGAAGTAAAATCAGATTGGCTAGATCCTTTATGAACATGTCTAGTGTCACTTGGCTGTTCCAGTCAGTGCTCCCAAATGTTAAATGCCTTTATGTTTCTGCCTTAGCATTAATTACTCTTATGAAATAAACTTATCAAGGCCTATAGTCTCTGACTCTCAAGAAAGGCCTTTGAGGGTATGACTTTCACTTTCAATGAGCGTCAGAAACCACTAGAGTAAAATATTAATTTACTCCAAATGCTGTAAGTTGCTTATTAATGATCTCCCATGGCAATGTTACAGGTTTAAGCCTCAATTCTCTAGAGGTGGCATTACGTTTTCTTATCAGAGCTTAGGTTTAGGAAAATCCATGATGATAGCAAACAATTTAAAAACTATATAATTGAAACAAATTCAGCTCTTGGTTTCCCATCCTCCCTTACTTCCCATCCTCCTCTGTGGTCATTTCAGAATTCCATTCTCTCTTGAACTCTTTCCTCACCAGCTTCCTTCACAATTCCATCAGGCAGCCTTTCCTTCTATCTCATTGTGAAACAGAGGCCATCAGATAGGAGCTCCCTCAACGTCCTCCCACCCCACAGAGCAAAACCACCTGTGCCTGCCTCCATTAATCACTGGTCCCTACAGTCCCTATGGAAGAGATGTTTCCCTACCCATGTGAGGCTCGTCCCTGTGCTTCCTGTCTCATCCCATCCAGCCTCCTCACAGACCCCATCCCATCAGCTCCCCCTACTCTCCTCTATTTGCAGCCTCACCTATTCTCCTGACCTCTTCCCACTAAACTTTAAAAATGCTCATTTGTCCTGTGTTATAAAAACAACAATTCCTCTTTGAGCTCCTCTGACTTCGTCTAATTGCAAACCTATGTGTTTCTTTCCTTCATGGGCCAATTTCTGTGTCCCTTTCTTCATCTCCCTTTCACTCCTTCAACTGGTTGTACTTCTATAATTTTTTGTTAATGTATATTGGAATAAAATTGAGAGACAACTAGGAGATATCGAGCAAAGAAGAAGGAAAGACATTCTACATGTTACTGAACCGAACTTGGGTCTGCCTGCTTGGCTCAGGAAGGCTAAACATCTACACCATGTTGTGCAGTGAAAGAAAGGAGTGAGTTTATTTGTGTGGCACCAAGCAAGGAGATTTGGCCAGCTCACACTTAAGACCCAGCCTCTCTGATGGCTTACAAGTAAAGGTTTTAAAGGCAGGGGTAAATTTTAGGAAAGCAGGAGTTACAGGCAAAATTACTAATCCTTACACGGAGGTAATACATTGGTTTGGCCCCAAAAGATGGGATGTCTTGAAGGAGGGGCTTAGAGATCATAGATGGATTTAAAGATTCTTTGATTTGCAATTGGTTATAGAAATAAAGCTTTGTGTAAAAACTTAGGGTCAACAGAAAGGAATGTTAAGGTCTGGCCTGTGGGTATGACTCTTTTTAGACTTCTCAGGAAGAAATTTAGGACAAAGAACAGCAGTCAGAGTTCAGTCTTCAGTTTCCCTTTATCTGAGGCCTATTGCCAGTGGACAGACAGCATTTTCCATTTGAGGGGGGGTTGGGTTTTTGATAAACAACTCAAGGACGTATGTTAAGATGTTATCTTTAGTTTTTATACAGAATCAAATATTTTGTGGCTGTATTATTTTTGGTTATTGTTTTGAGCTATTATTATCTTTTTGTTTATATCAGGCTGTTTATTTACTTCTTAAAGCTAGCTAGGCACCTGGAATGCCCCTTGAAGGAACTCAAGATTTTACTTTATTTTTAAAATTTACTTTATTTACTTTATTTTTTAAGCCTATGGGCCCCTAAGAGGGTTTGCTGCTCTGTTTCAGTCCTCCGTCTTTCATAATTTCTCAATCCTGAGAGGGTGTAGAGAGCACTCTGGCTACTTCTTGTTGAATTGGGGCAAAGATTGGGGAGTAGGATATGAGGAATGAAAGTTTCTAGCAAGGCGCTCAAGATATTTATGAGTTTCATGCATGGAAACTTGACTTGGAGCTGTTATTATATTAATTCCTTTAGTCACTGTTTCATTATATATATTTGGTTATAATATAAAGCATAAACAGAATTAGCAAGATTGATATGTCTAACTTCAGCAATCCTTTTCTTTTCTTTTCTTTTTTTTTTTTTACTTCAGCAATCCTTAAGACATGGACTGTATTTTATGAGGAATCTAAGAAAATAAGGAAGAAAACCAATACTTGGGGGCAGTTGGGGATATTGGGGATACTGGTTATAACCAAGTGGTTTGTTTTAACATTTTTTTAGATTAGTTTTTATTGTTTGCAGATTTATTTATATAAGCATAACATGTGACATTTATAACCATATATATATATGGTTTAGGTAAGATGTACTCTAAGACTATTTTATTATCTAATACAACCTGAGTCAATGAATTAACTTTTTTTTTTTTTTTTTCTGCTGGGCAGCTATTGCCAATGTAGTTTTATCAGTAAGAATTTTTTAAGTTAGGGAGAGGTTTTTAATTATATGTTCATGGGACACTACTCTTGACCAATGTAACAATGTGTGCTCAAAGAAGTACCCAGCTCCACCTTTTTGGTACAATCTGCATTGTGAGTTTGTGGGCCGTTTAGTTCTATCAAGTAATTTTAGGGAGCTAGTTCAGTGTTTGGTTTTAGCAGATTCATGTATAGAAAGAGGGATAATTGAGTAATCTAGCAGGCAAATTTGTTTTCTATATACCAATTGTCAATATATTTATAAGTCCAGTGGGATTTCTTTTGGGGTACTTTTCACAAGTAGATATTTTGGAGGAGTACAGAGGACCCAGAAATACTGTACAGATTAAGCTTGGAGTCTTGTGTCAGGGCATTGTGGGTTGGATTACATCAAAGATCCATAGCCAGTGGGTCTATTTTTGAACATTGTTTATATTGATTTTCTTTTTAAAAAAATTAAAAATTTTTTTCACCTTATTTTTAGTATCTTCTTTCTCTCCATTGAATGTTGTTTGGTAGTAAAGAGCTGCTGAATTTGACAAGATCCAAGATAAGAGTTTGGAGGTATTTCTGAGCAGGACTTTAGGGGATGGTAGTAATAGAAGTAAGGGCTATTAATATTTTTTTCTCAAGCCGATAGTGTACTAAACAGAGGAAGAGTGTATGATTATTTTCCCCCAGCAAACTTGATTAAGAAAGCTCTAAGAAGCAGGGGGCATACAACATTAGTCTTTTTTATGTAGCATTTTTTAGTTTGGTCAGAAAATAAGAAACTCTTGGTTAATTATGGTGAAATTAACAGGCTTGGAGGGTTTAGAGCAAACTTTAGGCTCTTTTAGAAAGGAGTTAGGATGAAGCAGGGAACTGGAGACATAGGGTCTTGGGTTGTTAACCTTTACTCAATAGGTCACAAGATTGGGGGTGCTCTTTATTTTACCTTATGGTAAACTTAGGAACAACCGTAAAGTTAGTTACAGGCATGATTAAAGGGTCCGTATAGTCATGAACCAGAAATAGTTTGTGATGACATATTTAGTAATTGGTTAAATTTCCTGAAGAGGCCAGAGATTGGAAAACTTTAACTATAGAGTTATATTTTTATGCAAGTGTAAGGGTCAAAGAAGCAATGATATAAACAAAAATCTTGTTGGCCAATTTCTAGAGGAACAACTAGAATGTTATAGTAAGTAATATACATATATAATATATATTTAATTTTGTTATGAACTGAAATTTTTATTAATTTTTAGTAAAATAAAGATACCTAAGGTGTTGCATTATTACTATAATTTAGTGAAAAAATAAAATATAATCTATATAATTTTAGAACAAATAACAAGTTTTATTTTTAATTACAAATTTGCAAGCCAAATGGTTAAAAGGTTTGCGCAGCAAATATAAGGAGCTAAGCAAACAGGAAATTAATAAATTGTCCCTATATATAATATGTAAATATGTAGGGCCAGGAATTAGTCATTATTTATTTATAGATTTTAAAAATAATTTTTAATTTAAGGCCTGATCGTGGCTCATAGGAATAGCGGGAATTAGCAGGAGCTGGGTCTTTAAAAGTTTGATTGGCTGGGTCTTGTGGGTCCACAGCTGGATCAGGAACTGGCTTTATCTGAGAATGAAGAATATACAGCTTATTTTTAAAAAATTTAATAGAATAGCATGCTATTAATAAAATCTGATATGGCCTCATCCGCTGTGGTTTAAGCTGGTCTCTGGAATGGATATCTCTCCAAGTTTTGAGAGGCACCCAGTTTTCTGGCTTTATTTTATGGAGAGGAATATCCGTGGGATGTATCATCCTATTAGAGGCAAATTTATGGATGGCATTTAAAGTTACACCCCAAAACTGTATATACTTGACAGTGTCTAATTCTGATTTTTAAATCATTTATCTGTTTGCCTATTGGTGCAGACTATAGGAAGGGTCTTTCATACAAGATTTCATAAGAACTTGAAGCCTGCTTTTAGGAGCCTCTCTAATTTTAAGCAGTGTAACTGGCAATATCTTTCCCTATGTGAGACTTGTTTCCTGAAAACATTTTGTAACATCTTCTTCCAAGGTGTGTTATTTGTTTGCTTGTTTGTTTAGTCTTTTTAGTGGACTGGAGTCTGTAATTTTTATTTAATTTTCAGCTATCTGGATAACTCCAGGGTTACCTTGACAATAAAGGCACTGCCGTTATCACTCTGTATGGTGAATGGCAATCTAAATCTGGGGATAATTTTTTTTTTAGTAAAGCTTTTATTATTTTTGAAGTCCTCTCAGTAAAACAGGGAAAGGCTTTCACCCATCTGATAAATGTGTTCACCATTATTACTGAATATTAATTTTGTTTTTTGCTCTTGGCATTATATTAAGCTTATTTGCCAGTCTTCCCCCTGTGTGTCACCTCTTGCTTATATCCTTTTTTGGTGTGGGTGAACCTGAGTTTGAATTGTTTTTTGCACGGTGTATACATTTTTCTATAACCTTTTGTATAGTCCTTTGCATAGTAAGATCTATGATGTAATTCTGGATCCACTTAATCATGGTACAATTGTTATAGTAGGTGTTCTAATAAATTGAATTATTTTTTTAATCAAAATTTTAGGGATCAGGACTATTTTTTTTTTTTTCCGCTGGCTTGTAGTCCAGGAGTTAGGTTTTAGGGCCATTACATTGAAACCTGAATTTTTTATTCATCTTAAATCTTTGTGGGATATGTTGAATAAAAAGTGGCCAACTCTCTATGTGGAACCAGGCTATAACAGTGGGAGTTTTTGGCCAGGCAGCTAACTTAGCAGTCTGGTCTGTTTTGTTATTTTTATGAAATACTGAACAGTTTGATTTTTGATGGCTTGGGCAATGTATGGTTGCCATCGTTTTGGGTTTTAATACCACATTTAGTAATTAAAGAAATTTTTGTTCACATTTGTTTGTCCCCCCTGATGTTAACAGCCCCTTATTTTAAAAAGTGGCCCCATGTGCATGTATCACGGAGAAGACACACTTTAAATAAGTGTAAATGTTTAACTTTTTGTCTTTTTTCTGGTGAAGGGCATGGGTGAGGGCTATTAGTTCTGCCTTCTGAGCAGTGTTTTAGCTTTTATAATATCTTTCAAAGTTAACACCACACATCCAGCTTTCTGATTTTTCTGATCCATGCAACTGTTGTTATCTGTGAACATCTCCAGATTCGGTTCTTCCGAGGGCACATCTGTCAGGTCAGGGTGACTATAATAGGCTTGTTTAATAATCAATAATCAGTTATGCCTAGGTTCCTCTGATGGGTTAGGGAGTGGGGCAGTGGGATTTAAGGTGAACACAGTCCTTAGTGTCACATTAAGATTATCCAAGAGAATTGCTTGGTATTTTCCCAGCCGACCTGAAGTAAGCCAATAACCACCTTTTTGTTCTAATAATGATAATACACAATGTAGGGGATGTATGGCTTTGGGCTGTCCCCAGGTGAATTTTTACCTTTTTGTAGTAAGTCACAGGTGGTGGCTACTGCCCTGAGGCACAATGGCCATTCGTGGGTTATGCTATCCAAAGTCTTTGAAAAGTGTGGCACAGGACACTTAGCATCTCCTAGATTTTGGGTACATACCCTCAATCCTATTTTTTGTCTTTCATGTACAAACAGATCTAATGGCTTTTAAAAATATGGCAGTACTAAAGCCAGAGCTGTCAAAAATTAAAAAAAAATCATTCAAAAGGCTTTTTGGCATTTGTTAGTCCATACTACAGGCTCATGGTTGGTTTCTTTTAGGGCACTATATAGGAGTTTTGCCATCAACCTGAAATGAGGAATCCATATACAGCAAAATCCAGCCATTCCTAACAACCCTAATAATTGTCTTTTGGTGGTTGGATGGCTAACCCTTGCTACTGCCTCCTTCTGTCTCCTGTTAATTTAAATCCTATAGACTTTACGGAGGGCTGAGAAATTCACTCTTTTTTGGCATACCTCATAGCCTCTCTCAGCCAGGAAATTTAAAGTGGTTATAGTATTTTTATTTGAGCTTTTTCAGGTTTTACTTACTATCATTATGCCATCTACATATTAAAGGAGAGCCCTCTTGTAACTGGAGTTCCCTTAGGTCTATTGCCAGCACTTCTCCAAACGAGATGGGGGAGAGGGGTTTGAACACTTGTGGAAATAGAGTCTAGTAATATTGGTGTGTATTTTTTGTTTCTGGATTTTGTCATTCAAAAACAAAGACCTCTTGAGGTTTGAGATGAGGGGGATGTAGAAAAATGTATCTTTCAGGCCTAATACTGTGAACCAACCAAAGACTTCTGACAAAAATTATCACCAAATACTCAGGTGGGTTTTCATTCAGCCTCTGTCATAATTCTTGAACTTTATTAAAAAAGCTATGCTGTTTTGGGTTTCTTTTCTAAGGCCTGCTAAAATACAATCTCTATAATGCTCTAGATGTGCTTGACTCACATGGTTTGTATTCCGTCTGGGGTCTGTGGTTGGGACAGCCTCCGCAGCAGCTGCCTGAACCAGATTTCTAGGAGCCTCGACATGTTCCTGGCCCACTTATTTCCAAGGGTTTTCTCGGACTATTCTCTGCTCTTCAGAGGTAAACAAAGTATTTAGTAAATTTTGCACACCAGCTCAATTAGAATTATGACTAGCAAAAATGGAGGAGAACAAATTTTGTATTGTTCTTGAGTCATCCCAGTAGGTAGTCATGTTATTCCTTCAATTGTATAAGGCAGAGATAGAGAATGGGGTGTGCACCTGTACAAGTCCTGCCTGCTGACCCTGGGCATTGATTCCATCAGTGGGTATTTGCCTTAATGGGAATTGCCCTGTCTCAACCAGAGTGGCTCCCTGACGAAATTGACTACCCTGTCAGGTGTATGAAGGAGAGTGCATTTCTCCTTCCAGTCTGTCTCTATCATTATTATTCCCCAATCCAGCCAGGGTAATAAGGGTTCCCATTTCTGTCTGTGCTAGAAGGACCATTGCCCCAGCTCCCACATCTTGCCCCCCATAGGGTGGAGAGAGGAGCATTGGGCACATTCATTTGTTGAAGCAGTAAGTCATTGTCTGATTCCTTAGAACCAGGTAAAACCTGTTTTACCCCTCCTATCCTAGGGGCATCTCTTTGAACCATGGTTTTATGTAAATTATGTTTTTTATGAATTGGTTTGCTTTGGTACAAAAGCATACAAGCTTGTATATATAGAATTTTATTTCATTCAACTTTGTGTTTACAAAACAATTTTAATTGAAAAATTGTAACATAATTTAAACACCCGTTTTCTGGCCACCTTTCCTCAGCTCCCAGGGAATATCATGGCTAGGTAGTGCTGTAATAAGAGCTCATTTTTTTCTTCTTTTTTAAATGGGCTGAAACTAAAAATGGCCCAGTTTTGCAGAATATACCCCAATGGGCTATAAGGAGGACTAAAACTTGTGTTTTCCATTTTAGATGACGAAACCATAGGTGATAAAACCTTAGTGCCTTGGCCAGTCTCTAAACAGTTTTAAGCAAGTCAAACAGATTTTAAGCAAATCAAAATCAAATGAAGTTTCTCAAGGTCTCAATCCCTTCGACTCCCTAGGGTATATCTCCACCCTCAAACTGAATGCTCTGATGAAGCAGAACCAAGTGTTTGCAGGGAAAACACCTTGATGCCATCACATATGAATTTGCCACTTACCAAAGATGTCTTCCAAGCCAAATGTCTGTTTCTAATGTGCAAAGGTGAAAGCATCATGGGCCAGGGATGGCAGCCAAACACATGGATCTTTCCCTGAGTAGAATGGCTACGGCAGCTGCTAATGGGATCCAAGGGTGGCTTTGGCCAGGGGCCAATGTGCCTTGGGTGAGATGTCCACTCAGGATTTTCATCCCATCTGGGTCACCACTAAATTGTTAGCAAACTGAACCTGGACCCACTCAGTTGGTGCAGGAAAGCCAAACATCTACACCATGTTTGGAAGTGAGAGAAAGAAGGGAGTTTATTTGTAGGGCACCAAGCAAGGAGAATTGGCCAGCTCACACTTAAGACCCAACCTCTCTGATGGTTTACAAGTAAGAATTTTTAAAGGCAGGAGTCAATTTTAGGAAATCAGAACTTACAGGCAAAATTATAAATCAATACATGGAAGTTATACATTGGTTTGGCCCCCCAAAGATGAGATATCTTGAAGCAAGAACTTACAAATCATAGGTGGATTTAAAGATTTTTTGATTTGCAATTGATTCAGGAAATAAAACTTCATCTAAAATCTAGAGGTCAGTGGAAAGGAATGTTGAGGTCTGACCTGTGAGCGTGACTTTCCTTAGGTTCCTCGGGAAGAAATTTAGAACAAAGAACAGCAGTCAGAGTTCAGTCCTCAGTTTTCCCTAATTGTAGGTTTATGTGCCAGTGGACAGCATTTTCCATTTGGTGGGGGTCCAGGTTGTTAAAAAGCAACTCAGGGACATATGATAAGACGTTATCTTTGTTTTTTAGAGGAATCCAAACATATGGGGATTCTAACTTTCTTGGCTGTTGTTTTAAGCTATTCTTTTTTCTTTTTGACATGGAGTTTCACTCTTTCGCCCAGGCTGGAGTGCAGTGGCACAATCTCGGCTCACTGCAACCTCCACCCCCAGGTTCAAGTGATTCTCCTGCCTCAGCCTCCCAAGTAGCTTGGGTTACAGGCACCCGCCATCACGCCTGGCTAATTTTTGTATTTTTAGTAGAGACGGGGTTTCGCCATGTTGGCCAGGCTGGTCTCGAACTCCTGACCTCAGGTGATCCACCCGCCTCAGCCTCCCAAAGTGCTAGGATTACAGGTGTGAGCCACCTTGCCTGGCTAAGCTATTCTTTTTTTTTTTTTTTTTGAGATGAAGTGTTACTGTGTCACCCAGGCTGGAGTGCAGTGGCATGGTCTTGGCTCACTGCAACCTCTGCCTACCGGGTTCAAGCGATTCTTCTGCCTCAGCCTCCTGAGTAGCTGGGACTACAGGTGCGTGCCAGCATGCCTGCCTAATTTTTATATTTTTATTGGAGATGGGGTTTCACCATATTGGCCATGCTGGTCTCGAACTCTTGACCTTGTGATCCTCCCCCGGCTAAGCTGTTGTTATCTTTTTGTTTACATCATGTTGTTTATTTGCTTTCTAAGGACAACTAGGTGCCTGGAATTTCTCTTGAAGGAACTCGAGATTTTCCTTTATTTTTATGCTTGGGGAAGGGGGACAGGTAGGGTCCTAAGCAGAGTTCCTGCTCTGTCTCAGAGGCAAAGAGAATAGTGTGAACAAAGGCCTGGAGTTGAAACCATAAGTAGTTTCAGTTCATTTTTAATTATAAAATGAAAGGGGAAGAGCACTTAGAGAAGAGATGGTAAGGGAAGCAAAGATCAGATAATGAGGGCCATATAATGTGGGTAGACCTATGTCCTGTGGGCTCTAAATAGCAAGCCAAGGGAATTTAAAAAGGAAGTAACCTGGTCAGACTTGAGTTTTACACAGACATCTCTATTTGCACTATGAAGAATAGATTAGAAGGAGCAAGACCGATCTGCAGGGAGAGGAGATAAAAGACTGTTATGGTGATCCGAGAGAGATGATTTCTCCCCCTGAACTAGGGTAATGGCAGTGGAGTTGAAGGGAAGTAGACAGATTGAGAGACACACAGGCAGCAGATATGCCAAGATTTGGTGATTGATCAGAGAAGGAAAGGGTGCAGGTGAAAGTGGAGTAGTGAATGGTACAGCTTTATGAAATGGGTGACTGAGTGGATCATAGTACCTACATTCACACAGGCGACAATAGAAAATAGGCCAAGTGTGAAGGGGTTGCACAATTGCTGTTTGGACATAATCCATTTGATGTGTCTCTGGGAAATTTATATGGTGATGTTGAGTAGATAGTTGCATACATGGATCTGGTCCTTAAGAGACAGCTGTAAGCTAAGTTAATATGTTGCAAGTCTGAGCATGGGACAAGATGATAGCTCCAAGAAAGAATGTTAAATGAGGAGAAAAAATGACTAGTTCTGGGGAATATCAATATTTGAAAGACAAAGAAAAGAAGAGTCTGCAAAGGTCACTGACAAGAAGCAGCCAAAAATATAGAAAAAAAATTTCTGGAAATAAAAAAGTTGTCATCGGCATCAAATGATTCAGAGTGGTGCAATAACATAGGAACTGGAATATGTCTCTTTGCTTTAACCAAAAGAAGGTTTTTGGTGCTTTTTTTTTTTCTTGTTTATTTTTCTTTTCTTTTTTTTTTTTTATTATACTTTAAGTTTTAGGGTACATGGAGAATAGTTTCAGGGGTATGTTCATACAGCTAGTTAGTTGCAGGCCCGAGATTTGAAGCCCGGTCTTCCTAACTTTAAAACCCACATATATAGTGATTAAGAGTGAACATCTCATTGTACTTGACTTTCAAATTCAATTAGCAAATGCCATCAGACCTCCAAGATACTTTTAATAAAAGTAATATTCTTTAATATTATGATGGAAACAGTTTCCAAACCAGCAAATGTCATTATGTCTGGAAATAGAACTTTTATTGATGTATATGGATGAATAACGCTACAATTTGTTTCAGGATCCGTGTCATAGAGTCATCTTAATGCTAAGTCTATTACACATGAATTCCTTTTTGTTATTTCAAATCCAGTGGTCCAAAGCAGACTCACATAATAGTCTGTTGCAGCAGAGAAAAGGATGGAGAATGATGGAGGAACGTAATGCCAGAGAAGAGGATAAGATATTAGAGTAGAGACCTTAGTGCAGTGAGGAACAAATCCATGCACACATTCAGGGTAAGGTATCTCTGCAGAGAAAACAGAAAATGCAAAAATCCCTAAAATGGAAAAGGGTTTACCTTGTGGAAGGCAAAGCAAGAAAGTCTTAGGCTTAATTCTTTAGTGGAACCATTCAAAAGTCTTAAAGCGTTCAATTTTTAGCTTTTTTTCTTCTTTTTAAAATTTTTAAAAATGTGTTTTGAAAATGAAATCTCATACAGAAAAGGTGCAGTAATGTTTTTCTTTTGAATCATTTGGGAGTAAGTTGCCAACATTGCCCATCACCCCTAATTTTAATTAATTAATTAATTTGTTTGTTTATTTATTTTGAGACAGAGTCTCACTCTGTCACCCAGGCTGGAATGCAGTGGCATGATCTCAGCTCACTGCAACCTCTGCCTCCCTGGCTCAAGCGGTCTTGTGTCTTAGCCTAGTAGCTGGGATTACAGGCATGTGCCACCATGCCCAGCTAAGTTTTGTATTTCAGTAGAGTTGGGTTTCACCATATTGCCCAGGCTGGTCTCGAACTCCTGAGCTCAAGCAATTCACCTGCCTTGGCCTCCTAAAGTGCTGGGATTACAGGCGTGAGCCACAGCGCCTGGCTGACCCCTAAGTTTTGAATGTGCATTTTCTACAAATAAAGATGAGCCCTGGGGACAACATCTTGAGAAAACAATATGATATTTTCTAAATGGTTTCATCATTGAGTATATTAAATGCATTCAAGAAGAAGAATAATGCTTATTGTATTTATAATAGCCTATATGAATAAATAAATACAATGAGTTAATATATTAATACTTATCAAAAGTTTGGAGTACAACACATTCTCTTTTATAGATCCTCATTAAATAGGTCAGAAGTTTGAGACCAACCTGACCAACATGGAGAAAACCTGTCTGTACCAAAAATACAAAATTAGCCGGGCGTAGTGGTGCATGCCTGTAATCCCAGCTACTCGGGAGGCTGGGGCAGGAGAATCGCTTGAACCTGGGAGGCGGAGGTTGCAGTAAGCCGAGATTGTGCCATTGCACTCCAGCCTGGGCAACAAGAGTAAAACTCCGTCTAAAAAAAAAATTTTTGTTGAATGACCGAGTGAGTTAAATACATTATTTCCTCAGAAATATTTTATACTTTCACATTTTTAGTTCGGGCAATTTTATTTGGATGCAATATCTCTAATACCCTAATTGTAATATCATATAATTCAGCATTATTATATTACACTATTACATTATTAATTTAGATGGTTAAGTGTGCTTATGTAATTTATTTCTCATTTGCAGCTTTAATTCAGTTTTTAATTTTGCATTTTTTTCTTTACAAAAATCAATATTAATGAAAGATTGGTAGTTCTAATATACAAAACAAGATTTTTAGTTAAAGGTATATAATTATCTAAGTGAACTTCTAAGTAATTGAATACATTAGAAATGATATATTTCTTGTTATTATCTCACTGACTGTAATATCAAACTTGTGTCTTATAAGGCAAACAGTTCCTTCCATTTATTATCTTGGTTGCTAACATGGGCATTTGGGTATTACTATTCTCAGGAAGAACTGTAATGACATCTGTGACATTTCCTGCTGTTGAATAGTTAAATTTTATTTATTTAATAATACCCATGATTTTGAGGTTCCGTTAGCCTCAAAGCATTGATTTTTCAAGTCATGATCCTCTAGAACTGACCTCTTAAAGTAATCTTTATATTATAATTTTGATTGCTTCTACCAAGTGAATACTGATATATGGCAGAACTCACCAATACAGGCATGTCTAGCTGCCTTAACTGGGCATGCTTGGCTTAGATGCCTGTCTTGGAGACTCTATATAATTACCACATATGTAGATGCAATGAGGAGAAAGAAGGAAGAATGAACAAATATGAAATGGTAGCTTAAGTAAAAGAACAAAGAAAGCAATTAACTAGTAATAGAACACTAATCTACTCTTCACTGATTATGGCACCTCCTATTATCTAAAGGAGTTTTTGTGTTGACAATAGATGTAGACATTATTCTTTACTTAAAAATTGTTTTACATTTTATTTATTTATTAAAAATAGAAATGAGTTCTCACTGTGTTGCCCAGGTTGATCTTGAACTCCTGGGCTCAAGCAATCCTCCTGCCTCAGCCTCCCAAAGTGCTGGGATTACAGGCATGGGCCATGATGCCCAGCCAAGACATTATTCTCAAGAGATGGGTGACATTAAAAGAGCAGTGATACTTCTACAAAATACTTCCAGTGCCTTCATGATTATTATGATGTTATTTCAATGATGTCTTATTGAGATACTTGACATTGATTCATTTCTTCTCTTGCCTACCTCTTTGAGGTTACCACACTAAGAATGACATGTCTAACTGAGGAGAATCCATCATTGTAGTATTTATCATGTTTCTTAGAAATTAGATTTGTCCACACAAATGTACAATTTTTTTGTAGATTTTTTTTAATGGCTTTTTATTTTGGTAACTGTGGAAGTCTTCATTTGTAATGATGCAGATATCGTACTCTTGTTGAGAACATCAGTCTGTACTGATCGACATACGTCTGCACACTCTTCGAGGTTATTGTTTGCAGTAACTTAACCCATTGAATTGGTATTATTTTCCTCATTTGTGTGCAATGCTTCTTGTATATTCTGTAATTTCAAGATACCTCTTACTAAAGTTTATAGAAATGACCTGTACCCCTTAGGCAAAGTGGCTTAGAGCATGGATTCTGGAGCTATAAATCTCTGGCTATGAACCCTAGCTCCACCACTTAATGGCATATGATATGGGGCAAGTTGCTTGTTCTCTTTGTGTCTTAGCTTCTTCATGTGTAAAATGGTTAAAACAACAATAACAGCCTACCACATAAGGCTGCTGTGAGGTTTAAATGATAAATGTGTTAAAGGACTTCAGATAATTCCTGGTACACAGTAAGTACTAAATAAATGCTAACTAAGAGGTTCTAAGCATTATTAAGTAAATAAGTATTAAATAGTATTTGTGTTAAGTTCACTGGTACTAATCAAAATACTTTCCAGCTTTGTGCACTTTTAGGTGGGATTGAGGCTTTCCTTGTCTTCTCCACTTGTTTCTAATTTATGTCCCAATTTGTTTAGGTGTTTTAAACTATATTTGAAGGGAGTCTTATGAATAAGCCATACTCATATCTGAATCTCACCAGCGTCAGTTGAATTGATTAGTGTCAATGAACATGCATTTCTCTGTCTCCACCACAGAGTAACTCTTGCACTGTCTTCGAATGTTAGCAAGCCAACCTAAAGCCTGGAAGTAACACTTGTTGCAACTCCTAATAGTTGACTGTGTAACTCTCCCTGATACATCTGGCTTCTAATAACAGGGGCTTAAAGAAAGACGGGTATTTGGATTTCTAATTACAAGGGCTTAAAGAAGGGAGAATATTTTTAAATACAAAGGCTTTGAATGCAGCCAATAATAATTCATCATCATCATGAAGCATCTAAACTCTGTGGAAAGAAACTGAGTGATATTAATGAAATGAACTAGGTCTGTCTCTGGGAATAATAGTTACTATTCTATTTGTAGATACAGCAAGTTTTGTTATGTTTTGTGTCAAGGAATGCGGTTGTCCCATACTTATTTTAGAAATGTTAAGGTAAATCTAGATTAATTTAGTTTTAAGGATTTTATGATACCCTTTGGGGTTATTTGTCATGGCTGACCTAGGTATCACAAAAGGAGCCTTGGGAATCACTGGCCAATTTGTAACTCACTATTCACACTTATTGTCAAAAAAGCCAAAATAAATGCACCAACTATACTATCATCCACAGATTTCATTCACCTCTAGATCCAGCCAAAGACTAGTTTTATAGCAACTTGAAATAAAAGGGCATACTTCTGTGTTATAAGGCAAAGAATGAGACTGGAAGTAATACAGGGAAAAAGCATGAGATTAAACATTGATACTTTTTATAGTCAAACTCACTATAACTCATGAGAATTCTTGTTTAGAGTGTAGTTGAAATAATTTATCTCATTACTGAATAGGCTATTAGAGACTGAGTGCATGGAGAGAGGGGGCTGAGAAAGTGTAATTTGATGACCAAAAAAAAAGAAGAGTGGGATTAGAATGACTGACCTGGTACTAAGACCCTTCAGTTCAAGGGATGAACAAAAGCATTTCTCTTCCTGCCTCCATAAATCACGTATGACCTGTTCAAGCCCGATTCACCAACTAGGGCAGAGCAGAGGTCACCCTGACATAAACCCACAGACAGGAGGCCCCTACAGATTTATTTAAGCTTGGGAAGATTCTGGTTTTTGTTCTTTTTTTCCTTCTTTTTTTTTCCCAGACTCCCACTGCAATGCCACGGGAAGTTTGGCTATATCCCAGGAGCCAGCAGTGGACAGCTAAGCTTAAAATGACGAAATTACATCAGGCTTATTTGCTAACGATCTGAATTTACATCAGAATTTTGCAACTCTAGCTGTTTCTGTGTGGATTGAACACATGTAATTTATATATTTCTCCTGCCCTTCTACAGCACTAACCAAATGATAGACCCACTTTTCTTGCTAAATTCTAGCTAAGTTGAAATCATATGTAGAATTTGAATGGGACAACAGTTTCATTCATTAATGTAATAGATACTGAGTGATACCCTGCTAGTGTGTGTGTGTGTGTGTGTGTGTGTGTGTGTGTGTGTGTGTGTGTGTGTTTGAAAAAACAAACCATAAAAAGCTAACGCCCCTAAATATTTTCCACTCTAGAAGGGGAGCTGTAGTTTCACACTGGCAACTCTTGACAAGCATAACTGCTATGAAATTTCAGCTAGATGATGAAGACATAGTTGGTGGAGCATATAGGCATTCTACTTAGAGAAAACTTTAAGTGTCATGGCACGGAGGCAATGAAGTTCAGATGTTTATGGGAAATAGTTCATTCATTCCATAAATATTTATAAAGCAGCTAGTATGTGACAAACACTGTTCTAGACCCTGGAGATCCAGCACTTAAATAAGGTCAAATCTTTGCTCTCATGAGGCTTACATTCTGAGAGACAAGAGATAGATGGTAAACAAATCAATTAGATAATTTCAGATAGTGATAAGTATTATGAATAAAACAAAACAGGAGTAATATGATAGAGCACAAATGGGGTGGACAATATTAGATAGAGTGTTCAGGGAGGAGTTTGGTTTGACTAGAGAGTAGAATCTGTAAATAGGATGATGGAATAGAAAACTAGAAAGATGTATTGGAGAGGCTGTAATAAATATTTAATGCTGGGCCTGATTATCTCTTTTTGGGCATTTCTAGAAAACACTAAGTACTTCAATTCTCAAAAAAGTGTGACTCTTGTGCTCATTTTCCTGACCAATGCATGGTCTTTTCTAGAACTACGTATAGAGGCACACCTGCATCCTTGCTTGACATCTAAGTGGAAATGGGCACTGTTACAGCTTGTGTCACTTAACTTTATTCATTTTATAAGTGCCTAAGTGGCTTATCTTGACAAGCTTATTCAGGAAATATTTAAGAATCTTTTTCTCAGTTGCTCATGAAGCGTTTTCAAATCACAGTTAACATCAGTTTATTATTTGTCACGTGTTTCATTAGAATTACCTCTCAATGAAGTCTATCCACACAGAAATCTACAAGCTTCAGCCACTTTTCAGTTGTTTTTGTAAAAATGACAAAATACAGTTTTGACAAATTGTCATTTTTTTACTTCTATACCTAAAGAAAAGCCCCCAAACCCTACCCTGGTAAAACAGATTTGTTTCAAATGTTTCAGGAATATAATTTTTCATTCAATGCAAACATGAAATATGTTAGCTAAAAAGGAGAGTTTGGCTCTTTAAAGCTAAAACTTTTTTAAAGAGAGTTTTAAGCGTATGAGGTGTAGTGGAAATTCTTAATCAATGATTTCTTGACACAAAGCCTATTAATTGAACACTATTAGCCTTATTATTGTTTTAAAAGTCTATACTTTTTATAGTAGATCCCACAGTTTGTAAGGCTTATAGGAAAGCTATTAAGAGTATGTCTTACTAAAAGATAACAGTGTTTTTTTAATTATACTTTAAGTTCTAGGGTACATGTGCACAACATGTAGGTTTGTTACACATGTATACATGTGCCGTGTTGGTGTGCTGCACCCATTAACTCGTCATTTACATTAGGTATATCTCCTAATGCTATCCCTACCCCCTCCCCCAAGCCCACAATGGGCCCCAGTGTGTGATGTTCCCCTTCCTGTGTCCAAGTGTTCTCATTGTTCAATTCCCACCTATGAGTGAGAACATGCGTGTTTGGTTTTTTGTCCTTGCAATAGTTTGCTGAGAATGATGGTTTCCAGCTTCATCCATGTCCCTACAAAGGACATGAACTCATCCTTTTTTATGGCTGCATATCATTCCATGGTGTATATGTGCCACATTTTCTTAATCCAGTCTATCATTGATGGACATTTGGGTTGGTTCCAAGTCTTTGCTATTGTGAATAGTGCCACAATAAACATACGTGTGCATGTGTCTTTATAGCAGCATGACTTGTAATCCTTTGGGTATATACCCAGTAATGGGATGGCTGGGTCAAATGGTATTTCTAGTTCTAGATCCCTGAGGAATCACCACACTGTCTTCCACAATGGTTGAACTAGTTTACAGTCCCACCAACAGTGTAAAAGTGTTCCAATTTCTCCACATCCTCTCCAGCACCTGTTGTTTCCTGACTTTTTAATGATCGCCATTCTAACTGGTGTGAGATGATATCTCATTGTGGTTTTGATTTGCATTTCTCTGATGGCCAGTGATGATGAGCATTTTTTCCTGTGTCTTTTGGCTGCATAAATGTCTTCTTTTGAGAAGTGTCTGTTCATATCCTTCACCCACTTGTTGATGGGGTTATTTTTTTCTTGTAAATTTGTTTGAGTTCTTTGTAGTTTCTGGATATTAGCCCTTTGTCAGATGAGTAGATTGCAAAAATTTTCTCCCATTCTGTAGGTTGCCTATTCACTCTGATGGTAGTTTCTTTTGCTGTGCAGAAGCTCTTTAGTTTAATTAGATCCCATTTGTCAATTTTGGCTTTTGTTGCCATTGCTTTTGGTGTTTTAGACATGAAGTCCTTGTCCATGCCTATGTCCTGAATGGTAATGCCTAGGTTTTCTTCTAGGGTTTTTATGGTTTTAGGTCTAACATTTAAGTCTTTAATCCATCTTGAATTAATTTTTGTATAAGTTGTAAGGAAGGATACAGTTTCAGCTTTCTAAATATGGCTAGCCAGTTTTCCCAGCACCATTTCTTAAATTGGGAATCCTTTCCCCATTGCTTGTTTTTCTCAGGTTTGTCAAAGATCAGATGGTTATAAATGTGTGGTATTATTTCTGAGGGCTCTGTTCTGTTCGATTGGTCTATATCTCTGTTTTGGTACCAGTACCATGCTGTTTTGGTTACTGTAGCCTTGTAGTATAGTTGGAAGTCAGGTAGCGTGGTGCCTCCAGCTTTGTTCTTTTTGCTTAGGATTGACTTGGCAATGTGGGCTCTTTTTTGGTTCCATATGAACTTTAAAGTAGTTTTTTCCAGTTATGTGAAGAAAGTCATTGGTAGCTTGATGGGGATGGCATTGAATCTATAAATTACTTTGGGTAGTATGGCCATTTTCACAATATTGATTCTTCCTATCTATGAGCGTGGAATATTCTTCCATTTGTTTGTGTCCTCTTTTGTTTCATTGAGCAGTGGTTTGTAGTTCTCCTTGAAGAGGTCCTTCACATCCCTTGTAAATTGTATTCCTAGGTATTTTATTCTCCTTGAAGCAATTGTGAATGGGAGTTCACTCATGATTTGGCTCTCTGTCTGTTATTGGTGTATAAGAATGCCTGTGATTTTTACACATTGATTTTGTATCCTGAGACTTTGCTGAAGTTGCTTATCAGCTTAAGGAGATTTTGGGCTGAGACAATGGGGTTTTCTAGATATACAATCATGTCATCTGCAAACAGGGACAATTTGACTTCCTCTTTACCTAATTGAATACCCTTTATTTCTCCTGCCTGATTGCTCTGGCCAGAACTTCCAACACTATGTTGAATAGGAGTGGTGAGAGAGGGCATCCCTGTCTTGTGCCAGTTTTCAAAGGGAATGCTTCCAGTTTTTGCCCATTCAGTATGATAATGGCTGTGGGTTTGTCATAAATAGCTCTTATTATTTTGAGATACATCCCATCAATACCTAATTTATTGAGAGTTTTTAGTGTGAAGGGCTGTTGAATTTTGTGGAAGGCCTTTTCTGCATCTATTGAGATAATCATGTGGTTTTTGTCTTTGGTTCTGTTTATATGCTGGATTATGTTTATTGATTTGCGTATGTTGAACCAGCCTTGCATCCCAGGGATGAAGCCCACTTGATCATGGCAGATAAGCTCTTTGATGTGCTGCTGGATTCGGTTTGCCAGTATTATACTAAGCGTGGGTAAAAGGTGTGAAGAAGTACAAGATTTGGACCCAATTTGGATTTATTGTCATTAGAATAAAAGATTGAACTCTGAACTGTCATTGCTTATGCAGGAATAAAAGGAATCAAGTGAAAACTTACAAACTCTGCAAGCAGATTGTTTCAAATTGGAGGAAGATTGCAAACCCGACTGCAAACACCAAAAGTGTTAAAGAAGATTGTGTTAATTCTTGTGTATGCAAGTGAATTTAAAATAATTTTTATTCTTAAAATTACCAATATTTATGGGATAACTGGAGACAGATTCATTGGTCACAAACTGAGGTTGATATTTTTATTTTTGATGCTCTGAATGAGAAAATATAGTGTACATAGTACAATGGGTCACAAAATCATCTGAATGATGACTGCATAAGCAAATTTAATATTTAGTTCTTAAATGGGTGTGTCATTCTTTAATTCCTTTTAGCTTGTCTAAACTTTTTTTGAGTTCAACTTCTTTTTTAAATCTACTTTGTTTTCTCAGAAGGATAGAAAGGAAAAAAATAATTCTTGAAACCAGAAAAATAAATAAGCATAATGTAATGCAAAGATTTTATTCCTTCATTCTTCCTTTTGTTCTTCCAGAATTTGACCAATTTTTATTTAGTGTCTTCTACTTACCAGGATATTTGCTAGGCTCTGGATAAAATGGTGCTCTTTAGAACTTCCATGCCAGTGGAAAATACAGGCTAATGAAGAGTTGATTAAAATACAGTACTGTGTGATAGCTGCCATTCTAAACATATGCACAAGTATTATTGGAACACTTACGAGGATCATCTTTCCTGGATGAGACAATTTGGGTTGGTTTCTAGAGAAAGTGGCACATGAACTGAAGATGAATAAGAGCAAACCTTGGAAAGGGCAGGGAGTTCCAGGGATGACATTATACACTTGGGAGCAGCTGGTTCAAAGGCAGAGAGGCACATCTGAGTGGTAACTTAGAGTGTGACTCCTGGAGTAGTGAAGCTGGAAAGCAAAGTGAGAATAGAATGAGATGAGAAGTAAGGCCAGGACAGAACTCTGCATGCCTTGCTGATTTGGCACTTTTCCTAAAACCTTTGAAGGGTTTTGACCAGTGGATTGGCATGATCAGATCTGTTTTTCTGAAGGACAGTGCCAGTAGGAGTGTGGCAAATGGATGGAGGGTGGAGTGTGAGAACCGCAGTCTGGGATCAAGTTAGAAATTGTTGCAGTAATCCAGACAAGTAGTGTGAAGTCCTGAACTAGACTGTTAACTATTTCCCGAAGACATAAAAACAAATCTCTTACACAATCCTGGGCCAGATACTTTAAACAGTTATTTAGAAGAAAGCAGATAATATCTGCTTGCAGGCAGGGATAGTTAATTTATTTTTTTCTCATTAAAAAACAAAACAAAACCTGCCAATACAATTTCAAAGCCATATGATATTATAGGCCTCTTCAAGAAAAAAAAACAGATAAGCAGACATTAGCTCATCTATGCTTACAAATAGTCTACTCCCCTTTCAGGCAACCCTATGCAGGTTAATCAGAAACAAAACCATAAATCTTAATTGTAACATATGTCCTGTCATCTGACAATGTATTTTCAAGTTTGTACAGGTATGACCCTATGCCATAATGAACGAATGAACTAGAAAGATCAAAGTTATTTGATCTGGTTCTGTGATTTATAATTTCCAAATCAACATGAAGAGAAAATAGCAGGCATCAAACATCCATCTATGCTTCTACCAGGTCATACACTGTAATTCTATCCAAGTACAAGTTTCCATGGTAAACAGGGCAAGACTTGCCAATACTTCACAGGTTTCCAAAAAGCAGCTATGTCCCTCTTGGGAGAACTTTGTAACTGGAAAAGAAAATCTTTATGGATGAAATCTCCAGCAAAATAAAGTCACAGACTGTATTTCTGCAGTAGGCCTTTTGCCAAATGTCTCATCAACAAGTATGGCTCTGGCAGTGACCCGTCCTACTATAGAGGTGGTAAAATGCTCCCGCCAAACCTTGTTTTCATTTGCTCACAACTTCCTAGAAAAAAAAAATCTTACTTTGAGTTGAAATTTTTCATGTTTTATCCTAGTCCAAAGGTGACTTAAAAAAATTTTTTTTGGAAAGTTGAATTAAATTCAAGTGAAATTTGTAAAGTTTATTCATTTGGGTAGCTATGTGTACACAAAGATCTCACTGGGTAACACCAAAAAATTACATTTTCCTTTTCCTTGTGACTGTTGGAAGACTAACTCCTTTTGGCTGTTCTTTTAGAAAGGATTTAATCCTGTTAGGGTCAGGAAATCAACTATTTTTTCAATTTTTTTCAAACAGATTTTTGCCTATAAAGAATTAATAAAGTAAGACTTCATATATAAATGTACCAGTAGGTTTTTTGAAAAAAATTAAAATGCCTTTATGTATTTGATATAAAAAATTTTAAAAATAACATGTTTAATTCAATTAAATCTAAGAAATCTACTAAGTACCAGGCACTAAGTGAGTGGTCAG
Organism: Homo sapiens; assembly: GCF_000001405.40. NCBI lineage: Eukaryota > Metazoa > Chordata > Mammalia > Primates > Hominidae > Homo > Homo sapiens. The sequence goes on from NC_000001.11 coordinate 176,337,775, forward strand.
TGTTTGGGGTATGTATAGCTGAAAAGGCAGTTCCTATTGTCAAGGAATGTATTATTTGGCAGTGGAGATAAGAGCGACACAAAAGCCAATAATATGAGGCAGAATATAATACATGGTAAAGCAGAAGTATAAGCAAGGTGACATGGGACTGCCAAAGTGGAAGAAATTAATGTTGACTTGAGGATAGGAATAGTGTTTTCTGGGTTTTGAAGGATTGAGGTGGGCAAAAATCAGTGAGTTAGGAAGAACATTTCAGATTAGAGACTAGTGTGAGCACAGCCATAGAGGTTGGAAGTGGGACTAGTCAAGGTGGCTGGAGTGTTGGATATTAGAGACGAAGGAATAGGAAAGAAAGTGGAAAATGTAGGCTCAGGGATTCTCAATGGTGTGCTCTTAGTGTTTCAGGTGGATGGTTCTTTGTCATCTCAGGAGTGTGTATTTCTGGTCCCAACCTTCTAAAAGTCAGTGGTGCTCCCTTGCCATGGGGGAAAACTGGAAAGAATCCTACCTCAACATTTTAAAACACCTCCTGGGGGAGGCAGTGTCACCCTGTAGAAAACGAATGAGAGGCTTTGGACACCAAGTGTTGGGACAAGTTCTAAGTGGTTCTGACCAGAGCAAGTAAATAATCAGACTTGCGAGTCACAACAATCATTTTGGAGACTGAATCAGAGGAGGGAAAAATTGGGAAGCAGGATAATTAATTCAATTCAGTCTATTGCAGTTGCCTAGGCAAGAGTTGGTGTGGACTTGAACTAAACAATTTCATCACTTTCATGCCTGAAAATATTAATAGATTTTTTTTTTAGCTATTCCTCTTGCCTCTGAAACTCCATAGTGCTGCATTGCAGAACTCTTTGTGCTGTAGCTGCTTTCCTTTTTTTTTCTCTCCCCAAATTAATATCATATGGTAAATTCAGTATTACAAAAACAAGATTTTTAGAGGGTGATCATAACACCCTTTCTACAACACATTTTCTAATTATAGAATAAACACATGGGGGATGGAAAGCCCTATTTAAAAAACAAGACAAAAAGAAAGCTGTTTCTCTGTTTCCTTTTAGATCGTGTTTGGATTATTTCACTTCTTGAATATCTTCTTTGCCTTTTTTTAAAAGAAAGCTCTGTTGACAGTCGATTGAATGATTTTTAAATCCCAGATGTCAGTGTAGTGGAAACTCAAAGTGGATAGGCAGATGGAATCTGTCAGAAGCACCACTAGTGGCCAAAACAGAAGACGGTGCCCAAGGCAAGGGAGGCAAGGAGATAGTACCATGACTCTGATGAGTGCAGGAAGCCCACGAGACTGGTGGTGGAGGCCAAGGGCCACCCTGACATAGCACCAGTCTGCATGCATCAAAAGGGTGTCCTGACTCAACACAGCAGCTGTGATCGCATCTTGTAATGTGTCCTCTCCCAACTGCTGAAATATTGCTGCCTTCTGGTTTTCCGAAGAAGCGTTGGAAGGGACTGTACTGACAGAAGATAAACCACAGATATGTTATGCTTAGATCTTCCCTTAAAAAGTCTTCAGGGAACTTTCAGGTGGTTTTTCATTTGAAGCAAAATGAGGCTTCGGCACTTTAAGCAGCTGAAAATTTGTACCACATTTGTGCAGTGGCCCAAGGACTTGAGATCACGAGTTCGAATCTGATCCTTTTCATTAGCAAGACTCTTATTCTCCAAACCTCATCCTCTGGCCAGGTTCTCATTGAGGGTTTCCAAAACTGGCTTTAGTCTCCACCCAGATTTTCTGGGGCTATATTCCCATCAGGTTTCCTTGTGAAAAATTGTTAATTTTGCTCCTCACTGAGAAATATACTGAAAAATGATAATAATGTTTTTAATTTCTTTGGTATTTTATATGTTATTAATAATTTTTGTAAACATTGGCTCATTAAATCTCCTGAATCTCAGAGAGTTTAAGGGATTTACCTAAGGTCACGGAATAGAAAATCCAGAACTCAGCTTCAAGTCTTCTGACTCCAATTCCATGCTATTATCTCTAAAGTTGGCTATTTGATGACCAGCGCTTTCATCCCCTGAATTGGTGATGAAGAGGGCCAGAGACTTCTTAGTAGTAAGCCCTCCTGGTTCTGACTTAGGGTCTGCTGCTTTGCATAATGAGGGTCAGTTTTATTGGTAGTTTCCAGCAGTCTTTTAGAAATTGCTACTGATAGCACAAGGTTTTAAGGATCATAGCCCTCAATGACGGGGTGCCAGTGCCCCCATCTCCTGGTGACTATTACTCTCTATATTATTGCATCCACTGATCTTTGCAGCATTTTCTGCTGGCTGTGGTAACTCCCAGTTACTCCTGTCAACAGCTCTTGAAAGATCCTCTGGATCCTTCTAGTGTCTGGCTTCCTGGAATGACTCCCTTGCAGGGAGATGGCTTAGCAGCACAATCTCAGCACCACCTCTAAGGGCAGATCATGGTTCTCATGCTTTCCAGCTCTTGTTGGAACTTCTTCAAATTGGTCCCCAAAGTGACTTGGGAAAGCAAGACCAAGTAACTTGCTTGGTTACTAAGGACCAGTAACTTCATACTGCTAGTTTCTTGGGTTCTTTTGAACGCGGAGACAGATTTGGGTCCACTGAATATCTGCTGGTTCAGCATGAGTGCCTTTATTCTTCTCTCAGAAGTTATGTGTGGAGCCCATACAATTTCTATCTACAGGCTTACTCTTTCCCTTTTATGCATTCATGTTAGGCGAGTCTCTGAAGCTGCCCTAAGTATCTCCAGATTCTCAAGATCTCATGATTTTCTAAAAGTGACCCCCCCCCCCATAACCGATTAACAATAATAGCAATAAGGTAAGTTTTATTTAGGGTTTGTCGCATGTCAAGACCTGTTATAAATGCTTTCTTTTTTGAGTAATGACTTCTTTTCCTCTGGGTAGATACCCAGTAGTGGGATTGCTGGATCAAATGGTAGTTCTACTTTTAGTTCTTTAAGGAATCTCCACACTGTTTTCCATAGCATCTATACTAGTTTTCATTACCACCAGCAGTGTAGAAGTGTACCCTGATCACCACATCCATGCCAACATCTACTGTTTTTGATTTTTCAATTATGGCCATTCTTTCAGGGGTAAGATGGTATCACATTGTGGTTTTGATTTGCATTTCCCTGATCATTAGTGAGGTTGAGCATTTTTTCATATGTTTGTTGGCCATTTGTATATCTTCTTTTGAGAATTGTCTACTTGCACACACATATTTATGGCAGCACAATTCACAATTGCAAAGTCGTGGAACCAACCCAAACGTCCATCGATCAATGAGTGGATAAAGAAAGTGTGATATATATATATATATATATATATATATATATATATATATCCATATATGTTTTCATATATATATATCCATATATGTGATATATATATCCATATATGTATCCATATATGTATTCCATATAGATATATATGTACATAAACATATATATATGATGGAACACTATGCAGCCATAAAAATGAATGAATTAACAGTATTTACAATGACCTGGATGAGATTGGAGACTACTATTCTAAGTAAGTAACTCAGCAATGGAAAACCAAACATTGTATGTTCTCACTGATACGTAGGATCTAAGCTATGAAGATGCAAAGGCATAAGAATGATACAATGGACTTTGGGGACTTGGGGAGAAGAGTGGGAGGGGGAAAGGGATAAAAGACTACAAATAGAGTGCAGCGTGTAGTGCCTGGGTGATGGGTGCACCAAAATCTCACAAATCACCACTGAAGAACTTACTCACGTAACCAAATACCACCTGTACCCCAATAACTTATGGAAAAAAAATACATGCTTCTATTAACTTTAAAATTCCTTGTTACATAAGCAGAACATGTATGGAAAAGAATCCTCATAACACACCCCTGAGGAAAAAGAATCTTACAAAGTTAAGAAAAACTTGCCTGAGAGGTAATGAATGCGAGATATGCCTTCTGGTAGTTTCTAAATTCCAGAAGTTCCTAGTGAATCTATATAACACTAGAAATTTGAATGCATCCTTTATCCTCCTTGCAGAATGCCACATTTTCCCTGAAGGCAGACTTCTTAAGATTCATGTGGTCTGGACAGAACTAAGACTTCTGTGGTAGACGTTTCTTTCTTACCCAACAGACATTCCTTATTCTTGCTAACATCCCTGATTTTGTTCTGATGGCAGTGTGCTCCTGAGCCGCAAGGGATTGGGTCCTCATTGACCTCACTTAACCATAGCAATCCCATTCTCCTTGGATGCATGTTTGGTCTAGGGGCAGGCATGTGACCCAGTTTTGGATGAGTTGGGGGATCTTTGGAAAGTTTCTAGACAAGACAGTTCTCTCTGAGTGAAGATAGAACCACATGAAGGAAAGCCCTTTTTTCTTCATGCTTTCCTTCCTGCTTTGGATAGTGTTGAATGAGGAGCTAATATCTTGAGCCCTGGAAGGTTGTGGCAATGAGATGACAAGCTAGAGGGCAGTAATTAATATCCTTCAGATAGAAAAGTGGCATAATAAAAAAAAATCTGGGTCTTAATGACATCAAGCCCCCAAGTTAATCCCATGACCACTTCTGGATTTCCCTTGAGGTCAATAATAAATGTGCTTATACTACTCAAAATGTGAATAGTACATGCCAGTTTACAAACTGTTACTGCTTCATGAAGAGATGAGAACATAATTTGATAATAAGGATTTAGATACTATTATTACAATTTGGCATTGTTACAAAAGTCAAGCCAGTAACAGGTAGATTTGTCTCATTGAATAGGGTATTGACCAGTGCAAGACAAATTAGAAATTAAAATAACAATAATAACTAGACCTTCACCATAGATAGTTTAGTTTAATTTTTTCTTACTTTCAGCTAACAGTATATATTTTTAATGTACAGACCTCTTAAGAAGAGAAGATTATGTACAAATGCTTGATATACTCTTAAATTTGAACAGCTTTATTATTTCAAATAGTAGAAACCTAAACACTGTAGGCCTTCTGCTTTAGAGGCTATATTAATAAATGACCTAAAGTGTGTCTTTTCATTTGACTGATTCTTCTGTGATTGTCACACTTGGAGGGAAAACCAAGCCACTTGAGGAAAGCAGGCTGGCACAGAGTAGTCCCTTATTAAGTAAAGCAGAAGTGTGGGGTTGGCAACATTCAGCTTAGTGCTGTCTCACAGGGTCCTTCAGTGGTCCCTTCCACCTCTCTAGCCTGATATTCCTCCTCTCCTCTCCCCTCTTCTTGTTTTTGATCTCAATGTGATTCTGATTAATCTTTAACGGGGTTTTAGCAAACAAGTTCCCATAAAGCCTCTTAAGATTTTGGGGCTTTAGGAAAAAACACTATTCTCTATAAGTCTCAGTTTTCTTGTTTGTAAAATGGGGATAATGTGATACTCATTACATAAAAAATAATAACAGCAGCAATAATAATAATAATACCTAACATTTATTGCATGCTTCCTGTGTACTTAGTACAATTTTAAGCCCTTTATAAGCATTACCACACTTAACCCTCTTAATTTTTTGATGTATATACTACAATTTTATGTCCCTTATATAAATGAGGACTATGACCCCTGGTTACATAGCTGGTAAAACAGCCATGGTTTGAACCCTGATTTGACCACTACAGTGCTTCCATTTGACCATTATGCTGCAGCTCCTTGTATAAATGTAAGGAATTATCAAAATTATATGATGAAAAGAATGGGAGCAAAAATGGCTTATTCAACTATTTTGTCTGGAATGAACCACCCATTTATATCATCATATATTAACATGATTACATGTGTGGTAATGAGCTATTTCACAGCACTCCCAAAAATCAACCCAAACATTCTGGCTAGTTTCCTGTTCAGGAGTTTCCAAAAAGTAAACTCAATTATTGTGTTGAAATTAGTAGATTAGAAAATATGAATAGTTTGGAGTGTATTGCCAACTGGAACAACCCTTGATCACTGAGCAGCCAGAGGTGGTGGGAAGATCTGCTTCATTTCATGGTAAAAAGCCTATTTGATGGAAGGCAAGGCTGAGTCCAGGAAACATATGAGACCAGGAATCAGAGGAGCTGGTGTTCAGGGTTGGCTCTTTTACCACCTAGTCAAGTGACACTGGACAAGTCACTTAACCCTTCCAAGTGTCAGCTTTCTTTTTGGTGACTCTGTTCTCACACTATTATAAAGTTCTCACACTATTCTCTCACTATTATAAAGAAGTCTGTTCTCACACTACTATAAAGACATATCGAAGACTAGATAATTTATAAAGAAAAGAGGTTTAATTGGCTCATGGTTCTACAAGCTGTACAGGAAGCATGGCCGAGGAGGCCTCAGGACACACAATTATGGTAAAAGGGGAAGGGGAAACACATCTTACATGGCTCAAGCAGGAGGAACAGAGAGAACGGAGAGGTGCCACACACTTAACCAGATCTCGCGAGAAAAGCAGGGGAAAATCCACCCCATTGATTCAATCACCTCCCACCAGGCTCCACATCCAACATTGAGGATTACAATTCAACATGAGATTTGGGTGGGAACACAGAGCTGAACCATATCATTCTGCTTCTATCCCCTCCCAAATCTCATTTTTTCTCACATTTTAAAGTACAATAATTTCTTCTCAACCGTCTCCCAAAATCTTAACTCATTGCGGCATTAACTCAAAAGTCCAAAGTCCAAAGTCCCATTGAGACAAGGCTAGTCCCTTCCACCTATGAGCCTGTAAAATTAAAAAACAGTTAGTTATTTCAAAATTACAATGGGAGTACAAACATTGGGTAAATATTCCCATTCTAAGAGGGAGAAATTGGCCATAAGAAAGGGGATACAGGCCCCATGCAGCCTTGAAACCTAGCTGGGCAGTCATTAAATCTTAAAGCTCCAAAATAATCTCCTTTGACTCAATGTCTCACATCCAGGCCACAGTAGTACAAGAGGTGGTGTTCCAAGGCTTTGAGAAGCTCTGCCCCTGTGGCTCTGCAAGGATTAGCCCCCACAGCTGCTCTCAAGAGCTGGTATTGAGTGCCTGAGGCATTCCAGGTCCACAGTGCAAGCTGTTGGTGTGTTTATCATTCTGGGGTCTGGAGAATGGTTGCTCTCTTTTCATAGTTTTGCTAGGCAGTGCCCCAGTGGGGACTCTCTGTGGGGGCTCCAACCCCACATTTCCCCTCTGCACTGCCCTAGTAGAGGTTCTCTGTGAGGGCTCTGCCTCTGCAGCAGACTTCTGCCTGGACATCTAGGCTTTACTGTACATCTTCTGAAATCTAGATGGAGGTTTCCAGGACTTAACTGTTGCACTCTGTCCAGCTTAACACCATGTGGAAGCTGCCAACCCTTATGGCTTGCACCCTGTGAAGCAGCAACCTGAGTATCTGGGCCCCTTTGAGCCAAGACAGGAGCTAGAGCAGATGGAATGCAGGGAGTGTTTTCCTAAGGTTGTACAGGGCAGTGGGAGCTGTTCTTCTCTCTAGGCCTCAAAGACTGTGATGGGGGCTGCCTCAAAGTTTCTAAATGCATTAGAGGCCTTTTCCCCATTGTTTTTGCTATTAACATTTGGTTCCTCTTATGCAAATTTCTCCAACCTGCTTGAATTCCTCCCCAGAAAATGGGTTTTTCTTTTCTAACTCATGGATAGGCTGCAAATTTTCCAAACGTTTATTCTCTGTTTTTCTTTGAAATTTAAGTTCCGGTTTTGCTCAAGAATATGAGCATAGGCTGCTAGAAGCAGCCAGGCCACATCTTGAACTCTTTGCTACTCAGAAATTTCTTCTTCCAGATACCCTAAATAATCACTCTCAAGTTCAGAGTTTCACAGATCCCTAGGGCAGGGGCACAATGCTGCCAGTCTGTTTGCTAAAGCATAGCAAGAGTGACCTTTACTTCAGTTCCTAACAAGTTTCTCATTTCCATCTGAGACCTTCTCAGCCCGGACTTCACTGTCCATATCACCATCAGCATTTTGGTCACAACCATTCAACAAGTCTCTAGAAAGTTCCAAACTTTCCCTCATCTTCTTGTCTTTTTCTGAGCCCTCCAAACTGTTCCAACCTTTGCCCATTACCCAGTTCCACAAGCACTTCCAAATTTTCTGGTATCTTTATAGCAATGCCCCATGCCTGGGTACCAATTTTCTGTATTAGTTTATTCTCACACTGTTATAAAGAAATACCTGAGACTGGTAATTTATTAAAAAAAGAGGTTTAATTGGCTCAAAGTTCTGTAGGCTGTACAGAAAGCATGGGTGGGGAGGCTTCAGGAAGCTTACAATCGTGGTGGAAAGTGAAGAGGAAGCAGGCATTTCTTACATGGCTGGAGCAGGAGGAAGAGATAGAGTGGGGAGGTGCCACACACTGTTAAACAAAAATATCTCATAAGAACTCTATCACGAGAACAGCACCAAAGGAGGAAATCTACACCCATGATCCAATCACCTCCCACCAGGCCTCATCTCCAACATTGGGGATTACAATCAACATGAGATTTGGGTAGGGACACAGAGCCAAAGCATTTCAGTGAGGCTTAGATGAAGATAGCAGAGGTATACATTGCTTATAGACTGTAAAACACTGTGAACATAATTTTGGTTAATTTATATTTATATTTACATTAGTGCCTGTATCTATAAATATATATTTGTATTAGCAATCTTGACACTGTGGTATATTTGGACAATGTAGCAAATAATTCCACTGTCTCAGAGATAGGCTCTCTGGGTTCCAGTCTTACTCTAGCTCCAGCCTGCTGTGGCAATGTTTTCTTCCATGAAAACAGAGGAATGTGTGTGGTGTGGAGGCAGGGCTTCTAAATGGTCTCAAGGATGCTGTGCCATTTGATCATAAAAAATACTGAGATACTGCACTTTCTTCAGATATTAATGAGCAGATGTTGCTAATCTCACATTTCCACAAGCTAAAGCACATTTTCAAAGCATACCAGAGCTCTGCTCTTCTGACACATGAAAAGGAGACTGCACAGCCATTGGTCAAAATGGTAGCACTTGGATACAGCTCAGGTGTTATCTGTCAGGGCAAGGAGCTTGTGCACATGTTTAAAAGAGTGCCCACACACCTTACTGGAGTGCACACTGCATGAACAGTGTTGTGAAAGGATTTTCAAATTCCAACATGTGACTAGGGTTAGCAGTATCAACCCTGCTCAGAATATCAGAGCTACAAAGGTATGTGTAGAGAATGAGGAAACTGAGATTCAGAGAGGATACAAAAATTGCCTGAGCCTGCACAGATAATTGGCAGTAAGCAGAACAGGAACCCAGCTCTGATTCTCAAGCTGGCTCTTTCTGTTGTCCTGTATGGCCTTATTTACAAAGATAATGTTATTAAAATTATCCTGAAGAATTGCTCAAACAAATCATCACAAAATACCTAAATAACACAAAACCTCTGAATTACTCAGATGACTTATGTATTTTCCACACATCTCATGTGAGACATGCAAATAGTTTAGCAATTTTTTAAACTAATATATAGCATGCATACATAATTCAGTGCATTCCCTGACTTATTTCTGGGAGATACATATTACTACAAATATAATGTTGTTATATCAAGCTAATGAAACTTTGTATTTGAAGATTACTCTTTTTGATCTTCTATTTCATAGGCATCTGAGGCAGGTCTCTCTTTGAAAGAAGTCTTATTTTGTGTGGAGCACAATGTAAGCACTTATCCTAGATCAATCAAAGGAAATACATAGTGGTGAAAAACAATTACAAGGGGAATGGCATACTAGATATATAGCAAGACCTGAGGCTCATGGTGGACTATTAGCAAAATATGAGTTTACAATGGCTTGGTGTAAAAGCAAATGATATATTTGGACATTTCAAATGGAGTAATCTGTATTATAGCCAAAAATATAGTAACTTCCCCATTATTCTCAGTGTTTGTCAGTCCTTTAATTTAGCATTGAGTCTACTTTTGTACTTCTTTTCAAGTAAATTGGATAAATGGCAAAGGAAGAGTGGAAAAGAGGACAGTTAATAAGCATGAAGAAGAAAACATTTCAATCATGTAATAGATTATTATAAAAGATATTAGTTGCTAGAACAGGACGGACGGTCAGATGAGATATCAAAAAAGTGTCTAATTACAATATTCACTGAGAGTTAAATGACAAATAGTATCCATTTACTGGATACTTATGACATGTCAGGCATAATGCTAAGTGCTGTTCATGAATGATCTCATTTAATTCTTACAAAACTCTATATGGTCAGTACTATTATTGTCTGTCTTCAATAGATAGGGAAACTGAGGTTGAAAGATGTTCAATAACCTCTCTAAGATCACAGAGCTAGAATGCAGATGGAAAGATACTGTTGGCCACCCACCCAACAGCTATTTCTTCCTTTTTTTATGCAATGAGAACCCCAATGTTTTTCATCATGGGAGGCAGGAGAAGGCACACAGTCCCTCCCCAGCTACAGGGGGTGACCTTTAGTTGGTCTAATTCAATTATGGTGATGTCCTTTCCTTTGCCAAGTAGTTGGCTCAAGCATGAGAATGAAACATAATTTTGTCTAACGAGACATGGGAAATTCACTGTGGAGCTCCTGGAGAGCTTATTCATGTTCTTAGACATTTTACCCTTTGTCTGCCTTTAGATGCTGTGGTGTGAAGTTGGGGTGTGTGGTACTCTTGAAGGCATCAGGCTGAGGTGAAAGGAGAAAACCAAAGAACAAAGGTAACATTCTAAGGATGGCTGAATGGACAGATGAAAAGACTGTGCTGGATTAACCAATCCTAATGTGTCCGGAATTGGTGGGTTCTTGGTTTCACTGACTTCAAGAATGAAGCCGCGGACCCTCTCCGTCAGTGTTACAGTTCTTAAAGGCGGCGTGTCCGGAGTTTGTTCCTCCTGATGTTCAGATGTGTTCGGAGTTTCTTCCTTCTGGTGGGTTCGTGGTCTCGCTGGCTCAGGAGTGAAGCTGCAGACCTTCGCGGTGAGTGTTACAGCTCTTAAGGCAGCGCATCTGGAGTTGTTCCTTCCTCCCGGTGGGCTCATGGTCTCGCTGGCTTCAGGAGTGAAGCTGCAAACCTTCGCGGTGAGTGTTATAGCTCATAAAAGCAGTGTGGACCCAAAGAGTGAGCAGTAGCAAGATTTATTGCAAAGAGTGAAAGAACAAAGCTTCCACAATGTGGAAGGGGACCGGAGCAGGTTGCCACTGCTGTCTGGGGCAGCCTGCTTTTATTCTCTTTTCTGGCCCCACCCACATCCTGCTAATTGGTAAAGCCGAGTGGTCTGTTTTGACAGGGTGCTGATTGGTGCGTTTACAATCCCTGAGCTAGACACAGGGTGCTGATCGGTGTGTTTACAAACCTTGAGCTAGATACAGAGTGCCAATTGGTGTATTTACAATCCCTGAGCTAGACATAAAGGTTCTCCACGTCCCCATCAGACTCAGAAGCCCAGCTGGCTTCGCCCAGTGGATCCCGCACCGATGGAGCTGCCTGCCAGTCCTGTGCTGTGCGCCTGCACTCCTCAGCCCTTGGGTGGTTGATGGGACTGGGCGCCATGGAGCAGGGGGCGGCGCTCGTCGAGGAGGCTGCGGAGCACAGGAGCTCACGAAGGGGGTGGGAGGCTCAGGCATGGCGGGCTGCAGGTTCGGAGCCCTGCCCCGCGGGAAGGCAGCTAAGGCCCGGCGAGAAATCGAGCGCAGCGCCTGTTGGCTGGCACTGCTGGGGGAGGAACCCAGTACACCCTCCGCAGCCGCTGGCCCGGGTGCTAAGCCCCTCACTGCCTGGGGCCGGCAGGGCCGGCCGGCTGCTCCGAGTGCGGGGCCCGCCAAGCCCACGCCCACCCGGAACTCCAGCTGGCCCGCAAGCGCCACGCGCAGCCCCGGTTCCCGCTGGCGCCTCTCACTCCACACCTCCCTGCAAGCTGAGGGCGTCGGCTCCCGCCTTAGCCAGCCCAGAAAGGGGCTCCCACAGTGCAGCAGTGGGCTGAAGGGCTCCTCAAGTGCCGCCAAAGTGGGAGCCCAGGCAGAGGAGGCGCCAAGAACCAGCGAGGGCTGTGAGGACTGCCAGCACGCTGTCACCTCTCACTAACACCAACCTATCTCAGGATTTACAAGAGAAAATAAATACTCTTATCACTTAAACCACTTTTAGTAGGTTTTCAGCTATCTGTTGCTGAATGCATCTTTACTGATAAAGTGAAAATGCTAGGATTTAAAGCCAGGTTACCACTACAAAAAATTGAAGGAGACAAGGAGGCAATTGACAGATTAATTCAAGCAGGATAATCAAGCCAACTGTACTGTTAGGGAGAAAAATGGTGTTTAAAATTATTAAGGGGTGGCTTGGAGTTATGAGAAGTGGAAAAAGAGTTGTGACTGTATATTACTTGTATGCATTTTTTCATTTACTGGCCAATGATTCAACTCTGCTTGTCCAGGCTTATGTAAATGCAACATGTGAGACATCTTACCAAGATAAGTGATACTGGAAAGGAGAGTATGTAAACGGAACTATAAGATAGGAGATAGGTGAGGCCATTCTGATTATACATGAATACTATTAAAACTCCTATCTCAGGCTGATGGTACTAGGATTAGATTAGGGTGTGGTGTCTCCAGCTTGGACTTGGGCGGCTGGGCTGGCTGGAACTTAACGCTAGGTCAGAAATTCTCTGTAATTTCTGAACCCCTAGTGGTTCTTGAGTTCCTTTCAGGGTCTCCATGAGGCCAAATCTATTTTCAAAATAATATTAGTATTTGCCTCTTTTCAATCTCAATATCTGGTGAGTGAATAGTGAAGTTTTTCATCATTGCATGAAATGTGGTATTACAAAAGATTCAAAGTGAAAGCAGATATGAGAATCCAGCTGTGCTCTATTAAGCCAGATATGTTAAAATTTGCAAATCTGTAACACAATGTTATTCTTTTCAATAAGTTTTTTTGAAAATATGATTTCTTCATGAAAAGATGCCATTTATATTAACACAAAATTAGTTTATTATTGTCATTTAAAAATAAATAAGGAAATACATATTTAAAAATTGTCAGTTTTAATTTCCAATATGGGACCTTCAATAGTGAAAAACAACATAAAAAATTTTTTGGGTCGTCAATAATTTTTTTATTTTTTTTTGAGACAGAGTCTCGCTGTGTCACCGAGGCGGGAGTGCTGTGGCGCGATCTCTGCTCACTGCAACTTCCGCCTTCTGGGTTCAAGCGATTCTCCTGCCTCAGCCTCCTGAGTAGTTGGGATTACAGTCACGTACCACCACTTGCAGCTAATTTTTACATTTTAGTAGAGACAGGGTTTCACCATTTTGGCCAGGCTGGTCTCAAACTCCTGACCTCAAGTGATCCACCTGCCTCAGCCTTCCAAAGTGCTGGGATTACAGGCATGAGCCACCACGTCCAGCCTCAATAATTTTTAAGATTCTAAAAAGTCCTGAGACTGAGAAGTTTGGGTACATTTGGTTTAGGCCTTGATGCTTAATGCTAAAAGAGAAGGGACAGTTGTAAAAGATGTATCTTAACATGAAGAGAAATGGAAATTAACAAGGCTCAAACTTATTTTTTAAATGGAAGGGTCTAGCTATAGAGGGAAAACCTAGGAAAAGAAGCTGCAGGACACATATTAATGAAACCAGAGAAAAGTGGAGATTCTATGTTGATTAATGCTGGGGGTGTGGTAGAGAAGTAAAATGTAGGGTGCAGGATTTGTTTTGTTTTCATTTTTAATTTTTTCCAGTTTTATTGAGGTTTAATATTGTTTAACAAACAAAAATTGTGTATATTTAAGGTGCACAACTTGATGTCTTAGTGTACCTAGGCATTGTGAAATGTTTACTACAATCAAGCTAATTATCATATCTATCAACTCACATAATTAACTTTTTTTGGTGAAAACAATATTTACTCAAGAAATTTCAAGCATATGATACAGTATTATAAACTGTAGTCTCCATGCTGTATATTAGATCTCCAGAACTCGTTCATCCTGCATAACTGAAACTTTGTACCCTTTGACCAACATTTTCCCATGTCCCTGGTAACTACCATTCTACTTTCTTCTTCTAAAAGGTCAACTTTTTAAGATTCTACATACAAGTAAGATCATGCATTATTTGTCTTTCTGTATATGGCTTGTTTCACTTAGCATAATGTCTTCCAGTTTTGTTCATATTATCATAAATGAGAAAATTCTCTTTTTTTACAAACTGAATAATATTCTATTGTATATGTAGATATACACCACATTTTCTTTCTTCATTAATTCCTTGATGGACACTTAGGTTGATTCCATATCTTAGCTGTTGGTAATAATGATGCAATAAACATGGGAGTGCAGATATCTTATCAACATACTGATTTCATTTTCTTTGGATATATACCCAGAAGTGGAATTGCTACATTATATGATAATTCTATATTTAGTTTTTGGAGGAAACGTTATACTGTTTTCTATAATTGTACTAATTTAAATATCTGCCAACAGTGAACAAGGGTTCCCTTTTCTCCACATCCTCGCCAACACTTGTTATCTTTCGTCTTTTTGATGATAGCCATTCTAATATATGTGAAGTGGTTTCTCATGCATTTCCATGATGATTAGTAATGCTGAGCACCTTTTCAAATATCCGTTGGCAATTTGTATGTCTCCTGAGAAATGTATATTCAGGTGCTTTGCTCAATATTAACTTCTTATCAGATGTATCACTTGAAAATATTTTCTTCCATTCTGTAGGTTATCTCTTCACTCTGTTGATTGTTTTCCTTGCTGTGCAGAGATTTTTGGTTTAATGTAATACCATTTGTCTATTTTTACTTTTGCTCTCTGTGCTTTTGACTTCATATTCAAAAAAATCATTGCCAAGATCAATGTCATGGAGATTTGCCTATGTTTTTTCTCTGGTAGTTTTGTAGTTTCAGGTCTCTTGTTTAAGCCTTTAATCCATTTTGAATTGATTTTTGTATACGGTGTGAGATGAGGGTCTAATTTCATTCTTTTGCCTGTAGATGTCCATTTGTTCCAACATCATTTATTGAATAGACTGTCCTTTCCCCATTGTGTGTTCTTGGTATCTTTTTGAAAATTAATTGGCTATAAGGCATGGATTTATTTCTGAGGAGTCTTATTTTTGTTCCATTGGTTGATGTATCTGTTTTTATGTCAGTACCATGCTGTTTTCATTTCTATAGCTTTGTAGTATATTTTGAAACCAGGCAATATGATGCCTCTGGGTTTGGTTTTTGCTCAAGATTGCTTTGGCTATTCAGAGTCTTTTGTGGTTTCATACAAATTTTAAGATTGTTTTCTATTTCTCTGAAAAATGTCATTGAACTTTTGATAGGGATTCCATTGAATATATAGATTGCTGTTGGTTGTATGGACATTTTATCAATATTAATTCTTCCAATTCCTGCACAGTGAATATATTTTCATTTATAATGTCTTCTTCAATTTCTTTCATCAATGTTTTATAATTTTCAGTGCACAGGTTTTTAACTTTCTTGGTTAAATTTATTCCTATTTTATTATTGTTTTGATAGTTTTTATAGATAGTATTGCTTTCTTGATTTCTTTTTTGGATAGTTTGTCGTTAGTGTATAGAAATGCTACTAATACTTGTATGTTGATTTTGAATCCTGAAATTTTCTTGAATTTATTTATTAGTTATAACAGCTTTTTGGTGGAGTCTTTAGGTTTTCCTATATATATAAGATCTTGGTGTCTGTAAACAGGGACAATTTAACTTCTTCTTTTCTAATATACTTTGATGACTTTTAGTTATTTCTCTTGCCTAATTTTTCTGATAGGACTGCCAGTACTATGTTGAATAGAAGTAGCAAGAGTAGGCATTGATGTCTGGTCATAAAGGTAAAGAGTTCAACTCTTCACTGTGGAGGATGATGTTAGCTGTGGGCTTCTCATATATGGCCTTTATTGTTTTAAGGTACATTCCTTCTATACTTAATTTGCTGAGAGTTATTGTCATGAAAGAATGCTGAATTTTGTAAAACGACTTTTTTGCATCTATTGAGATTATTATATTGTTTTTGTCCTTTATTCTGTTAATGTGTTATATTACATTTATAGATTTCTATATGTTGAACCAACCTTGCATCCCTGAGATAAGTCCCACTTGATCATGATGAATGATCCTTTTACAGTGCTGTTGGATTTGGTTTGCCAAAATTTTGTTGAGAATTTCTGTAACTATGTTAATCAAGAATATTGGCCTGCAATTTTTCAATTCTTTTTAAAAAATTTATTATTATACTTTAAGTTTTAGGCTACATGTGCACAATGTGCAGGTTAGTTACATATGTATACATGTGCCACAATTCTTGAAGTGTTTTTGTCAGGCTTTGGTTTCATAATAATGCTGGTCTCATAAAATGGGTTTGAAAATATAACTTATTTAACTTCTTGGAAGAGTTTAAGAAGGATTGGTATTAGTTCTTTAAATGTTTGAGTAGAAAACAGCAGTGAAGCCTTCAGGTCCTGGGCTTTTCTTTGATGAGAAACTTTTTATTAATGATTCGATCTCTTTATTGCTATTGATCTGTTCAGATTTTCTTTTCTTTTTTGACCTGGGTATCACTGACGAAGTTCAGATTTTATTTCTGCATAATTGTCTTGGTAGGTTTTATGTGTCTAGGAATTTACCCATTTTTTTTTCTAGGTTATCCAATTTGTTGGTGCTTAATTTTTTCTAATAATTTATTAAAATCCTTTGTATTTTGATGGTATTAGTTATAATGTCTTCTCTTTCATTTGAGATGATTATTTTGCATTCTTTTCAGGTAATTCACAGATCTCCATTTCTTTCGGGTTGGTTATTAGAGATTTGTTTTCTTTTTTGATTGTGTTTTGTTTTCTTTAATCTTCATGCTTTTTATAGGTTTGCCTTGTCATCTGTGCATTTGAATAAGCAACTACCTTTCCCAATCTTTATGGAATAATTTTGACTGGGAGAGACCTTTACTGGTCAGCAGTACTTAATATGAGGCAAGACAGAAAATTATTCCTTAGTGAGCATACTGTTAAACTGAGGGCAAGGCCCCCTTATACCCTTACCTCCCTTCTGGAGGAAAAGCCTCAGTTCTGTGCTTTTCTCCAATTATACAGAGCAGTGCCAGCTGTAAGGGGATGCTCACTCTTTTCCTTTATTCTTAGCTGTCCTAGGAGACCAGGATCTCTAGGTTATTTAGTGTACAGCTTTAGGTGAGTTAAAAACCAGCTCCATGGAGGGTGCACTGGGGTAGGAATAAGCTTCCTTTTACTTCTTTCCTCCCATATGGAAGGAAAACCTCAATTTTGCACCTATTCCCAATCTTGCAGAGCAGTACTGGTATAAAAGGCTCACCTTCCTCTTTTCTTTGTTTCTAGATGGCCCTGGAGATGGGATCTACAGGTTGTTCAGTGGTTAGTATTAGGAGGTATAGAAATCAGCCCCAAGGAGGGCTCCTGAGAAGTCAGGAGGCAAGGCACTCAGACACATGCTCCGATCTCACTTTTCCTCCTATAGTAGAAGTCACAGGCCTAGGTGATCTTAGTGCTAAGCTAAGCCTGTTTGGAGGGACTGATGCAGGTAAAATAAAATTGTTCTTTTATCCATATGAATGTGACTACTTTAAGTTTGTTCTTTTCTAGAGTGCTTTTAGCTAGCTGGATTCTGAGTTTCTCTTCAAGGTATTTTTGTATTAATATCATTGTTTTATTGATGTTTCTAAGGAGGAATGAGAGGTAGAAATTTCTACTCTGTCATTTGCTCACAGGATTTTTTTTTCCAGGAAAACTTGTGGCTTCCAAGTGGATGAGGAGGACTGTGAAGCAGTTATCCCTGCTGAGTTAGCTTAAACAGGAATTCTGGATTAAATACTGCAAATTGAAACCAACCAGAATAAAAAAAATCCGTAATTATTTGAGTTATAAGTATTACCCAGAAGATATAATGAATGTAAATCATATAAATTAGAAACTTCTTGTCCTAATTCTGGCTATTTGAATAAGTTGAAAGTCTGGTCTTATTTCAATTCACAAGAAGCTTGCCAATGGGATTAGGTGCTTTAGGTGTAGATTGTTTTTATACCAGGTGGCCACATTACAAAGTGACCTTTTTACACAGACTTTTCAGCTGAAGGACTTTTAAAACTCCTTACTGAAATGTTTTCAAAGCAAGTGAAACCATTGTCCTGCTTTTGAACATTGAGCACATGAAAACCTTGTGAAAATAGTTCATTGGGAATTTCTAAGCTGAGAGAATACTTGGTGTTTCCCAATTCGCAGAGGAAAATGCAGAACCCCTCTGGAGGGACGTTTCTTCAATGCGTGGCACACAAGATTCCATAGATAAAGCCACAATGAAGATAAGCTCACATTTCAAAATTACAGCACACTAGACAAACAATAAACTGTGAGTGACAGTATACCAATTAATAGAACTGTCACATGGTGACTGTCAAATATGCATAATTAAAATGATGTAACAGATGGAATAAAATCATAAAAGTATTCTGAATTAGAATAGGGATTTCAAAAATAGTAAAATATGACTTTTAGAAATGGAAATATGTAAGAATTGAAATTAGTAGGTTAAATATATTAGATAAGACTAACAAGAAAGTTAATGTACTAGAAGAGAAATCTCAGGAAGTTATCTGGAAAGCACTCAAAAGAAAGAAAATGTTGGAGTTAAACGTCCCTGTCTGACAGCTCTGAAGAGGGCAGTGGTTCTTCCAGCATGGCGTTCGAGCTCTGAGAACAAACAGACTGTCTCCTCAAGTGGGTCCCTGACCCCCATGTAGGCTGACTGGGAGACACCTCCCAGTAAGGGCTGACAGACACCTCATACAGGCAGGTGTCCCTCTGGGACAAAGCTTCCAGTGGAAGGATCAGGCAGCAATATTGGCTGTTCTGCACTATTTGCTGTTCTGCAGCCTCTGCTGGTGATACCCAGGAAAACAGGGTCTGGAGTGGACCTCCAGCAAACTCCAACAGACCTGCAGCTAAGGGACCTGATCGTTAGAAGAAAAACTAACAAACAGAAAGGAATAGCATCAACATCAACAAAAAGGACATCCACAGCAAAACCCCACCTGTAGGTCACCAATATCAAAGACCAAAGGTAGATAAAACCACAAAGATGGAAAGAAACCAGAGCAGAAAAGCTGAAAATTCCAAAAACCAGAGTGCCTCTTCTCCTCCAAAGGATTGCAGCTCCTTGCCAGCAGCCGAACAAAACTGGATGGAGAATGACTTTGAAGAGTTGACAGAAGTAGGCTTCAGAAGTTCGCTAATAACAAATTTCTCTGAGCTAAAGGAGCATGTTCTAACCCATCACAAAGAAGTTAAAAACCTTGAAAAAAGGTTAGACGAATGGCTAACTACAATAAACAGTGTAGAGAAGACCTTAAATGACCTGATGGAACTGGAAACCACAGCACGAGAACTTTATGATGCATGCTCAAGGTTCAATAGCTGATTTGATCAAGTGGAAGAAAGGATATCAGTGATCGAAGATCAAATTAATGAAATAAAGCAAAAAGACAAGATTAGAGAAAAAAGAGTAAAAAGAAATGAACAAAACCTCCAAGAAATATGGGACTATGTGAAAAGACCAAATCTATGTTTGACTGGTGTACCTGAAAGTGACAGGGAGAATGGAACCAAGTTAGAATACTCTTCAGGGTATTATCCAGGAGAACTTCCCCAACCAAGCAAGGCAGGCCAACGTTCAAATTCAGGAAATACAGAGAACACCACAAAGATACTCCTTGAGAAGAGCAACTCTAAGACACATAATTGTCAGATTCACCAAAGTTGAAACAAAGGAAAAAATGTTAAGGGCAGCCAGAGAGAAAAGTCGGGTTACCCACAAAGGGAAGCCCATCAGACTAAGAGCAGATCTCTCTGCAGAAACCCTACAAGCCAGAAGAGAGTAGGGGCCAATATTCAACATTCTGAAGGAAAAGAATTGTCAAACTAGAATTTCATATCCAGCCAAAGTAAGCTTCATAAGTGAAGGAGAAATAAAATCCTTTACAGACAAGCAAATGTTGAGAGATTTTGTCACCACCAGGCCTGCCTTACAAGAGCTCCTGAAGGAAGCATTAAACATGGAAAGGAACAACCCATACCAGCCACTGCAAAAACATGCCAAATTGTAAAGACCATTGATGCTAGGAAGAAACTGCATCAATTAATGGGTAAAACAACCAGATAACATCATGACAGGATCAAATTAATACATAACAATATTAACCTTAAATGTAAATGGGCTAAATGCCCCAATTAAAAGACACAGACTGGCACATTGGATAAAGAGTCAAGACCCACCAGTGTGCTGTATTCAGGAAACCCATCTCATGTGCAGAGACACACATAGGCTCAAAATAAAGGGATGGAGGAAGATCTACCAAGCGAATGGAAAGAAAAAAAAAAAAAAAAGCAGGGGTTGCGACCCCAGTCTCTGATAAAACAGTCTTTAAACCAACAAAGATCAAAAGAGAAAAAGAGGGCCATTACATAATGGTAAAGGATCAATTCAATAAGAAGAGGTAACTCCCCTAAATGTATATCCATGCAATACAGGAGCAACCAGATTCATAAAGCAAGTTCTTAGAGACCTACAAAGACACTTAAGCTCCCACACAATAATAATGGGAGACTTTAACACCCCATTGTCAATATTAGACAGATCAATGAGACAGAAGGTTAACAAGGATATCCAGGATTTGAACTCAGCTCTGCACTAAGTGGACCTAATAGACATCTACAGAACTCTCCACCCCAAATCAACAAAATATACATTCTTCTCAGCACCATATCTCACTTATTCTAAAATGGACCACATAATTGGAAGTAAAACACACCTCAGCAAATGTAAAAGAACAGAAATCACAACAAACTCTGTCTCAGACCACAGTGCAATCAAATTAGAACTCAGGATTAAGAAACTCACTCAAAACTGCACAACTACATGGAAACTGAACAACCTGCTCCTGAATGACTACTGGGTAAATAACAAAATGAAGGCAGAAATAAAGATGTTCTTTGAAACCAATGAGAACAAAGACACAATGTACTAGAATCTCTGGTACACACTTAAGGCAGTGTGTAGAGGGAAATTTATAGCACCAAATGTCCACAAGAGAAAGCAAGAAAAATCTAAAATCAACACCCTAACATCAAAATTAAAAGAACTAGAGAAGCAAGAGCAAACAAATGCAAAAGCGAGCAGATGACAAGAAATAACTAAGATCAGAGCAGAAATGAAGGAGATAGAGACACAACCCTTCAAAAAATCAATGAATCCAGGAGCTGGTTTTTTGAAAAGATCAAATAAATAGACCACTAGCAAGACTAATAAAGAAGAAAAGAGAGAAGACTCAAATAGATGCAATAAAAAAATGATAAAGGGTTGTCACCACCAATCCCACAGAAATACAAACTACCATCAGAGAATACTATAAACACCTCTATGCAAATAAACTAGAAAATCTAGAAGTCATGGATAAATTCCTGGACACATACACCCTCCCAAGACTAAACCAGGAAGAAACTGAATCTCTGAATAGACCAATAACAGGCTCTGAAATGGAGGCAATAATTAATAGGCTACCAACCAAAAAAAGTCCAGGACCGGATTGACAGCCAAATTATATCAGAGGTACAAAGAGGAGCTGGTATCATTCCTTCTGAAACTATTTCCAATCAACAGAAAAAGAGGGAATCCTCCCTAACTCATTTTATGAGGCCAGCATCATCCTGCTACCAAAGCCTGGCAGAGACACAACAAAAAAGAGAAATTTAGACCAATATCTCTGATGAATATCGATGCAAAAATCCTCAATAAAATACTGGCAAACCAAATCCAGCAGCAAATCAAAAAGCTTATCCACCACGATCAAACTGGCTTCATCCCTGGGATGCAAGGCTTGTTCAACATACGCAAATCAATAAAAGCAATCCATCACATAAACAGAACCAATGACAAAAACCACATGATTCTCTCAATAGATGCAGAAAAGGCCTTTGACAAAATTCAACAGTCCTTCATGCTGAAAACTCTCAATAAGCTAGGTATTAATGGAATATATCTCAAAATAATAAGAGCTATTTATGACAAACCCACAGCCAATATCATACTGAATGGGCAAAAACTGGAAGCATTCACTGTGAAAACCAGCACAAGACAAGGATGCCCTCTCTCACCACTCCTATTCAACATAGTGTTGGAAGTTCTGGCCAGGGCAATCAGGCAAGAGAAAGAAATAAAGGATATTCAAATAGGAAAAGAGGAAGTCAAATTGTCCCTGTTTACAGAGGACATATATTTAGAAAACCCCATCGTCTGAGCCCCAAATCTCCTTAAGCTGATAAGCAGCTTCAGCAAAATCTCAGGATACAAAATCAATGTGCAATCATCACAATCATTCATATACACCAATAACAGGCAGAGAGCCAAATTATGAGTGAACTCCTATTCACAATTGCTACAAAGAGAACAAAATACCTAGGAATCAAACTTACAAGGGATGTGAAGGACCTCTTCAAGGAGATCTACAAACCACTGCTCAATGAAACAAAAGAGGACACAAACAAATGGAAGAATATTCCATGCTCATGGATAGGAAGAATCAATATTGTGAAAATGGCCATACTGCACAAGGTAATTTACAGATTCAATGCCATCCCCTCAAGCTACCAATAACTTTTTTCACAGAATTGGAAAAAACTACTCTAAAGTTCATATGGAATCAAAAAAGAGACTGCATAGCCAAGACAATCCTAAGCCAAAAGAACAAAGCTGGAGGCATCACGCTACCTGACTTCAAACTCTACTACAAGGCTACAGTAACCAAAACAGCATGGTACTGGTACCAAAACAGAGAGACAGACCAATGGAACAGAACAGAGGTCTCAGAAATAACACCACACATCTACAACCATCTGATCTTTGACAAATCTGACAAAAACAAGAAATGGGGAAAGAATTCCCTGTTTAATAAATGGTGCTGGAAAACTGGCTAGCCATATGTAGAAAGCTGAAACTGGATCCCTTCCTTATACCTTATACAAAAATTAATTCAAGATGGATTGAAGACTTAAATGTAAGACCTAAAACTGTAAAAACCCTAGAAGAAAACCTAGGCAATACCGTTCAGGACATAGTGATGGGGAAAGACTTCATGACTAAAACACCAAAAGCAATGGCAACAAAAGCCAAAATTGACAAATGGGATCTAATTAAACTAAAGAGCTTCTGTACAGCAGAAGAAACTACCATCAGAGTGAACAGGCAACCTACAGAATGGGAGAAAATTTTTGCAATCTACCCATCTGACAAAGGGCTAATATCCAGAATCTACAAAGAACTTAAACAAATTTACAAGAAAAAAACAAACAACCCCATCAACAAGTGGGTGAAGGATATGAACAGACACTTCTCAAAAGAAGACATTTATGCAGCCAACAGACATATGAAAAAGTGCTAATCATCACTGGTCATCAGAGAAATGCAAATGAGATAACATCTCACACCAGTTAGAATGGTGATCATTAAAAAGTCAGGAAACAACAGATGCTGGAGAGGATGTGGAGAAATAGGAACACTTTTACACTGTTGGTGGGAGTGTAAATTAGTTCTACCATTGCGGAAGACAGTGTGGCGATTACTCAAGGATCTAGAATTAGAAATACCATTTGACCCAGCGATCCCATTACTGGATATATACCCAAAGGATTATAAATCATTCTACTATAAAGACACATGCACATGTATGTTTATTGCAGCACTATTCACAATAGCAAAGACTTGGAACCAACCCAAATGTCTATCAATGGTAGACTGGATTAAGAAAATATGGCACATATACACCATGGAATACTATACAGCCATAAAAAAGGATGAATTCATGTCCTTTGCAGGGACATGGATGAAGCTGGAAACCGTCATTCTCAGCAAGCTATCACATGGACAGAAAGCCAAAAACTTCATGTTCTCACTCATAGGTGGGAATTGAACAATGAGAACACATGTACACATGGTGGGGAACATCACACACTGGGGCAGGTTGGGGGGTGGGGAGAGGGGGGAGGGATAGCATTAGGAGAAATACCTAATGTAAATGATGGGTGTAGCAAGCCAACATGGCACATGTATACCTATGTAACAAACCTACACGTTGTGCACATGTACCCTGGAACTTAAAGCATAATAAAAAAAAAAAGAAAGAAAATGTAAAATAGAAAACATCAAGCGACATTGAAGGTATAAGAAAATAAAACATATCTACTAGGAGTTTTAGTAAGAAAGAATAAAGAGAATGGAGGAGGGGTAATATTCAAAGATAGAGCAGCTAATAATTTTTTCAGCATTGATTAAAAAAACAAAAACAAAAACATAAGTCCTAATATTTAAGAAGCACAACCAGGTTCCTGGCAGAATAAATAAGATAAATCCACACATAGAGAGAGCTTAGTGAAACTACAGAACATCAAAGACAGAAAGAATATAGATAATATATTAAATATATTAGATAAGACTAAAAAGAAAGTTAATGTACTAGAAGACAGTGGAATAATATCATCAAAGTGCTAAGAGAAAACAAAATTAACTTAAATTCTATAACCAGCTAAACTCTTTTACTAACAAATTCCCTTGCAAAAACAAAAACACATTTTCAGACAAAATAAAAGTAAAAGAACTTAGCATCAAAAAACCTAACTAAAGGAACTACTGAAGGATATAATTCAGGAAAAGAAAATTGAACTAACAAGGAAGGCGTATGAAGGAATAGTGAGCAAATGAACTGCTGTGTTCCCCCTTACTGCTGCTGGGTGTCCAGGGCCTTCCAGAGTAGGGACTGACTGTGGAGACCAGGTAGGGAGACATATTCCTATTGCTTCACATTTATTTCTGTGCATTCATAACACATTTCTCCATAGGAGTGGTGTTGCAAGTAGCGATTGAGTTCCCACTCTGGCCTTTCAAAGCCTATTGAACTCAAATGTTATCAACTCATAAAACTATCTGGTGAAAGAAATACTTGAGCTCAGAAAGAATTAAGCAAAGATACCAAGAGATTCCTAAATTCGCAAGTCAAAGTCTGGAGTGGTGGCAGTGGAAGTCATGGGAATGAGGACAATGAGTACACGAGCATTGGCTTTCTAAAAGAAATTCTAGATTCTTGCTCTGAAGAAACATGCAGGCTTCTCCTGGATTCCAATTAAGCTTTCCTTTTTTTCTTCACTAGTTACTGATGATAAAAATGGAAGAATAAGAACCTTGGAAAAAATATGATCAAAAGGGGATGTGACTGCCAACCAGCTTTTAGATTTCACAAAAAGGGCCCTTTTAGGCAAATACTTCTTTACCATAAGGGTCCAACTGAATTGCTTAAAGCACATTTAAGTGACGAATCCTTTTTCTGGAAATAAACTCACTGGCAGACTGAAGATCAGATGATTCTGCAGGCAATGCATAACATAGAAACCCTCTGGACAGAAGAAATGCCTGAGTCCAGCAGGAAGTGGGCACAGAAGGTCAGGAGAAGGGAGAGGATAAAATAGATGTTCTTGTTTGGCACCAATGATCTGCTGCAGGCAGTCCCATAAACATTCATAAGCTTGTCCCACAGTAGGGTAGAGTGCAGAGTTAGGACAGGTGGAGTGTAAAGGGAAATCCCAGGGTGGCTGGAAATGGAGAGTTTCTAGGAAAGAGGACAAGTCAAGTAGGAAAAATTAAAGTTACCCTGTACCCATCTTCACACTCAAATAGAGATGAAGTATATGGAGTACTACAGGGGAAAATGGAAGTCTGAGAGCACAAAATTATTTTGTAGGACAGAAGAGAAATTTCTGCTCATAGAACCAGTAGATATTATGTTAGTATACTTCTAGTTATGTTAGTATACTTCTAACAGAAGGTTTTTAAGCCTAAGCACAGTTGCTTGACTGTAGTAAAGTCCATCTTAAACTTTTGATCAGACTAAAGGTAATGTCTAGTATGATATAGTCAAATGAATGAGAAAGCAATAAGTCATTAAAATTACTGCTTTTCTATGAAGGATTTCCATTTAATAAAGCCTCGCTTTTTAAAAAATAAAATGGTTAATATTCTAGAAAGGTGCTGACAACCTTAATTAGCCTTTAATTGGGGAACAGGGATGTCATAATTAAGCAATCTGACAGAATGAGAGCTGAGGCACTGGCTTGAAGGGTTATGTTAATTTGAAAAGTAATTTATGCTACATGATAATCTTACCTCCTGAGCTCCTCTTTTTTTTTTCTATTTTTTTAACTCAGAAAATATGGACAGTGAATTACTATCACTTCTCGTTTTTGCTTTTTTATCCTGTCATTATCACCATACTACATCATCAAGATAGTTTTATTGCTTTCCCCTATGAATTATTTATTATAGCAGGAGTCTTTGTACAAAATTCCAAGGAGATACATCAATTCTGTTTAACAAATATTTGTTGAATGTCTGCTATGTCAAGTGATGTACCAGGGCCTGCAGCTGTAAAGATGGGATAATATAAAAATGAGTGAGGGAGGCAGGCAGGTAAAGCGGTCAGCTCAACATTATGAGCTGGGTGATAAAGGTGACTAAGGAGAACACTTTGTGCAGCCTGGGCTTTATTATTAACAGGGGCCTAGTGCTTAGGACACTAAGCTTCTTATCTTAACAGCCAGTGACTTAGCAACGGGCTGTCTTATTCCAAAGCCTGCTTTTAAACCCAACCACCCTATGCCTTAATTTTCTCATTGCTAAATACGAAAAATATTAGTGTTTCCCTGTAGTGGACATTTGCCTGGCAGCTTTCTTTCCACTGGGAACTCGTATGGCACCTGTTGGTCTGCCAATCCCACTATCTGATGATCTCTGGTGCAAAGGGATGATCACACGACTCAAGCCTGGCCCTTAGAGTGCCTGGTCTGAGTGTTGCGCATATGACTTAGCAGAGGCATTCACAGCCCTCCCGCTAAAGCAAGAGGGAGGGCATGAGCAAGAGAGAGACTCTTTCCCTTTGACCTCTCAGCATGGGCATGTAAGCTTGGAGTTTCAAGCAGCAATTTCCCTAGCTAGGTATGTCAAGAGTGACTCTGAATGCAGCCCACACTCACAGCAAAATAGAGCTGAGAGATGAAAACAGTGACAAATCCTGATAGCATTGTTTAATCTCATGGATTCAGCCTTTCTGAAGCCAGGAATATCTACCCCTGGATGTTCTGGTTCTGCAAGACAACAAATTTCCTTTGTTGCTAGGCTATTTTGAGTCAGTTTTATATTATTACCAAAATTCCTGTTTAATAGTAAATAGCATGAGGTTTCTGTGAGAATAACATGAAATAGTATAGATACAGCATGATTCCTGGAATATTATAGACTCTAAATTCTGAGTGTCATTGTTATCATCATCATCATTATCATTATTAGCACAAGATGGTCTTCTTTCTCCTCTTAGGGCTCTTTCTTCTTAAGTGGTCTATAGAATGGAATGCGGTTTACAATATTTTCTCCCTTCTGTAATGCTTATTAGAAAGAACTCAGAAATTCTTGACATTTTCTATAGTTGGTTTATATTTTGCTAGTCACTCTTCACAGTGCTATTAAGGAACTAGAATGCTTCAAGGCTGCGGGCCTTTGTGTACAGCCAGTCTTCAGATTTTCATGCTTCAGTGGGCAGAGGAAGAGACTTTGCTTAAAAAACATCTGTCCTATGGATTTTCACCATTGGTTGTAAAAGAAGCCTCAGCATCTCTGCTGCAGTTTGCTTAACGTTCCCCATGACCCTGCTGCTTGGTTCCATCTCTACATGCTTGCTCCAGTTTGCCTCAAAATCATTCCTAGCTTTTCTTTGTCCATCTGAGCCCAGCTTCCCTTCAAGATCCAGATCAACTTCCGTGTTCTTCCTGGAGCTTTTCTTGGACATTCTCTCTGAACTGACTCTCCTTACCTGAAACTTGTAATATCCTTCTGTGAGTAGTTACTTTTAAATGGGTGATTGCTTTAGCTCCTCAATAAGACCTTGTTGTCATTGAAAGGAAGGGGTATTTCGGAATTTCTCTGAACCTTGCACATGCTAGATTCTCTATAAATATTGGTTCAAAACGAACCATTCACATTAGGCAATATTCTCAGCGGCAGATGAAGACTTGCCACTGGTTGGTTGTAATGCCACACAGTGAACCTAGCTCCAAAATCCCAGCAGCTGTCTTTACAAGCCACAGCTCCACGACAGAGATTCTAGGTGCCAGTTTTCACTGCCTTTGCAGTTTGAGGTCAAGTCACATAAATTCCTTCTTTCCATTATTTCATGTTTCACCTTGTACTGTGCCTCAGCG
Source organism: Homo sapiens (assembly GCF_000001405.40). NCBI lineage: Eukaryota > Metazoa > Chordata > Mammalia > Primates > Hominidae > Homo > Homo sapiens. The sequence continues at coordinate 176,366,110 of NC_000001.11, forward strand.
TTGTCTAGGAGATTGGTATGGATGCTTAAGGTTTAATGAGTTAAACGTGAAATCTCATTATTTATACCATAATCCTGTCATATTCTAAGGGTCTACAGCAACTTCCAAAAATTGATTTCTCTTGGCCTTTCTCTGTTTGCTATGTAGATCAACTACATGCACCATACAGTGAGGTTGCTATTTTTGTGTGTGATGAGACAATGATTTATGCTGTTTTAGACAAATTGCAATGATAGTTATTTGTGAGATTTTCTCTCCTAATATTATATATCCACTTCATTAAAGCCAAGATTGAAGTGCACAGCTAACTGCTTCATTCTCTGCTTCAATCTTAAACACTTAGCATGTGTTTTAGTGTTCTTTTGGAAGCTTTTCGACCAAGACTTTGGATGATGCAAATAGAGAATTTTCCACCTTAGATTCGAGGCATACTTTGGCAAAAGAAGACATAATGCATTTATAAGTTCTTTGAAAACTATATATCATTGTAAAAATGAGGGCTATTATAATTAGAAGACTCATGATTCTGGCAGCTAAGAGATTGCTTTATATTAGTTCAGAAGCTTATTTTCTTTAGGATTTTGGTAACAGCATTCTCACACGTTAATATGAAAATGGTGTTATTGTATATTCAGGTCTGGCTCTTTTGACTGACCCCCATAGAGGAAGCAAGAGGAAATTGAACACACATACACCCACACCTAACCACACACAGCACCCCCCCACCCTGTATGTATAATTTAATGAAAAATATTCAATATCAGAGCAATTGCTAAAAAGGAAATTTTCCAGAAAACTGTAACTATGTATTAACACATTATACCTAAAAGCATAACGCATATTATTATTTTTCAGTAATCTTAGCAAAGATAAAGTGTATAAGAAACAAAATAAATGACTTACAAAGGAAGGGCCTTTACTTTAAGGACCTTTAAAAACGAGCACAAAAGGATTAATTTTCAATTACATATATTGAATTGAATCTTAGACACTAGAAATGAGAGCATTTTTCACATAGTGTTAACACATACTATAAAATACATGTTGTAAAAGGGGTCAGACCACCAACATTACAAAAGCAGCTTTGACAGCTATATAATAAAACTCTTAGTTCATCATTTTATACATAGATAGCAAGTATGAGATGAGAAAAGGAACTGCATCCTTTTTTATGTGATGGCTTGTCTTTCAGATACCATTTCAGTTAGTAATTATTGGTATTTACTTTCTGTTTAAAAGCAAATAGAAAGCAGGCTTAAACATCACTCCTACTATACACAAGCAATTTTGAAGTACATCATTTGTAAAAAAGAAGGATCAAGAATAAAAATATATTTATAGGCAATGGTGGGCTGGAGATGAGTGGAGTTAACCCACAAGAAGTGATTGTGTGTATCTCCTCCCAACTCCCTGTTCAGTGACATCATGACTATATCTTGAAATTCATCATGGTAGGAGTATTTCACCTCAGATATTGGCAAATGTTGCAAATCAGCTCTCCTTCCCTATCCACAATGAAGAGCTGGTTGTTAAACATTTTTCAGGCCATTACTGAGGTGCACACATAAGTGAGTGTCAGTAGATCATACCTTAATGATGATACTCAGGAGGAACCACACTCATAATTGTTGGCACTATATGAAGTTGAAAAAAAAATCTCTGTCAGATACTTTGAAAATAATGCAGATAGTTTAATATTAAAGCAATGGTCTTCTTATCCAGAGGCGCATTGGCTAATATTGCTTGGATTCATATAAATTGCCTCATTAGATGTGGTGTTCCATCAATCTAGGGCAAGGGTACATCAGGGAGATCTGTAAGGTTTTTGGAATACTGTGGTCTCAAAATTGTAGAGTGGCTGAGTGCTCAACATTATATTGAGTATACTTTATATATGTCATAATTTTACTAACAATATACTCCTTACTGTCTGTATTTCCTTGAGATTTCTTCTAATTTGCATAATCCTCATGAATGACTCTACATTCTTCTCTTGGAAGGAAGATAAAGGAAACCATGTCTGTAACTAAGTTCCTATCATCAATAGGTCATAGTTTTGGTTATTCAGGAACTTTTAACTTCACCTCTGTTCATAAATGATTTTTTGTTTTCAACTGTGGGGTCCATTTGGGCTCTGGTCTTCCGAGGTGGCTAAGAGGTCTCACTAGCTTGGCTGGCAGGTCCATTTTCAGGAGCTTTCTGTTTGTTCTTTTTCATTTGTACTCTCACTTTTGTTTTTCTTTTCTCTAACTTTTTGGAGATCATCTATCCTGGGGAAGCCCTTCTTGTCATTCATTGTGCATATTGTTCTTGTTTGGCTTTGGAAGTTCTCTCTCTTTCTACAGACTGCTGTCCGTGTTTTTGGGAGCCATGCTTTCTGGAACACATTCATCCTTTTTATTTTAACTACTCAAATATATGAAGATTTTTACTTGTTTTTCTCCATGGTGATCTTCCTATGAAGAAAGGCCCATGAAAAAACATTGTTTGCTCACTTTCCTGGAATTTAGACTTCAGGACCTGCTTCAGTGTTATTATCACCGATGTGCCACTTCTTCCTTCGCCTTCCACCCATGATTCCCCAGCTAATATTTACTTCAGGATCCTGCAGGTGCAGCATGCATGCATGAGTTCATTCACACATTCAACAAATATTTAATGGGGACATACCATGCACCAAATATTGTATTTGGTGCTGGAGATACTCTTACATTCTAGAAAGGGTAGACTGAAAATAAGTACTTTTCAGATAATTAAAATATAGTGATGTGTGTGAGGATAGCAAAAAACAGGGCTGGTAGGCAGGCACAAGTAGTGGCCAGAGTCCTGGCCAGAAGAGGCAGCACCTGGCAGGGTCAGGAGATTAGCATAAAAATGGAAGTTTGAAAACATTTTTTTTTTCGCCATCAGAAAAGGAAGAAAAAATATGGAAAGGGGCAAAACTAGAATGCAATGGACCATGTGGTGTTGGGTTGGAGTATTGACAAGAAATTATGAATATATACATAAAATAAGTGTGAGTGTGTGTGTCTGTGTATGTGCACATGCATATATATTCATGTATATACATACATATAAAGGTATATATATGCATATGAATATATATGTATGTTTACATGTGCATGTATTTTCTATTTATGCCCACTGGAAGGAACTGGGAACAGCAATACCCTAATATGATAAAGCTCATATTTTGGTTTCCAAAAACCACTCTCCACTTGAAGAAATGGTGGATTCCAGCAGTGGGGCAGGGAAAGTAGAAGATGTACCTAGACTAGTTCGTTGTGTTAGAAAGAAGAAAATGCTAAAAGAAGATGGACAGTTGGAAAGGACACAGAAAAGAGGCACCTATGGACCAAATCTAGGACAATAGTGCATCAAAATAAATCTTGATAATTACAGATTATAACCTACTGAATAGAACGGGAAGTGATGACTCCACATTGATATACATGAATAAATAAATGGGGAGCAGAGAAAGCTCTTCCTTATGGTAGAAAGATAACTAATAAATGTAGGAGGGATAATGGTATTAGACAATTACCAATGGCAGCCATCAGAGGGATAATTAATTTAGACAAGAGACATCAAGGAATACTAAAACTAGTGGGTAAAAATGGGGTCAGAAATGGGATTTTACATAGTATCAAATTATTCTCCCACAGACTATTTATTAATTTCAAAGATAAATAGTAATTTTACTATAGAGAAATCTGGAAGACACTGTTTTACTCAAATGGTCAAAATTCACACCAACATCTCTTTTGTAGCCTTCCAACATGCCTTTTTCAGTTCACTCTGGCTGGAATGTGAAAAGTTGATGGGAGAGAACAAATGGACTCAAGGAGGCTGGTTAGAAGGCACTAACAGAGATGGTGGTGGCTTAGAAGAAGGCCATATCAGTGGGGTAGAGAGGAGTGATAGGATTGGAAAATTTTGAAGGTGGAATTTAATAGAGTTTGGTGATGGATTGAGAGGTAGGGAAATGACAGAGGATTAAGGATAATTTGTTGAGTTTTGACTTGAGCATCAGGGTGGATTCTGGGTTCATTTACTGAAATGGAAAAGCTCAAGACAAGGGTAAATTTAGAATGGGGGATTGAAATTAGAGTTCTGTTTTGACAATGTTTAATTTAAGATCCATGTGTGTCAGCCCATTTGGGCTGCTATAACAAAATACCTTAGACTGGGTAATTTATAAACAGTATAAATGTATTGATCATAGTTCTGGAGGTTGGAAAGTCCAAGATCAAAGCACCAGCATCTTCAGAGTCTGGTAAGGGCTTGCTCTCTGCTTCAAAAATGGAGCCTTTTTGCTACATCCTCATATGGTAGAAGAGGGCAAGGCAGCTCTCTTCAATCTCTTTTATTTTGCTTTTATTAATACTTTTAATTAACACATAATAATTGTTCATATTTATGGGCTATAGTAGGATACTTTGATACATATATACAGTGCATAAGCTATAATAGTCAAATCAGGGTAATTAGCATATAAATAACCTCTAACATTTATTATTTCTTTGTGTTGGTAACATTCAAAATTTGCATTTCTAGCTATTTAAAAATATACATTAAGTCAGGTGTGGTGTCTCATACCTGTAATCTCAGCACTTTGGGAGGCCGAGGTGAGAGAATCACTTGAGGCCAGGAGTTCAAGACCAGCCTGAGAAAGATAGCCAGACCCCTACCTCTACAGGTGCATGCCTGTAGTTCTGGCTACACAGGAGGTTGAGGCAGGAAGATTGCTTGCCCCCAGGAGTTTGAGGCTGCAGTGAGCTCTGGTTGTACCACTGCACTCCAGCTTGGGCCACAGAGTAAAACCCTGTCACACACACACACACACACACACACACACACACACACACACGGAAAAGAAAAGAAAAAGTAAACAAGAAAATGTATTATAAGTTGTTGTTAATTATAGTCACCCTACAGTGCTATAGAATATGAGCACTTATTTCTCCTATCTAGCTATAATTTTTTATTCATTAACCAACCTCTCACTGTCCCCCATCGGCCTCTCATAACTGCTATTTCACTCTCTGCTTCTATGAGTGAGAACATGTGGTACTTATCTTTCTGTGTCTGGCTTATGTTACTTAACAAAATGTCCTCCAAGCTCATCCATGTTGCTGCAAGGACAGGGTTTCCTTCTTTTTTATGCCTGAATAGTATTACATTGTGTATATATACCACATTTTTCTTACCCATTCCTCCACTGATGGACACTTAGATTGTTTCTATATCTTGGATATTGTGAATAGTGCTGCAATAGCTGGGGCTGCAGATATCTCTTCAACATACTGATTACCTTTTCTTTGGATATACATCCAGTGAGGGGTTATTGGATGATATGGTAGTGCTATTTTTAGTTTTTTGAGGAATCTCCATGCTGTTTTTCATAATGACTGTGCTAATCTACATTCTCACCAATAATGTATCAGAGCTCTCCTTTCTCTGTATCTTTGTCAGCATTTGTTATTTTTTGTTTCTTTGGATAATACCCATTTTATCTGGGGTGAGACTATATCTCACTATGGTTTTGATTTTCACTTTCCTGATGATTAGGGGTGTTAAGCAATTTTTTTCATATACCTGTGGGCCATTCATATGTCTTCTTTTAAGAAATGTCTATTCAGATCCTTTGCTCACTTTTCAGTCAGATTATTGTGTGTGTGTGTGTGTGTGTGTGTGTGTGTCTGTCTGTGTGTTTTGATGTTGAGTTTTTTTAATTCCTTGTATTCCATATATTAGTCCCTTGTTGGATGAATAGTTTGCAAGTATTTTCTTCCCATTCTGCATGTTGTTTCTTCAGTGTGTTGTTTCCTTTGCTGTGTAGCAGTTTTTTAGTTTGATGTAATCCCATTTGGCTATTTTTGCTTTTGTTGCTTATGCTATTGTGGTTTTGTTGATAGAATCTTGTCCAGACCCATGTCCTGATGTGTTTTCCCTATGTTTCCTTCCAGTAGTTTCATAGTTTGGGTCTTTAATTTATTTTGAGTTGATGTTTTGTAGATGATGAGAGATAGGAGTTTAATTTTATTCTTCTACATATGGATATTCAGTTTTCCCAGCACTATTAATTAAAGAGACGGTCCTTTCCTGAGCAAATGTTCTTGGAGCCTTTGCCAAAAATCAGATGGCTATAAATATGCTGATTCATTTCTGAGTTCTATATTCTGTTCTATTGGTCTGTGTATCTGTTTTTATGCCGGTATCATGCTTTTAGTATATTTTCAAGTCAGGTAATGTGATGTGATGTAATGTAATGTGATGTCTCCAGCATTGTTCTTTTTGCTCAGAATTGTGTTAGCTATCTGGAGTCTTTTGTGGTTCCGTATGAATTTTAGAATTGTTCTTTTTCTATTTCTGTGAAGAGTATCATCGGTATTTTGATGGAGTTCATTGAATCTGTAGATTGCTTTTGGTAATATGGTCATTTTTACAATATTAATTCTTCCAATCCATGAACACTGATGTTTTATAGTTTTTCTTGTAGATATCTTTCATCTCGTTGGTTAAATTTATTTGTAGGTATTTTGTTACTTTTTGTAGCTATTGCAAATGGGATTGCTTTAATTTTTTTTTATTTTTATTTTTTAAGATGGAGTCTTACACTGTTGCCCAGGCTGCAGTGCAATGGCACAGCTCACTGCAACTTCTGTCTCCAGGGTTCAAGTGATTCTTCCACCTCAGCCTCCCAAGTAGCTGGGATTACAGGCACCCACCACCACACCTGGCTAATTTTTGTATTTTCAGTAGAGATACAGTTTTGCCATGTTGGTCACATTGGTCTCGAACTCCTGACCTCAAATGACCCACTTGCCTCAGCCTCCCAAAGTGCTGGTATTATAGGCATAAGCCACCCTGCCCAGCCATAAATGAGATTGCTTTTAAATTTCTTTTACAGCTAGTTTATCCTTGGTGTATAGAAATGCTACTGATTTTTATGTGTTGATTTTGTATCTTACAACTTTATTGAATTCATTTATCAATTCTAAGAGTTTTTTTGGTGACATATTTAAGGTTTTCTGTATGTAAGATCATGTCATCTCCAAACAAGGACAATTTGACTTTCTCCTTTCCAATTTGGATGCCCTTTATTTTTTTTTTCCTGCCTAATTCCTTTGGCTAAAACTCAGCCTCTTTAATAAGGACACCAATACCATTCATGAGGACAGAGCTCCCTGATTTAATCATGTCTTAAAATGCTCTATCTCTTAATACTATCACATTGGGTATTCAATTCCAACATATGAATTTTAGGGAGACACCAACATTTAGACCACAGCTATATGTAATAAGAATCTATCAAAGCTATCTAATATATGAATCTAGGGTTTTTGAGAAAAGTATGACACAAAAGTTAGTGGTCATCAACATATATTTGTGGCATTTAAATCTATGATATCAAAAAAAAAAGTCACCTAGGGAGAACACGAACCCAGAGGAAAATGCAGGCTCAAGCCAGAGCCCTGGACACTCCAACATGTAGAATTCCAGCAGAGGAGACAGAGCTGGGAGAAAAGCAAGAGGATATGGTGTCATAAACGCTAAAGACACAAAGTGGAGTACTTAACCAGTGCTGTTGAGACATCAAGTAAGAGCAGAACAAAAAGGTGGCCTTTAAGTTTGATAACATAGAAGTCATTATTTATTCATCAAATTATCTTGAGTGTCTATTTATTGAATGCCAAGTATTATGCTAGGCGATCGGGGAAGAGAGACAAGTAAAAGACAATTAGAATAGAAAATGTGATAAGTGCTATGATAGGGTTCTATGATAAGTGATATGATAGGTTAGGGAAGATATGCCCAACCTAAACTTGGAGGTGGGAAAGAGGGAATGGAGGCCTCCAGGAGATGTTCAAGCTGGTGTTGAGTGTTTAAGAGTGAGTAAGGATTAAACAGAGTGTGGTAAATTTGCTTTAGGCAAAGGAAACTCATGTACAAAGACATGTAGGCATGATAAACAGAAGTATTAGGAGATTGGTTTGGGTGGAATGTAGTGTCTATATAAAACAGCAGAGCAGGATGAGGTAGGAGAGGTACGTAGGGGCCAGATAATAAAAGCCCTGTATCCCTTATCAGGGATTACCTGATAATCGGCAGAAAAGAAGGAAAAGGCACAAAATCAATCACCTTAAGGATCCCAGGATGGAAGATGTGGAGGACTGCCAGGTGGACTCTGGCTATGCTGTTGAAGGTCTGCTTGTTCAGGCTATCTTTTGTTCTTTTAAATTCCTTCTCCAGGTCATGCGAAGTTGTCATTAGGTCCAAAGCTGGGGAGTGGCTTGGTGAACACAGACATGAAGGTTAATAGAGCAGTTGGCAAGGCAGTTTGGAGGAGAAACTGGAGGCAGAAACATCAGGCTGCAGCAGTGACATGGACATAGAATGACAAGGAACTAGGTGAAGGTCAAAGGCAGGCATCCAGAAGAAAACTATCATTATAAAATATTTGTATAGCCAGATGTGGTGATACGTGCCCGTGGTCCCAGCTCCTCGGGAGGCTGAGGAAGAAGGACTGCTTGACCTCAGAAAGTTGAGGCTGCAGTGAGCCATGTTTATGCTGTTGCACTCCAGCCTGGGAGACAGAGTGAGACCTGGTCTCAAACAAAACAAAGCAAAACAGGATTTGTAAGGGTAACATGACAAGGCTAGCAGGATAAGAATATAGTATTAAGAACTTTGTATTTGAATCTGAGATCTGTATCTATTTGATAATCCATAATAGTATGTCTTGTTTTAACGTATATAGTACTTTACTGAATAGTAGGTATTTTCATTTGATCCTAATGTTGGCATTGTATTCCTAAATTTAATAGAAGTGAGGCTAAGAGAGGTGATTAGGCAAACATCACACACTAGTAATAGTGCAAGATTGTAAACCCAAATGTTATAATTTTGAGTTCAGTAGATCATTTTGCTACCTAGAGAAATCCTGGAATAGTTTCTATCTGGAAGGATTACAGTTGGCTCACGTTTGGCTCACTTAAGGAACTGCGTATCTCAGAGATGGTGCTGTTAGGCCACATACAGACACTCACCGCCAGAGGGTGCCCTTACCCCAAGAGAAAGTTGGCAGTTCTTCCTACAGTTGAAGGATTCTGCTAGCTTTTCTTTTTTCAGGTTGTTTCTTTAGAAGTTGCAGAATGGAGAACTGAATTGTAGTAGCCCAAACGCTGCAAATCTCGGAGCAATGACCTGGAGCCTCCCACAGCTTGTGTCAGAGAGGCAAGATTTGTTAGGGAGATGCTTAATTCTCTCTGAAATAATCCCAGATTATGCCTGGTGGAGGAAGAAAAGAGGAACAGTTCAGAAATTAGATAATTCTGGAGATGTTTGGAGATAAAAGGAGTAATTCTTGTGATTCTAACGCAGGAGTGTAGGGTTCTCTCCAGGGATGATTCTTAGTTGATTTGTAGGTACTCTTCGGTAGATATTCTCAAAGGGTCATATTTTAAAATTTTGATTTTGCCTTAATAGGACAAATACTTTTTGCAACGTTATGAAGGCAATAATCTCAGCCTTTATTCTTATTTTTGTGCACAGGTTCATTTCCTATTGCTCTCTTTCTCCTTTCCCTTCTTTTCCCCTTTCTTTTCTTCCCTTTTCTCTTTCCTTCTTGGCTTCCCTCACTCATCAAAGTTATGTTAGCAACGGATAGAAATTAATTTACCTTGTGGTTGAAGTAGCTGATACTGGCTTAAATGTTAAGCCTAGGAGTATATGCATAGTTATAACAGAAATTAAGGTTCTTAAACCATGAAGTTAGAGCTTAACAGTGGATAGAATGGCATCTAGTGTGCTTGGGTGGTGGAGTTTTTTGAGGGGGACCGGTAGTTTCTCCCCGGAGTTTTAATATATTATTTTCTCATGAGCAGTCCTGTATATGACATGTACTTTATGACTATCCCTCGGACTCTCCTGGTCATGTCATTTGTTGTCTGTTCATAGGGAAAGTGTGAAAAGTGCATAATAATCAGGTTTGGAAAATTTGAAAAGAATCTCCCTTGCTCCCTATGCCCTCCTCTCCTCTTCAATAGCCACCCTTTCAGGAGCCCTAGGAGGATGGCAGGAGCAATCCAGGGCCTGAACAATTGAGATGATTCTCTTGGCCTCCACTTACTTTTCCTCCTCTAGGCATGACCTCTGGGTTTGGTTGGAACAAAAGCAGACTCCAAACATCACTTTCTTGGTGCAGGACTCAGTTTGGAAGGTAAGTCTGGACTCAGTCTGGAAGGTGGAGCCGAGGACACCAGATTTATTACACTCATCATTTTCAATGGTTCCTCTCTTGAAATTCTTCCATAGTGTTATGCTTGAGGAGAATTTGGACTAAAATAATGACACTTAAGTTTATACCCTGAGGAAAAAAAGAAGTAAGTAATAAGAGGCTGGAGGCCCAAGGCAATCTCCCAAGTGGACAGTATGTCTAGGTCTTATTCCTGTTTGTTAAGAGTTGAGAGACATAGTTTATCCTGCTTCCTTCATTGGGTCTTACCATCTTTTTCTTGTGACAGATGCTTTCCTTTGTGGCTTGGGACCACAGTGTCAATGTCATGGAATCAACTATTTATCCAATCGGTGGATTTGGGGCAAGTTCTGATTTATGGTTTCATACTGACAATTTGAAATGGAGTGGGTGTAAGTGCACATGCTGAATAGACTTGATATCAGGTTTCATCTTTTGCAGTTAGTCCTGGCCTATATCTCTCCAGTGGTGGTTTCAATAGTGAATCCCAAGGATTATGTGAAGTGTGGGGCCACTGAGTTTGGCACACCTCTCAAATATGTATCTCTAGAATGAGAGGTGGAGTCTGTCATTCCACCTTTGTAGCTTCACCTCTTTAATCCTTTAAGGTTTCTCAGTCTTCATTTATTAAAATGCAGGAATTCCAGTGAAACTCAAAGCTCAGTCCTTAATAGTTAATGCTTTAGTTTTTTTTTTTTTTTTTTGAGATGGAGTTTCACTCTTGTTGCCCAGGCTGGAGTACAAAGGTGCGATCTCAGCTCACCACAACCTCCGCCTCCCGGGTTCAAGCATTTCTCCTGCCTCAGTCTCCCAAGTAGCTGGGATTACAGGCATGCACCACCACGCCCGGCTAATTTTGTGGTTTTAGCAGAGATGGGGTTTCTCCATGTTGGTCAGGCTGGTCTCTAACTACCGAACTCAGGTGATCCACCCACCTCAGCCTCCCAAAGTGCTGGGATTATGTGTGAGCCACCACGCCCGGCCAATGCTTTAGTTTTTAATTAAAGACTTAGCAGGTATTAGAGTCAAGAAAGGTTTTCCCTTATGGGATCTTCAGATATTGTTCACTTTACAGATGAATAAACTGAGGCCAAAGAGAGATAAGAGAATCATCCAAGGTTACACATCTAAAAAAGCGAACCAGGGCTGCAATTCAATTCTTTCAACTTCTACACTTTCCCTTTTTCCCTCTGTTACCCTGTGAATGAGGCTAGGCTAGGGGTGAAGGTGAGAGGGAGAAAAGGATGCCTGAAGGGCAGAAATGAGCATGTGTAACAGAGGTGTTTAGTTCCCCAACATTTATTCAAAAACATTCACAGGACACTACTATTCTAGGCTCTGAGTTGGGCATTGTGGCATTAAAGATAAAAGTATGACTTAGTTGCTATTCTCTCTAGCTCTCCGGTCTAGAGCTGCGCAGGTAAACAAATCAGCAGTTATATTGAGTGTGATGGTAGAAATGAGTGCCATGGGTGTGCATTGGAAGATGGTCTATTGTCAGGATCCTTTTCATTTCAAGTGACAGAACTCTTAGCTTAAACCAATTTGAAGAAAAGAGATAATTTACTGATTCACATAATTAGAAGGTCCAGAAGGTATTTTTGGTTTCAAACACAGATATATTCAGGATCTCAAATACTCCGGACAGTGTCTCTAGGCTCTTTCTTCTTTTGCATTGACATCATTTTCAGACAGTCCCTGAGTGGTGCCAAGGATGGATCAGACATTTGTAGTCTCACTTCTTCTAAGCTTAGCACCCCTAATGGAAAGAGGATTTTTTCTGTCAAGTTACTCTCACTGTACTAACTTGAATCCCATGCCTATCCTAAAGCAACAAGGGGAATTGGAATACTCTCATTGGCCAGTCTGGGTCTGAGTCAAATACTTACCCTGGTGCTGAAAGAATGGGATTAGCCTCACTCAAACAACATGGGTTGATTATGGAGGAGGATGCCTTGTGGTCATGCAAAACCGGCGCACACTGTATCACTAACTGGAGGAGAGGTGGAGAGAAGAAATAGAGGGTTGTTCTGTTTCAAAACCCAACTGGGTGCAGTATGGTTCTACTGATTGTATCATTCTGATGATGATAATATCATTCTGATACTAACCATCTGAAGTTAGTATCAGACTCCCCAAGTTAAAGCATGTTTTCTACAATACTCCCCTTCAGGGTCCTGCTGTACTTTGGGAGGTCTCCAGATAACCTGTGCTTCTGACTGATATAAATTTGGTGGTTTCCATCACTCCCGCTGATTTGATAATTTGCTAGAATAACTTGCAGAATTTTTTAAAGTGTTATGATTACAGTTTTATTATATAGGGCATACATAGTGTGAGGTCTGGGAGGGACTGAAGAGCTTCTACATTCTGTCCTGGTAGAGTCAGGGTCCATTACATTCTTGGCATAACAATTTGTTCAACAACCAAGAAGTTCTGTAAGCCTCCATATCTAGAGTTTTTGTTGGATTTCGTTACATAGATATTATTGATTAAGTCATTGCCCATGTGACTGAGCTAAATCTCCAGTCCTGCTCTCCTCTCTGGAGGTCCAGTGGCTGAAAGTGCCAACCTTCTTCTGGTGATGAGTCCCCATCCTGAAGCTATTTATGGGCCCACCATGAGTTACATCATTAGCATAACAAAGACACTCCTAACAATTAGAAAATCCCAAGAGTTTTTAATAAAAGTTATTTATTTATTTTTAAATTGGAAAATAATAATCGTACATATTCATGGGGTACCTAGTGATGTTTTGATATATATCATGTATAGTGATCAGATTAGGGTGATTAGCATCTCCATCACCTCAAACATTGATCATTTCTTTGTGCTGGGAACATTCAGAGATCAAAGATCAGACAAGCTCTTTATACCACAGGGTTCAAGGAAAGCTTCCTAGGAAAGTTACACTTGAGTTGGGTCTTTACACTTCATATTGGCAAAGACCACATCTGTGTGAAATCACTAATGTGTGAAAAAGAAGGGTAGATTCAAAGGACTACAAGTATAGTGAATAAGGCAAGAGAGTGGGCTATAGAGATGGGACGATGTCCACATCTGTCAGCGCTTTGTAGGTCTGATTTTATCTTGTGCAAGCTGTGAGGAGCCAGTGAAGGATTCAAATTTGAGTCACTAGCATAAATATGGAGGGTGGTGGGAAGTGGAGCAAGATGAAATTATATGACTATAATTAATCAGGTAAGAATTCCAGTTTCCAGAGGCACCTTTTCACTACTTTACCAAGGAGAGACCCTTGCTGCCTATATTAGTGTCCTAGGGTGCTATAACAAATCATCACAAACTAGGTGGCTTAAAACAACAGAAATTTATTCTTTCATAGTTTTGGATGCCAAGAGTCCAACATGAAGTTGCTGTTCAGTTGGGTTCCTTTGGAGGGACGGACAGTGTGTTCCTTGCCTCTCTCCCAGCTTCTGGTGATTGCCAGCAATTCTTGGCATTCCTTCGGTTTCGGAGGCATTGGCCTAATCTCTGTGTTTGTCCTCACATGGTGTTCTTCTGTATCTCTGTGTCCAAATTTTCTCTTCTGATCAGGACAACAGTTATTAGGTTACAACCTACCCTAATTCAGAATGACTTCGTCTTCATTTGATTACAACTTCAGGGACACTATTTTCAAATCAGGTTATATTCACAGGTATTGGAAGTTAGGATTTTAACATATCTATTAGGGGGACACAATTTAGCCTATATCATGTCCCAAGCCTACCAGAACACAGAAAACAAACTGATGAGTCATCTGTGGCTTTGTGGTTAACAGCTATCCCTTTGGCCTCATTCACTTGAAGCCCATAAACTCTGATAGCCCTTCGTGTAAAGTGTCTTTTTCTTTATTGGCTGAGCTGGTAGGGTGAAAAGTATTGTCCTTGCTAATATCTTGGAGGAGAAGAATCTGCTTCTTTATTTTCCCTCCAAAACTATGTTTTAAATTGGCAGGTGGTGGGGGAGGTACTTTGAGTGAGTACATCCCTTCCCTCCAGCAGTCTATAATTCTCATTCTCATAGCAGTCCCATTTCTCTAGAGAAAATAGGTAATGCCTGACCCTAAGCCCAAGGACTGCTCATATCTTTCAGAAAGAGGGATGGTGGTATGAAACAACCATAGAATGACCATACTGACTGTTCCCTTACCTTCTCTCACTTCCTTCTCAACCAACACATGAAATGGTACACTTCAATCTGGTGTCTTCTTTGCTGTGTTTAGGTTGTAGTCCCTTGTAATCAAAATGTTTTACTGATCATGTCTCATTCATTCTAAACATGCAGCTGTGTGTTGGCAGTTCTAAGACTGGTTTCTACACTTTTGATTGAACCAGATACTTCCAGCATGTAAGGTACATCCTGGGAATCACATAGGTACATTTAGGGAGTCAATTTGTTTAATGATTCTCTAATTTCCTCAAAGAGACAAGGTGTACCTAGAAAGAAGTTAAGTTTTTGAGGTCATGGACATTCAGGTGTTTTACTAAGGAGGCCCAATTTCCTGTCTCTCTGGTGCCAATGTTATAAGATCAAGGATGGCTGGCCTTTCTGTACTTCTTTTTAAAGATTTTATGCATTTTTCTTCTTCTATCTACTATGGATTACTGCAAATTAAGGCAAAGGAGTTAATTTTTTAAATTTATTTTTAGAGTTGGAAGTAATGAGGTCTAGGTAGGTGCAGTGAATTTCCCAGATTCACTTCATGGAGTGACTCACTCATCCTGGTTTGTCCCAGACTTTTCTGGATTTCAAACCAAAAGTCCCAGATCTTGAGAACTTCCTCAGTCAGCCTTAAAAAGACCACAAATTCCTCAATGTCAGAGATTGTTTTGCATGGCTTCCATATTCACTATCTTACTCCTTCTTTCCCTCATCACGATATTTAGTGTAAATTTCAGCATGTATCTGCTGTCTAAGAGAATGTTCACCTAAGAAGCCAGAGCTAAAAGCAGCAAAGAAAAATCACGCAATTTCCAGTATTTGACTTTGTCCCATTAGTGTTCCGAATACAGAAAAGACTGAGAAGGTTAGGAGGGAGAAAGTGATGGAAATGGAGGATGCAAACTCAGAATGCTGTTTTTAGTCTAGGAGGAGTCTTCAGTTGAGTTACTGGCTTTTCTCCAAGGGTTAAACAGCTCTGAAGTTCCAGAGGAAGGCCCTGGAAATGTCCCCTTTTTCAGGAGACATCATTATGTAAATTTCTCCCATGAGATCAAAGCAAGTGTCCATCCGGTGATGTCCTGTTCCATCTCCCTTCACCCCTGGTGATCATCCCTCTGATGCAATTTATGGACTGTGATCAACAAAATACTTGTAATAATTTCATAGTTAGAATATATTCACATGCTTGTTGTTATGGCAACCATCAATAATATTAATAAAACCCTGTCTGGTTGAAGCAGATGAATGGGACATGTAAACACAGACAAGAATAGCCATATCAGACATCAACATGGATCAACACAAGCACAACAGTCTGTATGCTGATTTTCGCCTTCCACTGTATTCCCAGCAGTCTCATCTGTTTTACTTATGCCTGAGCCCCCCATTGGCTTCAGTGTAAGGGCTATGTAAGTGGGTACACATCAGGAAGGGGCCCACTTTGACCTCCAAAATGAGAAAAAGAGAAAGAGCTTACCATGAGTCTAGTATTCCATGAAACTAGGGGTACCCTGTATGGGTATTTGTACACTGTTCATCAATTATGGTAATCATAAAACATATTGTCTAAAAAGCTTGCTCTTATTAAGCATTCACTTTGCACATGTTGGTGACAAATAGTGATTTTAGCTGGAGGATCACTGGATACAACAGCCTGGTGATGACTGCATTCACTCAGATTCTTCTTTTACAAAATGGAATAATCAAACCTACCTTATAGGCTGTTGCGATATTCTAATGAGATAATGTAAACAAAGCTCTTAGCAGAGTGATAGCAAATGAGTGCTCAGCAAATGAAATCTCCTGGGAGGCTATCTAGCACAATGTTCATGGACTTTGAAGTTAGTTCAAATTCCAAGTTACTCATTTTACAGCTGTGCATCCTTGGGCAAGTTTTTAAAATCTCTCTCAGCATGAGATGAACTTCCACATCTACTGAATGAAAAGATTAATAGTACCCACAGTATGGGATTGCTGTGAGAATTAAATGACATTATGTACCAAAGATGCTTACTTCAGTGCTTAAGACTTGGCCAGGGCTCAATAAGCAGTAGCAATTGCTGATATTACTGGTAATTACTAGTACTGTTATCACTGTGAGCTGCCCAGGATATGACAGATAAGAGTTTCAGCGAAAACTTTAAGGGAACATTTTTTTTGGTGAGGTGGTGAGGGGATAGAGTGGGGTTATGCAGATAATGATTATAATTTTTCTCTGTTCACCTTTGGTAAGTACAGGTGCCACAAAGCCAAGGAAACTTCAATAGACTCCTAGTTTACTTCAGTGACAGCCTGGAAGCATTACTTTTTGTACATCTGTCTCCAATTTCTAAGTTTCACGTTCAAAACCATCGGTAGTACTGTAACTCATCAGATTATATTGTCTATTTCTTCTAGACTTAAAGCACATCTTATCTACTTCTAGTCTTCTTTTCCTCTCATCTCTTTGTACTGTCAGTGCTCACCTTTGCTATTTCCTTTCTTATCTTTTCACTCACTGAGCCAGCATTCTGGTAATATATACTATCTAGAAGTCAGAAAACTTGACTGCCATGGAGCGGAATGAGAAACTTTTTTTTACCTGAAACCAGCAAGCCACAGTGTCCCTGATACCAGAAAGATCTTTAGTCCTTAATAACCCTTCTTCTTCTAACAACTTTCCTTTGCTCAATCATAAAAAAACTGTTGTTAAGAAGATTGATTGTTCCTAACTTCTTGCTTTGAGCCCTCACCAGCAGGTCCCCAAAGTCGAGATTTCTACTAAAAATATATTCAAGACAATTTAGGCTTTCTTTAAACATGCTCCTCAAAACTCATTTGACCTATATCCACTGCCCAGTTCCAAAGCTGCTCCCGTATTTCTAAGTATTTGTTATGGTACCAAAATCTGTATTAGTTAGATACCTTAAAAAATTACCTTCAAACTTAGAACCTTTTAACAACAAACATTTATCATCTCAAATTTTGTGGGCCAGAAAACTGGGTGTAAGTTATCTAGATGCTTCCACCTCAAGGTCTCTTGCAAGCCTGTCATCAAATTTCTGGCTGTGACTGCAATCTCATCAAAATGCCCAACTGAGGTAAGTTCCATTTCCAAGCTCATTGTCACTCAAATGGTTGTAACAGGATTCAGTTCCTCATGGGCTGTTTGACAGAGAGTCTTGGTTCTTCACTGGCTGTTGTTTGGAGGCTGTTGTTTGATTGTGGGTCTTTTCATAGGCTAGTTCATGAAAAAGCAGCTGCCTTCAATCAGAATGAACCAAAGAGTGCAAGTGTTTGGGATGGAAGCCACATCCTCTTTAACATAATCTCGGAAGTGACATACCATTGTTTTTGCTGTATTCTAGATTAGAAGTGAGTTACAAGGTCCATCTCATACCCAATTCACCAAGGATAGGGGATTACTAGGATGTGGGGATCACTGGGGGTCATTTTGGAGGCTGCCTACTACAGGCAACTGTCTTATGCTATGAGCAGGCAGGGAGAAGAAACAAGATGTACACAGAAAAGCAGAGATAAGGACCAGAATCTGCCTTGGCTCCTGTCACCTTTCAAGTTCATAATTACAGCCCTCAGGAGAACCAACTGCACTGTTTGCTGTAGGCTTCCATGTTATGTTCCTGTAATCTATGCAATAAATTCTCATTTTATCTTCCTTAAGAGAGCTTAAGAGATTTATTTTACATGCCACGAGATGGCCTTGACTGAGACGGGATTGCACTTTGTTAGCACAGGTCTAGGCTCATATTTGATGCTGCAATCTTACTTGCTGAATAAATTATTGATTTTTTCTTTCTTTTGAAACAGGGTCTTGCTTTGTCATCCAGGCTGGAGTGCAGTGGCATGATCTCAGCTCACTGCTGCTGAGTTGTTAAGGCACCCTGGGCCCAAGTGATCCTTTCACCTCATCCCCACAGGTAGCTGGGACTACAGGCATGTGCCACCATGCCTGGCTAATTTTTGTATTTTTTGTAGAAATGGGATTTTGCATGTTGACCAGGCTAGTCTCAGACTCCTGAGTTCAAGCAATCCTCCTGCTTTGTCCTCCCAAAGTGCTGGGATTATGGGCATTAGCCCCCATGCCTAGATAAATTATTGATTTTTTTTCTACCATGTTCCCTGTGGGACTATGGTGTCATCTTAAACATAAACAAACACCAGCAAGAATACCTCCTATTTCAGTATTTGGCATTAACCCTAATTTCCAAGGGAGAGGATTTCTCACAGGCTGAGGGGTTAGGCCAGGGCCTGGTGGTGTGAGTTGTTTATTGTATTTGGTTTTATTCACTTTTACAATATTTGTGTGAGGAGTAGACTCACTACCATAGGCCCTCACATTCCATGGGAGATGCTGACTCAATAACTGGGGAAGGTAATTGGAAGTTGCCCACAATGCATTCCTTGCTCCAAATAGTCTGAGGCAGGGACCTTTATCATTAGTCTCAGCTTGGTCCAGTGTGTTTTGGAGTTTTATTTCTTTAGTTTTTCACCACTGTCCCAATGCAAACTGCCTAGCTCTGTGGTAATGTGGACTAACTGTGCAGTATTCAAAATTCCATGTTTTGGCAAAATGTGGAAATTCCTTTGAGGACAACTGTGGCTCATTGTCAGAGATAATCCTTTCAGGAATTCCATGTCTGGCAAATGTGGCCTTCAATTTGTGGACTCTTGTGGTAAATTGGTATTGTTCAGGCTTTCCAATCCTGAGATTTTTATTGTAGTTATCCTCTCTAATGATATAGTTTCTGTTACTTTTTCTTCCAGATAAACATATTGGTGCCAATGTCTGCTGTGGTCTGGTTGTGGAGGCTTGGGATATCATTGTTTTAAAAAATATATATATTATACACCTTTCAAATGAGATTGAGCATTCACTGATGAGTAAGCCTATTTACTAATGAAACTACTG
Source organism: Homo sapiens (assembly GCF_000001405.40). Taxonomy (NCBI): domain Eukaryota; kingdom Metazoa; phylum Chordata; class Mammalia; order Primates; family Hominidae; genus Homo; species Homo sapiens. The sequence goes on from NC_000001.11 coordinate 176,385,444, forward strand.
AACTCAAAGAGTAGGCTGTGGTTGGCATTTTTTATGCTTACTGGGACCACGACAGAGTTTGAACACTGCAAGAGACGGTGGAGATTATCCAGTTCACAACCCTCGGCTCAAAGTCAGCCTTAACTGATCCAGGGCTTGAACACAGGGTTTGTGATTTCTTTCTCTACCACACTATTTTTAACTTGAGGTAGTCTCTTGTTGTCAAATATGCTTTATATAGCCAAGAGAAATGGAACTTAACTTCAACTAACATTTCAAGTGATTATCTCTTATTTCTATTAGTATTCTACTTCCTCAAAACTCCTAAAGATAGTAAACTCACATTTACCTAGAAGTCAGATGTAACTTAATGTTTTCAGGTTTTTCAGACTGGCCAGTCTTTACATTTCTGTAACAATTAAATGACAATAATTAGATCTTCCAAGTTTTGTGACTGTAGGAAGTCCAGTTCTCTAAGTATCACTGAGCATGCTTAGTTTGCAACAGGAATGATAGAATATCACATGCTACTTATTTGCTATATGCCACAATACACACACAACAGTATCAGAATAATAACACCAGCCCTTCTACAAACACTATAATTTGGATACTATTTTTGAAGTTCCTTTGATCTTCCTCTCTGTGTGGTTACATGACTAGGTGGATACACATGTAGCTTTTTAAATTTTATTTTAAGTTTTTTGAAGATGATTTCTTAAATTTAATTTTTTACAACCATGTATGTGGTTCTAAAGTTAAATCTATATAAAGACCTGTTCAGAGAAATACTGAATATCCTAGTCTCCTCCACAATATTCTTTACCTACAGGTAATTAATTTTTAATATTATGATTTATTCTTCCATTTTCTGTTTGTTACATAAATAGTCTTTTACCATGTAGTATTTAAACAAATCTCTTTTTATAGTGTATATAAACTTGGTATTTAGAAAAATTCACATTTCATTATAATTGTCTGTGAATACATGCATTTTAATTTTTCCTCTTAAATTTGAATATGTTTTATTTCTTTATCTTGTCTAATTGTAGTGGCCAGCACTTCCAGTACAGTGTTAAATAGAAGTGGCGAGAATGGAGGCGGGAGCGCAGTGGCTCACAATGGTAACCCTAGCACTTTAGGAGAGTGAAGCAGGTGGGTGGATTGCTTGAGCTCAAGAGTTTGAGACCAGCCTGGGCAACACTGCAAAAATCAATATCTCTATTAAAAAAATAAAAATTAGTGAGGCATGGTGGTGCATGCCTGTAGTCTCAGCTACTGGAGGCTGGGGTTGAGGTGGGGGTAGGGGGTGCTGAGAAGGCAGGAAAATCACTTGAGCCCAGGAGGCTGAGGGTGCAGACCTTGCCAGAACTTCCAATACTATGTTGAATAGGAGTGGTGAGAGAGGCCATCCTTGTCTTGTGCAGGTTTTCAAAGGGAATGCTTCCAGCTTTGCCCATTCAATATAATATTGGCTGTGGGTTTGTCATAAATAGCTCTTATTATTTTGAGATATGTTCCATCAATACCTAGTTTATTGAGAGTTTTTAACACGAAGGGATGTTGAATTTTATCAAAGGCCTTTTCTACATCTATTGAGATAATCATGTGACTTTTGTCTTTGGTTCTGTTTATGTGATGGATTACATTTATTGATTTGCATATGTTGAACCAGCCTTGCATCTCAGGGATGATGCCAACTTGATCATGGTGGATAAGCTTTTTGATGTGCTGCTGGATTCGGTTTGCCAATATTTTATTGAGGATGTTCACATCAATGTTCTTCAGGGATATTGGCCTGAAAGTTTCTTTTTTGTTGTTGTGCCTCTGCCAGCTTTTGGTATCAAGATGATGCTGGCTTCATAAAATGAGTTAGGGAGGAGCCCCTCCTTTTCAATTGTTTAGAATAGATTCAGAAGGAATGGTACCAGCTCCTCTTTGTACCTCTGGCTGTGAATCCGTCTGGTCCTCGCCTTTTCTTGGTTGGTAGGCTATTAATTACTGCCTCAATTTCAGAATTCGTTATTGGTCTATTCAGGGACTCAACTTCCTGGTTTAGTCTTGGGAGAGTGTATGCGTCCTGGAATTTATCCATTTCTTCTAGATTTTCTAGTTTATTTGTGTAGGGGTGTTTATAGTATTCTGTGATGTAGTTTGTATTTCTGCAGTGTCAGTGGTGAGATCTCCTTTATCATTTTTTATTGTGTCTATTTGATTCTTTTTTTTAATTTCTTTTTTTTAACTTGTATTTTAAGTTCAGGGGTACAAGTGCAGGTTTGTTCCATAGGTAAACTTGTGTCATGGGGGTTGTTATATTTCTTAATCTGGGTACTGAATACACAGGTTTGAAAATTAGTAGATGCTATCCATTTAGGTATTGCAGACTCTTCTGAATAAATACTACATTGTAAACAATATCTTCTTTTTTTTGAGTTCATCATTTAAAATTTTTTTTTTAAATTTTATTATTATTATACTTTAAGTTTTAGGGTACATGTGCACAACGTGCGGGTTTGTTACATATGTATACATGTGCCATGTTGGTGTGCTGCACCCATTAACTCGTCATTTAGCATTAGGTATATCTCCTAATGCTACCCCTTCCCCCTCCCCTACCCCACAACAGTCCCCAGTGTGTGATGTTCCCCTTCCTGTGTCCATGTGTTCTCATTGTTCAATTCCCACCTATGAGTGAGAACATGCGGTGTTTGGTTTTTTGTCCTTGCGTTAGTTTGCTGAGAATGATGGTTTCCAGTTTCATCCATGTCCCTACAAAGGACATGAACTCATCATTTTTTATGGCTGCATAGTATTCCATGGTGTATATGTGCCACATTTTCTTAATCCAGTCTATCGTTGTTGGACATTTAGGTTGGTTCCAAGTCTTTGCTACTTGAATAGTGCCACTATAAACATACGTGTGCATGTGTCTTTATAGCAGCATGATTTATAATCCTTTGGGTATATACCCAGTAATGGGATGGCTGGGTCAAATGGTATTTCTAGTTCTAGATCCCTGAGGAATCACCACACTGACTTCCACAATGGTTGAACTAGTTTACAGTCCCAACAACAGTGTAAAAGTGTTCCAATTTCTCCACATCCTCTCCAGCACCTGTTGTTTCCTGACTTTTTAATGATCGCCATTCTAACTGGTGTGTATTTGATTCTTCTTTCTTTTCTTCCTTATTAGTCTAACTAGCAGTATATCTATTTTGTTAATTTTTTCAAAACACCAGCTCCTGGATTCATTGATTTTTTTTTTTGGAGGGCTTTTTTTGTATGTGTGTTCCCATCTCCTTCAATTCTGCTCTGATCTTAGTTATTTCTTGTCTTCTGCTAGCTTTTGTGCTAGTTTGCTCTTGCCTCTTTAGGTCATTTAATTGTGATGTTGGCGTCTTGATTTGAGATCTTTCTAGCTTTCTGATGTGGACATTTAGTGCTATAAATTTCCTTCTTAACACCGCTTTAGCTGTGTCCCAGAGCTTCTGGTACGTTGTCTCTTTGTTCTCATTGGTTTCAAAGAACGTCTTGATTTCTGCTCTAATTTCATTGTTTACCCAGGGGTCATTCAGGAGTAGGTTGTTCAATTTCCATGGAATTGTGTGGTCTTGAGTGAGTTTCTTAATCCTGAGTTCTAATTTGATTGCACCATGATCTGAGAAACTGTTTGTTGTGATTTCATTTCTTTTGCATTTTCTGAGAAGTGTTTTAGTTCCATTTATGTGGTTGATTTTAGAATAAGTGCCATGTGGCACAGAGAAGAGTGTATATTCTGTTGATTTGGGGTGGAGAGTTCTGTAGATGTCTATTAGGTCTGCTTGGTGCAGAGCAGAGTTCAAGTCCTAAATATCCTCATTAATTGTCTGTCTCATTGATCTGTCTAATATTGACATCAGGGTGTTAAAGTCTCCAACTATTATTGTCTGGGAGTCTAAGTCTCTTTGTAGGTATCTAATAGCTTGTTTTATGAATTTGAGTGCTCCTGTATTGGGTGCATATATATTTATGATAGCTCTTCTTGTTGAATTGTTCCCTTTACCATTATATAACAACCTTGTTTGTCTTTTTTGATCTTTGTTGGTTTAAAGTCTGTTTTATCACAGACTAGGATTGAAACCCCTGCTTCTTTTTGCTTTCCATTGCTTGGTAAATTTTCCTCCATCCCTTTATTTTGAGCCTATGTGTGTCTTTGCACATGAGATGGGTCTCCTGAATACAGCACACCAATGGGTCTTGACTCTTTATCCAGTTTGCCAGTCTGTGTCTTTTAATTGGGGCACTTAGCCCATTTACATTTAAGGTTAATATTATTATGTGCGAATTTGATCCTGTCCTCATGATGATATCTGGTTATTTTGCACACTAGTTGGTGCAGTTTCTTCATAGTGTCATTGGTCTTTGCATTTTGATGTGTTTTTGCAGTGGCTGGTACCAACTTTTCCTTTCCATATTTAGTGCTTCCATCAAGAGCTCTTGCAAGGCAGGGCTGGTGGTGATGAAATCATCTGCTTGTCTGTAAAGGATTTTATTTCTCCTTTGCTTATGAGGCTGAGTTTGGCTGGATTTGAAATTCTGGGTTTAACATTCTTTTCTTTAAGAATGTTGAATATTGGCCCCCAATCTCATCTGGCTTGTAGGGTTTCTGTTGAGAGGTCCACTTTTAGTCTTATGGGCTTCCCTTTGTAGGTGACCTGGCCTTTCTCTCTGGCTGCCCTTAACATTTTTCCTTTATTTAGACTTTGGAGGATCTGATAATTACGTGTCTTGGGGTTGGTCTTTCTCATGTAGTATCTTAATGATGTTCTCTGTATTTACCAAATTTACATGTTGGCCTGTCTTGCTAGGTTGGGGAAGTGCACCTGGATAATATCCTGAAGTGTGTTTTCCAGCTTGTTTCCATTCTCCCCTTCTCCTTCAGGTACTCCAGTCAATCGTAGGTTTGCTACTTTTACATAGTCCCATATGGAGCCTTAGTTCATTTATTCATTCCTTTTCATTCTTTTTTCTCTAATCTTGTCTGCATGCCTTATTTCAGCAAGGTGGTCTTCAAGCTCTGATTTTTTTTTTTTTTTTTTTTTTTTTTTTTTTTTTTTTTTTTTTGAGACGGAGTCTCGCTCTGTTGGCTAGGCTGGAGCACAGTGGCATGATCTTGACTCACTGCAACCTTTGCCTCTTGGGTGCAAGTGACTCTACTGCCTCAGCCTCCCAAGTACCTGGCAGTACAGGCATGTGCCACCATGCCCAGCTAATTTTTGTATTTGTAGTAGAGACAGGGTTTTGCCATGTTGCCCAGGTTGGTCTCAAACTCCTGAGCTCAGGCAATCCACCTGCCTCAACCTCCCAAAATGCTAGGATTACAGGTGTGAGCCACTGCACCCAGCCCAAACACTGATATCTTTTCTACCACTTGGTCAATTCAGCTTTTGATATTTATGTATGCCTCACAAAGTTCTTGTGTTGTGTTTTTCAGCTCCATCAGGTCATTTATGTTTCTCTCTACACTGGTTATTCTAGTTAGCAGCTCCTCTAACCTTTTACAAAGGTTCTTAGCTTCTTTGCATTGGATTAGAACATGCTCCTTTAGCTCAGTGGAGTTTCTTATTACCTATCTTCTGAAGCCTACTTCTGTCAGTTCTTCCATCTTATCCTCCGTCCATCAGCACCCTTGCTGGAGAGGCATTGCAATCATTGGAGGAAAAGAGGCACTCTGGCTTTTTGGGTTTTCAGCATTTTTTCATTTGATTCATTCTCATATTCATGAGTTTGTCTAGTTTCAATCTTTGAGGCTGCTGACCCCTGGATGGGGTTTTCATGGGGACTTTTTTGTTTTTGTTGATGTTGTTGTTGTTGCTTTCTGTTTGTTTGTTTTTCTTTCAATGGTCAGGTCCCTCTTCTGTAGGGCTGCTGCAGTTTGCTGGGGGTTCACTTCAGGCCCTATTCATTTGGTTCACTCCCACACTTGGGGATGTCACTCAAAGAGCCTGGAGAACAGCAAAAATGGGTGCCTGCTCTTTCTTCTGGGATCTCTGACTTTGAGGGGCAGTAGGGTTGCTGACACCAGTAATTTCTGACCAGGACTGCTGAGACCAACCTGACACCAGTAGGATTGCTCCTGTATAGGGTGTCTGACAACCTATATAGGGGACAGGATCTGTTTAACAAAGCACTTTGACTGTCCTTAGTGGAGGGGGTGGGCTTCACTGGAGGGAAACCCACTCATCTAGGCTGCCTGGATTTCTTAGAACTGCTAGGAGGAAAAGGCTAAGCTTGCTGGTCTGAAGAGAATGCAGCCACCCCTCCCGCTAAGGGCTCAGGCCCAGGGAGGTCAGGGTTTTGTCCTTGAGCCTCTGGCTGGAGTTTTTGCAGTTCCCGCAGGGAGGCCCCACCCAGTGAGGAAGGATGGGTCAGGGTCAGGCCTGAAAAGGTGCTCTGGCCACAGTCTGCCACAGCTGGTATGTTGGGCTGTGGGGAACACCTCTTTGGACTAAGCCATACAGCCTCCCTGGCTCCAGCAGGGGAAAAGCACAGCTTGGAGCTACAGAGATAGCTGCCACCTTTCCCCCACTCACAGAACTTATCATGTTAGGCAGTTATGAGTCCCAGTGCTGGATGCAGCCCCTTTTCCAAGGAGTTCAAATGGCTTAGACAGCAGGCAGCCACAGCTGTGGTGCTGGTCACCCCTCCCCTTGGGAACTTGGCAGTCTAAAGCAGATTCTAGTTGAGAGGCTGTTGAGAATGTTTGAGGCTCTGGGGTTCGGACCTTAGGCCCTGGTGGTGTGGGTTCACAAGTGGGATCTTCCATACCACACTGCCCTTCCTTCCTCTCTGTGGATCATGCCAGCCACCTAGTCAATTCTGATGAGAGAACCTGGATAGCTTGGTTGCCAGTGCAGAATTCACTCGCTAATTATGATTCTTTTCAATAGGAGCCTCTGATCACTGCTACTTCTGGTAGGCCATCTTGGCCCCACCCCCCTTATTACCTTAAAGGTTTTAAAGTATGGATTCAATTAAAAAAAAGTTGTGTGTCTTTATAATAATGTATTTTTTCTTGAGTGAGTTTGAATTTGTGTCTTTCAAGAAGTTAATTTCATTTAATATTTCAAATTTATTGGTGTATAGTTGCTCATAATTTTTATCTTTTTAATTTCTATAGATTCTGTAGTGATATCACCTCTCATATCTCTGATATTAACAATTTTTCCTTCCTTTTTTTTCTTGTGAGTCTGGCTAGGAGTTACCAATTTTATTTTTTTTTCTGTCTTTTATATATATATATATATATTTTATTATACTTTAAGTTCTAGGGTACATGTGCACAACGTGCAGGTTTGTTACATATGTATACATGTGCCATGTTGGTGTGCTACACCCATTAACTTGTCATTTACATTAGGTATATCTCCTATTGCTATCCCTCCCCCCTCCCCCCACCCCACAACAGGCCCCTAAGAAACTACTTTCCATTTAATTTATTTTCTCCATTGCCTTTCTCCTATATATGTCATTGGTTTTCATTCTAATCTTTATTATTCATTTTCTTTTGCATATGATGTCTTTAGTTTGCTCTCCTTCTTTCAGTTTGACAAATTAAGGTGGAAACTGAGGTCATTTATTTGAAATGTTTATTTTCTAACAAGATCATTTATTATTACATATTTTCCTCTAACCTCCACTTAGCTGCATCTCACAAATTTTGAGATTTTTTTTTTTTATTGTCATGTAGTTTAAAATACTTTCTCTAGCTTCCCTTTTGATTTCTTCTTTGGCACAGTTTCTTTAGAGCAGAAATCCCCAACCTTTTTGATACCAAGGACTGGTTTCATGGAAGACAATTTTTCATGAACTGGGGAATGGTAAGTTTTAGGATGATTCAAGCACATTTACTGTGCACTTTATTTATATTATTATTACATTGTAATATGTAATGAAATAATTATGTAACTCACCATAATGTAGAATCAGTGGGAGCCCTGACCTTGTTTTCCTGCAACTAGACAATCCCATCTGGGGGTAATGAGAGACAGCAATAGATCGTTAGGAATTAGATTCTTGTAAGGTGTGTGCAACTAAGATCCTTCATATTGCACAGTTCACAATAGGGTTCGTGCTCTTATGATAATCTAATGCCACCACAGATCTGACAGGAGGTAGAACTCAGGTGGTAATGCTAGCAATGGGGAGCTGCTGTAAATACAGATGAAGCTTTTCTTGCTTACCTGCTGTTCAACTCTTGCTGTGTGTCCTGGTTCCTAACAGGCCGTGGTACCAGGTTGGGAACTCCTGCTTTAGAGAGGTTTTCTTACATAGTTTATGTGTTTTATTTTTAATTTGGTTCCATTGTGGCTTGAGAACATGCTTTGTATGATTTAAATCCTTTAAAATTTATTGAGCCTACTCTAATAGCTCATAATATGATTTCTATAAATACATGTTCATGTAAACAACAGAATGTATATCTTATTGTTGACTAGACATTCTAAATGTCAATTAGGTCATCTTGGTTTAAATGCAATTTAAGTGTCCTATATACTTTATTGTTTTCCTGTGATATCAACTATTAGGAGGTGGTGTTGAAATCTTCAGCTGTAATTACGGATTTGACTCTTTTTTTCTTGCAGTTCTATTGGTTTCACTACATTAATTTTGAAGTGCTGTTATTAGGCATATAATCTTTTAGTATTGTTTTCTCCCCTGATGAATTGATCTCTTTATCATTATGAAATGAAATACTTCATCCCTGGTAATATTCTTTGCTCTGAAATCAACTTTGTCTGATATTGATGTAATTATCCCAGCTTACTTTTGATTAATATTAGCACATTATGTTCTTTTTTTCTCTCAGCCTTTAACTTTTAACCTATTGGTGTCTTTATATGTGAAATGAATTTCTCATAGGTAGCAAATATTTGGGTTATGTTTTTAAAATCCATTTTGATAATATTTCTCTTTACATTGGGATATTTATACAATTTACAATTATTGTGATAATTGAGGTGGTTGGGTTTAAACTACTATCTTGCTATGTATTTTCTATTTGTCTAATCTGGTTTTTATTCACTTTTCACTATCATTTTTTAGGTTCATTATAATGACATAGTTATTTTTTTATTTTATGGATAAAAACCAACAAAGGTCCATAAAATAAAACAATGACTATGTTTAACAATTGGCTTTCTTTTCCTTTCTTTCCTTTTCCTTCTTTTCTTCTTCCTTCTTTATTTGAGATTGATTTAGTTTATAGTACATATCTTTAAATTGTAATTGTTATTTTCAAGTGATTGTATACCACATTATATAAGAACCTTACAACGGTATATTTCCATTTCTCTCTTCCTAAGTATTTTGCTATTGTTTTCACATATTTTATTTCTACATATGTTATAAACCCCATGATGCATTGCTATTTATTTTTTATTTAAATATTCAGTGATTTTTAAGGAAATTTAAGCAAGGAGAATGGTAGCCTTTTATATTTACCTGCATAGTTACCATATTTACCATAGTGCTCTTAATTCTTTTATGGATCTACATTTCCATTTGATACAATTTCCGTTATACCTGAAGGACCACTTTCGTTAACATTTCTTGAAGTGTGCTCTGCTGGTGATGAGTTTTTTCAACATATTTATTTATTTATTTATTTATTATTATTAAAAAAAAATAAGTCCAATGTTTAGATTTAAGGGGTATTTGTGTAGGTTTGTTTCATGGGTATATTGTATGATGCTGATGTTTGGGGTATGATTGATCCCATCATCTAGGTAGTGAGTATAGTACTTAATAATTAGGTTTTCAACCCTTGCCTCCTTCCCTTCCTCACCTCTCTAGTAATCCTTAGTGTCTATTGTTGCCATCTTTATGTCCATGTATACCCAATGTTTAGCTCCCACTTATAAGTGAAAAATGTGGTATTTCATTTTCTGTTCCTGCATTAATTCACTTAGGATGATGTGACCTGCAACTGCATCCATGTTGCTGCAAACAACATTATTTCCTTTTTTATGACAGTGTAGTATTCCATTGTGTATAGGTACCAAATTTTCTTTTTTTTTTTTTTTTTGCCTTCAAGCATCTGTTTAACAAAGCACATCTTGCACCGCCCTTAATCCATTCAACCCTGAGTGGATACAGCACATGTTTCAGATAGCACAGGGTTGGGGGTAAGGTCACAGATCAACAGGATCCCAAGGCAGAAGAATTTTTCTTAGTACAGAACAAAATGAAAAGTCTCCCACGTCTACCTCTTTCTGCACAGACACGGCAACCATCCGATTTCTCAATCTTTTCCCCACCCTTCCCCGCTTTCTATTCCACAAAACCGCCATTGTCATCATGGCCCGTTCTCAATGAGCTGTTGGGTACACCTCCCAGACGGGGTGGTGGCCGGGCAGAGGGGCTCCTCACTTCCCAGTAGGGGCGGCCGGGCAGAGGCGCCCCTCACCTCCCGGACGGGGCGGCTGGCCGGGCAGGGGGCTGACCCCCCCACCTCCCTCCCGGACGGGGCGGCTGGCCGGGCGGGGGGCTGACCCCCCACCTCCCTCCCGGACGGGGCAGCTGGCCGGGCAGAGGGGCTCCTCACTTCCCAGTAGGGGCGGCCGGGCAGAGGCGCTCCTCACCTCCCAGATGGGGCAGCTAGCCGGGCGGGGGGCTTACCCCCCCACCTCCCTCCCAGACGGGGCAGCTGGCCGGGCAGAGGGGCTCCTCACTTCCCAGTAGGGGCGGCTGGGCAGAGGCGCCCCTCACCTCCCGGACGGGGCGGCTAGCCGGGCGGGGCGCTTACCCCCCCACCTCCCTCCCGGATGGGGCGGCTGGCCGGGCGGGGGGCTGACACCCCCACCTCCCTCCCGGACGGGGCGGCTGGCCGGGCAGAGGGGCTCCTCACTTCCCAGTAGGGGCGGCCGGGCAGAGGCGCCCCTCACCTCCCGGATGGGGCGGCTGGCCGGGTGGGGGGCTGACCCCCCCACCTCCCTCCCGAACGGGGTGGCTGGCTGGGCGGGGGCTGACCCCCCCACCTCCCTCCTGGACGGAGCGGCTGGCCGGGCAGAGGGGCTCCTCACTTCCCAGTAGGGGCGGCTGGGCAGAGGCGCCCCTCACCTCCCGGACGGGGTGGCTGGCCAGGTGGGGGGCTGACCCCCCCCCACCTCCCTCCCGGACGGGGCGGCTGGCTGGGCGGGGGCTGACCCCCCCACCTCCCTCCTGGACGGAGCGGCTGGCCGGGCAGAGGGGCTCCTCACTTCCCAGTAGGGGCGGCCTGTCAGAGGCACCCCTCACCTCCCGGACGGGGCGGCTGGCCGGGCGGGGGGCTGACCCCCCCACCTCCCTCCCAGACGGGGCGGCTGGCCGGGCGAGGGGCTGACCCCCGAACCTCCCTGCCGGACAAGGTGGCTGCCGGGCAGAGACGCTCCTCACTTCCCAGACGGGGTGGCTGCCGGGCGGAGGGGCTCCTCACTTCTCAGACGGGGCGGCTGCCGGGCGGAGGGGCTCCTCACTTCTCAGACAGGACGGCCGGGCAGAGACGCTCCTCACATCCTGGACGGGGCGGCAGGGCAGAGGTGCTCCCCACATCTCAGACGATGGGCGGCCAGGCAGAGACGCTCCTCACTTCCCAGATGGGATGGCGGCCGGGAAGAGGCGCTCCTCACTTCCTAGATGGGATGGCGGCCGGGCAGAGACGCTCCTCACTTTCCAGACTGGGCAGCCAGGCAGAGGGGCTCCTCACATCCCAGATGATGGGCGGCCAGGCGGAGACGGTCCTCACTTCCCAGACGGGGTGGCGGCCGGGCAGAGGCTGCAATCTCGGCACTTTGGGAGGCCAAGGCAGGCTGCTGGGAGGTGGAGGTTGTAGCCAGCTGAGATCACGCCACTGCACTCCAGCCAGGGCACCATTGAGCACGGAGTGAACGAGACTCTGTCTGCAATCCCGGCATCTCAGGATGCCGAGGCTGGCGGATCACTCGCGGTTAGGAGCTGGAGACCAGCCCGGCCAACACAGCGAAACCCCGTCTCCACCAAAAAAATACGAAAACCAGTCAGGCATGGTGGCGCGCGCCTGCAATCGCAGGCAGTCGGCAGGCTGAGACAGGAGAATCAGGCAGCAGTACCGTCCAGCTTCAGCTCGGCATCAGAGGGAGACCGTGGAGAGAGGGAGAGGGAGACCGTGGGGAGAGGGAGAGGGAGAGGGAGAGCCCAAATTTTCTTTATCCAATCCAACAATGTTAGAAAATGTAAGTATCTTATCTTTTCTTTTGAAAAATACTTTAAATATTTGAAAACATTAGAAGTTTTTTGTCAGTTTTTTTTCTAATTTTTGATTTTTAAAATTGTTTTAGGTACGTAGTATGTGTGTATATTTATGGGGTACATGAGGTGTTTTGATATAGGCATGCAATGTTAAATAAGTGCATAATGGGGAATGGGGTAAACATCTCCTCAAGCATTTATCTTTTAAGTTGCAAACTATCCAATTATACTCTTTAAGTTATTGTAAACTGTATAATTTAATTATTGACTATAGTCACCTTATTGTGGTGTGAAACAGTAGGTCTTTTTCATTCTATTTTTTTGTACCCATTAACCATCCCAACCTCCCCACCTCCAACACCCAACAACCTTTCCCAGCCTCTGGTAATCATTCTACTCTCTATGTCATTAATTCAATTGTTTTGCGTTTTAGATCCAGCAAATAAGTGAGAACATGCGATGTTTGTCTTGCGGTGTCTGGCTTATTTCACTTAACATAATGATCTCCAGTTCCATCCATGTTGTTGCAAATGACTGGATCTCATTCTTTTTTATGGCCGAATAGTACTTCATTGTGTATATGTACCATATTTTTTTTTTATCCATTCATCTGTTGATGGACACTTAGGTTGCATCCAAATCTTAACTATTGTAAACAGTGCTGTAACAAATATAGGAGTGCAGATATCTCTTCAGTATACTAATTTTCTTTCTTTTGGGTATATACCCAGCAGTGGGATTGCTGATCATATAGTAGCTCAATTTTTAGTTTTTTGAGGAACATCCAAACTGTCCTCCATAGTGGTTGTACTAATTTACATTCCCACCAACAGTGTACAAGTGTTCCTTTTTCACCACGTAATTATCAGCATTTGTTATTCCCTGTCTTTTGGATAAAAGACTTTTAACTGGATGAGATGATATCTCATTGTAGTTTTGATTTGCATTTCTCTGATGACCAGTGATGTTGAAGACCTTTTCGTATGCCTGTTTGCCATTTGTATGTCATCTTTTGAGAAATGTCTATTCAAATCTTTTGCCCATTTTTTGATCAGATTATTAGACTTTTTCCTATAGAGTTGTTTGAGCTCCTTTTATAGTTGAGTGATTTATCCCTTTTCAGATGGGTAGTTTTAAATATTTTATCCCATTTTGTGGGTTGTTTCTTTACTTTGTTAATTGTATGCTTTACTACACAAAGGCTTTTAAATTTGATGTGATCCCATTTGTCCATTTTTTGCTTTGGTTGCCTGTGCTTAAGGGGTATTGCTCAATAAATCTTTGCCCAAATCAATGTCTTGGAGATTTTCCTCAATTTTTTTTGTAGCAGTTTCATAGTTTGAGGTCTTAGATTTAAGTTTTTAATTCATTTTGATTTTATTTTTGTATGTGGTGATAAATAGGCATCTAGTTTTATTCTTCTGCGTCTGAATGTCTGGTTTTCTCAGCACCACTTATTGAAGAGGCTGTCTTTTCCCCAGTGTATGTACTTGGCAACTTTGTCAAAAATGAGTTCACTGTAGGTGTGTGGATTTGTTTCTAGGTTCTGTGTTCTGATCCATTGGTCTATATGTCTGTTTTTATGCCAGTACCATGCTGTTTTGGTTACTATAGCTCTGTAGTACAATGTGAAGTTAGGTAATGTGATTCCTCCCGTTTTATTCTTTTTTGGTTAGAATAGCTTTGGCTATTCTGGGTCTTTTTTAGTTCCATATAAATTTTAGGATTTTTTTTCTATTTCTGTGAAGAATGTCATTAGTATTTTGATAGAGATTACATTGAATCAATAGATTGCTTTGGGTAGTATAGGCGTTTTAATATTGGTTATTCCAATCCATGTACATGAAATGTTTCCATTTTTTGGTGTCCTCTTCAATTTCTTTCATCAGTGTTTTATAGTTTTCATTATAGAGATCTTTCACTTCTTTGGTTAAGTTAATTTCTAGGTGTTTAATTTTATATGTGGTTATTGTAAATGGGATTACTTTTTATTATTTTTTTCACATTGTTCACTGTTGGGATATAGAAATGGTACTGAATTTTGAATTTTGATTTTGTATCCCGCAACTTTACTGAATCTGTTTATCAGCTCGTTCTAATAGTTTTTTGGTGGAATCTTCAGGTTTTTTCAAATATAAGATTATATCATCTGAAAACAATTTGACATCTTTCTTTCCAACTTGGATGACCTTTATATCTTTCTCTTGTCTGCTCTAGGTAAGACTTCCAGTACTGTGTAGAATAAAAGTGGTGACAGTGGGCATCCTTGCTGTGTTTCAGGTCTTAGAGGAAAGGCTTTCAGTTTTTCCCCATTCAGTATGACACAAGCTGTAAGTCTGTTGTATATGGCTTTTATTATGTTGAGGTATGTTCCTTTTATCTTCAGTTTTTTAGGGTTTTTTAAATCATGAAAAGATATTGAATTTTATCAAATGCTTTTTGAGCATCAATTGAAATATCATATAGTTTCTATCTTTTTTTTTTGATATGATATATCACATTGATTTGAATATGTTGAACCATCCTTGCATCCCAGGGATAAATCCCGCTGGGTCATGATGAATGATCTTCCTAATGTATTGCTGAATTTGGTTTGTTAGTATTTTGTTGAGGATTTTTGCATCAATATTTATCAGAGATATTGGGCTGTAGTTTTCTTTTTGATTTGTCCTGGTTTTGGTATCAGGGTAATCCTGGCCTTGTAGAATGAGTTTGGAAGTATTCCTTCCTCCTTTATTTTTTGGAATAGTTTGAGTAATAATGGTATTAATTATTTAAATGTTTGGTAGAAGTCAGCAATGAAGCTATCAGGTTCTGGGCTTTTCTTTAATGGGTGACTTTTTATTATGGCTTCGATCTTGTTACTTGTTACTGGTCTGTTCAGGTTTTGGATTTTGTCCTGGTTCAATCTTGGTAGGTAGTATATATCTAGGAGTTCATCCATTTCTTCTAGATTTTCCAATTTATTGACATATATTAATATTTGCTTATAGTAGCCACTAATGATTCTTTGAATTTCTGCAGAATCAGTTGTAATGTCCCCCTTTTCATTGCTGATTTTATTTAGTTGGATCTTCTCTCTTTTTTTCTTAGTCTGGCTAAAGGTTTGTCAATTTTAACTTAAAATTTTTTTTTTGTTTCATTGATGTTTTGTATTTTTTTCATTTCAATTTCATGTATTTCTGCTCTGATCTTTATTATTTCTTTTCTTGTACTAATTTTGGGTTTGTTTTGCTCTTGCTTTTCTAGTTCTTTTAGATGCATCATTAAATTGTTCCTTTGAAGTTTTTTTTCTCTTTTTTGATATAGGCACTTATAGCTATAAACTTCCCTCTTAGTACTGCTTTTGCTTTTGGTAAGGTAATTCAGAGGCATGTTTCACAGTTTCCCAGAAATTCCTCAGGTTTTGATATGTTATGTTTCAATTATCATTTGTTTCAAGAACTTTTTCAATTTCTTTCTCAATTTCTTCATTGACCAATTCGTCATTCAGGATCATATTGTTTAATTTCCATGTATTTGTATAGTTATCAAAATTCCTCCTTATTAATTTCTAGTTTTATTCCATTGTAGTCAGAGAGAATGCTTGACATCATTTTAACTTTTTTTGAATGTTTTTAGACGTGTTTTGTGATCTAATATATGGTCTGTCCTTGAGAATGATCCATGTGCTGAGGAAAAGAATGTGTATTCTGCAGTTCTTGGATGAAACAGCCTGTAAATATCTCTTAAGTCCTTTTAGTCTATAGTGCAGATTAAGTCTAATGTCTCTGTTAAATTTTGGTCTGTAAGTTTTGTCCAATGCTGAAAGTGGGGTGTTGAAATCTCCAGCTATTATTGTATTGGGCCTATCTCACTCTTTAGCTCTAACAATATTTCCTTTATATGTCTGAGTGCTCCAGTGTGAGGTGCATATACATTTAAAATTGTTATATCCTCTTGCTGAATTGACCCCTTTTATCATTATATAGTGACCTTCTTTGTCTCTTCTTACGGTTTTTTTCTTGACATCTATTTTGTCTGATACAAGTATAGTGACTCCTACATTTTTGGTTTCCATTGGCATAAAATATCTCTTTCCATGCCTTTTTATTCAGTCTCTGTGTGTCTTTATACATGAAGTGTGTGTCTTGTAGGCAACAGATCAATTGGTCTTGTCTTTTCATCCATTTAGCCAGTCTCTGTCTTTTAATTGGATAGTTTAGCTCACTTACATTCAATGTTATTATTGATGAGTAAGGACTCACTTCTGCTATTTGGCTGTTTTCTGCTCTTCTCTTCCTCATTCTTTCTTTTCTGTCTTTCTCTAGTGAAGTTTTCTCTGGTGATGTAATTTAGCTTTCTGCTTTTTATATTTTGTGTATCCATTATATGTTTTCTGGTTTGAGGTTACCATAAGGTTTGCAAATACTATCTTATAACCCATTATTTTAGCCTGATAACACCTTAATGCTATTTGCATAAACAAACAAACAAGCCAAAAGAAAACTAATAAAAACTCTGTCTTATCTTTGTCTGTTTTTCAACTTTTTATTGTTTCTATTGATATCTTGTTATATCGAGTATGTTTTGAAAAGTTGTGTTACTTATTATTTTTGATTGGTTCATCATCTAGTCTTTCTACTTAGGATAAGAGTAGTTTACACACTACAGTTACAATGTTATAATATTCAGTGTTTTTCTGTGTATTTACTATTATTGCTGAGTTTTGTACCTTCAGGTGATTATTTATTGTACATTAATGTTCTTTTCTTTCCGATGGAAGTACCCCCATTAGCATTTATTGTAGAATAAACCTGGGATAAAATCCTTCAGCTTTTGTTTGTCTGGGAAAGTGACCTTTCAGACAGATAATTAAAAATAGCTGTGTTATCAAAAAGTTTATCCACCACGATCAAGTTGGCTTCATTCCTGAGATGCAAGGTTGGTTCAACAACATGCAAATCAATAAATGTAATTCATCACATAAACAGAATTAAAGAAAAAAATCCACATGATTATCTCAATAGATGCAGAAAAGGCCTTTGATAAAATTCAATATTGCTTCATGTTTAAAACTCTCAATAAACTAGGTATTGAAGGGACATACTTCAAAATAATAAGAGCCATATACAACAAACCCACAGCCAATATCATAGTGAATGGGCAAGAGCTGGAAGCATACTCATTTTTCTTCCTCAAGAAATACTGTGGCCACACAGTATTCCATGGTTTATATGTACCACATTTTTCTTATCCAGTCTATCATTGATGGGCATTTAGGTTCATTCCATGACTTTGCTATTGTAAATAGGGCAACAATAAACATATGCATGCTTGCATCTTTATAATAGAATTATTTATATTTCTTTGGGTATATACCCAGTAATGGGATTACTGGGTCAAATGGCAGTTCTTTTTTAGCTCTTTGAGAAATCTCCACACTGCTTTCCACAGTGATTGAACTAATTGACACTCCCACCAACAGTGTAAAAATGTTCCTTTTTCCCCACATCTGTTGTTTTTTGACTTTTTAGTAATAGCCATTCTGATTGTTGTGAGATGGTATCTCATGTGGTTTTGATTTGCATTTCTCTGGTAACTAGTGATGTTGAGATTTTTTTCATAAGTTTGTTGGCTGCAATGTATGTCTTCTTTTGAGAAGTGTCTGTTTATGTCCTTTGCCCACTTTTTAGTGGGGTTTTTTTTTTTTTCTTGTACATTTGTTCAAGTTCCTTATAGATTCTGGATACTGGTCCTTTGTCAGATGGATAGATGCAAAAATTTTCCCTCATTCTGTAGGTTGTCTCTTTATTTCTTTTGCTGTGCTGATGCTCTTTAGTTTAATTAGATCTCATTTGTCAATTTTGCTTTTGTTGTAATTGCTTTTGGTATCTTTGTCATGAAACCTTTGCCCATGCCTATATCCTGAATTATATTGCCTAGATTTTCTTTTAGGGTTTTTATAGTTTTGAGTTTTACATTTAAGTCTTTAATCCATCTTGAGTTAATTTTTATATATATTGTAAGGAAGGGTTCCAGTTTCGATTTTCTGCATATGGCTAACCAATTTTCCCAGCACCATTTATTAAATAGGGAATCCTTTCCCCATTGCTTGTTTTTGTCAGGTTTGTTGATGATCAGATGGCTATTGGTGTACAGTCTTATTTCTGAGTTCTCTATTCTGTTCCATTGGTCTATGTGTCTGTTCTTGTACCAGTACCATGCTGTTTTTGTTTACAGTAGCCTTGTAGGATAGTTTGAAGTTGGGTAGTGTGATGCCTTCAGCTTTGTTCTTTTGCTTAGGATTGACTTGGCTCTTCGGGCTCTTTTTTGGTTCCCTATGAATTTTAAAATAGTTATTAAAATATTCTGTGAAGGATGTCAATGGTAGTTAAATGGGAATAGCATTGAATATATAAACTGCTTTGGGCATTATGGCCATTTTCATGATATTGATTCTTCCTATCCATGAGTATGGAATGTTTCTCTGTATCCTCTCTGGTTTCTCTGAGCAGCGGTTTGTAGTTCTCCTTGAAGATGTCCTTTACTTCCTTTGTTAGCTATATTCCTAGGTATTTTATTCTTTTTGTAGGAATTGTGAATGGGAGTTCATTCATGATTTTGCTCTCTCCTTGCCTGTTTTTGGTGTATAGGAATGCTAGCGATATTTGCACATTGATTTTATATCCTGAGACTTGGCTGAAGTTGCTTATCAGCTTAAGGTGCTTTTGGGCTGAGACAGTGGGGTTTTCTAGATATAGGATTATGTCATCCTAATAACATAATTTGACTTCCTCTCTTCCTATTTGAATACCTTTTATTTCTTTCTCTTGCCTTATTGCCCTGGCCAGAACTTACAATACTATGTTGAATAGGAGTGGTGAGAGAGGGCATTCTTGTCTTGTGCCAATTTTCAAGGGGAAGGCTTTCAGCTTTTGCCTATTCAGTATGATATTTGCTATGGGCTTGTTGTATGTGGCTGTTATTATTTTGAATTATGTCCCCTCAATACCTAGTTTACTGAGCATTTTAAACATGAAGAGATGTTGAATTTTATTGAAGGCCTTTTCTGCATCTATTGAGATAATCATGTGGTTTTTGTTTTTCTGTTTATGTGTTGTTTTGTCTTTCTGTTTATGTGTTTATGTTATGTTTTGTCTTTCATTTATTGATTTGCATATGTTGAACCAACCTTGCCTCTCAGGAATGAAGCCAACCGGATCATAGTGGATAAGTTTTTTGATAACACAGTTATTTTGAATTCTCTGTCTGAAAGGTCAATATCTCTGTTTCTCCTTGATTGATCCCTGGTGCCTTAGTTCTTCTGGTGAGGTCATGTTTTCCTGGATGGTGTTGATGCCAGTAGACATTCTTCAGTGTCTTGACATTGAAGAATTAGGTATTATTGTAGTTTTCACTGTCTGGGCTTATTTGTAGCCACCCTTCTTGGGAAGGCTTTCCAGATATTTGAAAGGACCGGGGTGTTGTGATCTAAGCCACGTCTGCCTTAGGGGGCACCCCAAGCCCAGTAACACTGTGGTTCTCACAGACTTGTAGAGGCACTTTGATGGTCTTGGACAAAATCCTGGAGAATTCCCTGAATTACCAGGCAGACTCTAGTTCTCTTCCCTTACTTTCTTTTAAACCTACAGAATCTCTCTCTCTCTCTCTCTCTCTCTCTCTCTCTCTCTCTGTTTTGTGCCATCTAAAGTTGGGGATGAAATGACATAAGCACCCTGTGGATACCATTACTATGACTGTGCTAGATCAGACATGAAGCTAGCACAGCACTGGGTCTTGCCCAAGGCCTGCTGTAACCACTCCTTGGCTACTGCCTGTGTTCACTCAAGGCTCTTGGGCTCTACAATCTTCAGGTGGCAAAGCCAGACAGGCCTGTGCTCTTCCTTTCAGGGGGCTGAGGTCCTAGAGGCCCCAGATAGGTCCAGAAATGCCTTCCAGGACTCAGGGACTACAGTCAAAAACCTTAGAAGTCACCCTGCTGTTCTATTGTACTGCAGCTGAGCTGGCACTCAAACAACAAGACACAGTCCTTCCCACCCTTTCCTGCCTCTTCCAAAGGCAGAAGAGCCTCACCCCATAGTCATTACCACCCCAGGCCATGAGGAGTATGTCAGACTACCACCAATGTTCCCTTAAGGCCCAAGGTCTCTTAAGGCAGCTTCTCATGAATGCTGTCTGGACCAAGACTCAACCTTTAAGGCAGTGGACTCTGTCTGGTCTGAGGCAAGTCCAGAAATGCCATTTAAGAGTCAAATTCTTGAACTGGGGACTCCAACAGCCCACTTGGTGCAGCAGGTTCTTTCTGGACCAGGATGTGTTTAGAAATGTCACCTGGGAGCTAGGTGCTGGAACAAGGACCTCTCAACTCTGACCAGTGTTCTCTCGTGCTGTGGCTGAGCTGGTATCCTAGATGCAAGACAAAGTCTTCCCTACTCTTTCTTCATCTCTTCTGAAGTGGAAGGAAGGGGTCTCTTTTGGAGCCTTGAGCTGTGCAGCCTGGGGTGAGGGGAGGGATGATACCAGTACTCCTTTGGCTGCCTCAGCTGATGTCTCAGTATGTTGTATGCACCTTCAGTCCACTGTTTCTGGGCCTAGTTCAGCACTAGGACTCACCTAAGAGTTGCAGTCATTATGGCCTAGAATGCCTTTCAAGTTTACTTGGAGACACAGAGTGCTTGTAGCCCTTGGTGGCAAAGTTTGCAGGCTCTCAATTTGGACCTCTCGGATCGGTGATTCCCCTCCGGCTAGGGTTGATTTAAATGCTCTCTCCACGGGCCGGCATCAGCTGAGTTTGGTCTGGTTTTCCTTTCTGCTTTAACAGAATAGCACTATATTCAATGCCTCATAATTGCTGTGCTCTACCTTCCTTGACACTCAGAAATGCTCCCTGTGCCACGCCACCACTGCTGGGGTGGAGGGTGGGGATGCGGGGTGGTGGGGAGAGTTGGGGGTGGTGATGGGAGGGGTAGACTTGGTGATTCAGGACTGTTTTTCCTGTCTCTTCAGTGCCTTTTTCAGTGATATGAAGTTAAAACCAGGTACTGTGAGTGCTCACATAATTTTTGGTTCTTATGAAGGTGTTTTTTCTTCTATGTAGATAGTTGTTAACTTGGTGTCCTTACTGCAGCCTGATTAGTGAAGCCTTCTGTTCCACCATCTTGCTCTACTCAGTGTTTGAAAGACATTGCTCTGCTATCTTCTGGCTTGCTTTATTTCTGATGGCATTCAGCTCTTTTGTACATAATGTGCTGCCATTTTCCTTGGCTGCTTTTAATATTTTATCTTTATCACTGAATTTAAGCAATTTGATCACTATGTACCTTGGTGTAGTTTTATCAATGTTTCATGTACGTGGGATTCACTGAGGTTCTCTGACCTGTGAGTTTCAGTTTTTATCAAATTTGGACAATTTTTTGGTCACTACTTTTCCAAAACCTTTTTGTTTCTTCTCTGTATGTCATATGTATGTCTAATTACACATGTATTAGATCACTTGAAGTTGGTCTGAAGCTCACAGATATTGTAGTTTTTAATTTTTAAAATATATTTTTCTCTATGTGCTTTATTTTGGATAGTTTCTATTGTTTTCCATTTCACTAATATTTTCTTCTTCAAAGTCTAATCTGCTTTTATATCTATTCAGTTTATAGTGTAATCTTCTTTATCTCACATATTTTGTCTCTCAAAGTTACATTTGGGTGTTTTTAAAATATCTTTCATGTCTCTACTGAATGTGTTCTATGTTTCCTTTAGCTCCTTGAACATAGCAATACAATTATAATTTATGATGTGCTGGAAAATATTTGAAAACTAGCTCTGGGAAAACAAAATAATACAGCTCTTATGTGTTGCATTTGCCAGTTTCTGTGCTTTAAGTAATCTCACAATAGCTGAATTCAAGAAACCAACATGTAATCACTGAATGTACATTTGGGAGAAAATGCATGGTAGTATCACACTATTACATAGTATCTTCACCCTAGAGTACCATAACCTTGAGTAACCACAGAAGCATAAATTATACTAAAATGTAGTAAAACAGTTGGCAAGTTATGAGTTTTAGTATTTATTAGCTTTGTTTTAATATAAATTATTTCACTATACATTTATATAATTTAATTAAAAATAACGACTATGTTTAGCAACTGGCTTGCAAATTTCCCAACAATTGGGAATGATTGAATAATTAGCTCTCATGGACCAGTGTGCTATGACTCCAGCACAGCACTGGATAGTAATTTTTAATGTCTTTGTCTATTAATTCTATCTGTAGTCATTTATGGATCAGTTTTGTTTGATTTTTTTCCTCCATATTGTGGGTCATACTTTCCTCTATCTTCTGATGTCTGGTGGTTGGATGATTGAATGGCAGACATTGTACATTTTACTTTTTTTGTGCTGGGTATTTTTGTACTATTATATTATTGACTATTATTTTATTATATTGATATTACAATATTGCTTGTAATATTATATTATTGACTCTTGCTTCATAACATGATTTAATTTTTTAGAATGTTGAATCCTTTCTGGTCCTAAATTTAAGTGTTTTTGTTTGTTTGTGAGACCAGAACAGCATTTTGTATAGGGTTAGTTTTTGCCAGTACTGTGGCAAAACTCTTTTGAGTACTCTACTAAATGCCCTGTGGATTGTTAAATTCCCTACTGGTGGAAATAGAAACTATTCCCCAAGAGTTTTCTGGTCATTTTAGGTGGCTCTTTTCCTGGTTTGGGTAGTTTTTTTCACATGCATGGGTTGATCAGTATGCAGATGAAGACTCAATGGGACTCTCTGCAAATCTCTTCATCTTTTCCACCCTCTTTCTTCTCTCCTGTCTAATACTCTGTCCTGCAAACTATAGCTGCCTTGACCTTTCTAGATTTTCAGCTCTGTTCAACTCCAGAAGAACCATATGCTCTTCCTGAATTCTCCCAACCTGCACTATGGCCTGGAAACTGTCTTTGGCAGATCACTGGTGCAATTGTAGAGCATCCTGTTTGTTTCCCATTTTTCAGGGATGACTGTCTTTCATTGCCTGATATCTAGTGTCTTGCTAAGCAATGTTTCATATATTTTTTCCTTTGTTTATCAATACTTGTGCATATGTGATAGTAAAACTGGTCTCTGTCATTCCATTTAGACTGACATTGAAGTTTCTAAGCTTTTTATTTTTTAGTTAAAAATTTTTGTTTTGTTCACCTTCTATTTATATGAACACATCCTGTATCTTTTTTATCCATTATTTTGTTCTGGTTTAGTCTTAATTACTGAAATTATATTTTATTTCACATCTAATTCTTTTCTGAGTTCTATGTCATATTTGCTTAGGTATCTGATGATCCCATATGTTGTTCTTTCAATGCTTCCATTTCTTAATATATTTCTAGCACATTTTGAAATGTTAGTTTGCAGTTTTCATCTGTTTTGTAGACATGACTCTTAGGAGCGCTTTTGTTGTCTGACAGGATGTTATTCTCCTCTTTATTCCCTTTAAAAAATTATAACTTTTGATGAGATTGGACCACAATTATTGTTTATGACTCATCTTAAGTGAAATGAGTTTCTCTGTATTTTCAGGATGATGGAATTGGCCAAGATAGCTTTTCAAACATCATGACTCAAAAGCTTCCTTTCCTGTTGTTTGCACAAAGTAATTAATACACAGTTTTCTACTTTCTGAGGTCTTCTTCCCCTATACCACTACCTCTTTTTTTTCCTCCTGTTTCTTTGTTCTGTTGTATTTGAATAGACTCTTAAGGGTTTCTCTTAGCTGCTGGGCTTTATCTTGAATGGATACTTTAGTTTGTTAGTTTTAAGAGCTTATACAGTCTGAACTGATTCAGCTTCTTCATACTTTACTGTGTACTCCTTGCCCTTCCTCTGCAACTGGAAACTCTCTCAGGTCAGCTTCTGTTCTCAAATTAGTCCATAGCCCTTTCTAGTGAGTAAGTATTGGGGATTTTGGAGATCTCATGTGCTCATGTCCATCAGACATCTTATTTTCCTTTCAGACATCCTATTTTGCCTTCTCTTTTTAGATGCTGATGGCATACAGGCTTCATAGTTATCGATTTTACCTCTCTCTCTATCGCTTTTATTTTGTATTTTCTGGTTTCTGTCAATTCTTGTCATTTGGTTTTGTGGTAGGTTCATCCATGGGCACTTGTTTAGCTATGTGTGGTAGGCAGAATAATGAACATCCTCACCAAAGATATCCCCATTCTAATCCCCACAGCCTGTGAATATGTTACATAAGGGGCTTTGCAGACATAATTAAGGTAAGGGTCTCGAATAGGGAGATTATACTGGATTATCTGGGTGGGCTGATTGTAATTGCAAGGATACTTATAAGTGAAAAACGAAGGCAGAAGAGCCAGAGAAGGAAATGTGATGGTGGAGGCAGAGTCGGAGTGATGCATTGTGAAGAAGACTTGCCTAGGCATGGCTGGCTGTGGAGATGGTGCAAGGGGATTTACTGAGTGCAAAGTGAAGAGAGGCTTGAGTCTTTGAAATTTGCTTAATCTACATTATTCTACTACACTGGTATATAAGCTTCCTGTGGCTGCTGCTGCTTCAGCAAAAAATCACAAACTTGTTGGTTTAAAATAACAAATTTATTTTCTCACAGTTCTGGAGGCGGTAAGTCGAAATCCAGATGTTGGCAGGACGATGTTCCTTCCAAAGACTTTGGGAGAAAATCCTTCCATGTCTTTTCCAATTTCTGATGGCTCCAGTTGTTCTTTAACTTGTGGTTGCAAAACTTCAGTTTCTACCATGATATTTATGTTACCTTCTTCTCTCTGTCTGTGTTTTCTTCTCTTCTGTTTCTTATAAGGACACTTTGTCATTGGATTTAGGGCCTACCTGGATAATCTAAAATGATCTCATCTTAAAACCCTTATTTAAGTATATCTGAAAAAATCATTTTTCCCCAAATAAACTTACATTCACAGATTAGATAGGTTAGAATATGGACATAGCCCTTATATCTTCTTTTTATTATTATACTTTAAGTTCTGGGGTACATGTGCAGAATGTGCAGTTTTGTTACATAGGCATACACGTGTCATGATGGTTTGCTGCACCCATCAACCCGTCACCTACATTAGCTATTTCTTCTAATGCTATCACTCCGCTAGCCCCCAATCCAACAGGCCCCAGTGTGTGATGTTCCCCTCCCTGTGTCTATGTGTTCTAATTGTTCAATTCCCACTTATGAATGAGAATTTGTGGTGTTTGGTTTTCTGTTCTTGTGTTAGTTTGCTGAGAATGATGGTTTCCAGCTTCATTCGTGTCCCTGCAAAGGACGTGAACTCATCCTTTTTTATGGCTGCATGGTATTCCATGGTGTATATATGCCACATTTTCTTTATCCAGTCTATCACTGATGGATGTTTGGGTTGGTTCCAAGTCTTTGCTATTATCAATAGTGCCTCAATAAACATATGTGTGCATATGTCTTTATAGGAGAATGATTTATAATCCTTTGGGTATATACCCAGTATTGGGATTGCTGGGTCAAATGGTATTTCTAGTTCTAGATCCTCGAGGAATCACCACACTGTCTTCCACAATGGTTGAACTATTTTACACTCCCACCAACAGTGTAAAAGCATTCCTATTTCTCCATGTCCTTTCCAGCATCTGTTGTTTCCTGACTTTTTAATGATTGCCATTCTAACTGACATGAGATGGTATCTCATTGTGGTTTTGATTTGCCTTTCTCTAATGACCAGGGATGATGAGCTTTTTTTCATATATTTGTTGGCTGCCTAAGTGTCTTCTTTGAGAAGTGTTTGTTCATATCCTTCACTCACTTTTTGATGGGGTTGTTTGTTTTTTCCTTGTAAGTTGTTTAAGTTTTTGGAGAATCTGGATATTAGCCCTTTGTCAGATAGATAGATGGCAAAATTTTTCTCCCATTCTCTAGGTTGCCTGTTCACTCTGATGATAGTTTCTTTTGCTGTGCAGAAACTGTCTAGTTTGGTTAGATCTCATTTGTCAATTTTGGCTTTTGTTGCCATTGTTTTTGGTGTTTTAGACATGAAGTCTTTGCCCATGACTATGTCCTGAATGGTATTGCCTAGGTTTTCTTCTAGGATTTTTATGGTTATAGGTCTTACATTTAAGTCTTTAATCCATCTTGAGTTAGTTTTTGTATAAGGTGAAAGGAAGGGGCCCAGTTTCAGTTTTCTGCATATGGCTAGCCAGTTTTCCCAACACCATTTATTAAATAGGGAACCCTCTCCCCATTGCTTGTTTTTGTCAGGTTTGTCAAAGATCAGATGGTTGTAGATGTGTGGTGTTATTTCTGAGGCCTCTGTTCTGTTCCACTGGTCTATATCTCTGTTTTGGTACCAGTACCATCCTGTTTTGGTACCAGTACCATCCTGTTTTGGTACCAGTACCATCCTGTTTTGGTTACTGTAGCCTTGTAGTATAGTTTGAAGTCAGGTAGTGTGATGCCTCCAGCTTTGTTCTTTTTGCTTAGGCTTGTCTTTGCTATGTGGGTTCTTTTTTGGTTCCATATGAAGTTTAAAGTAGATTTTTCCAATTCTATGAAGAAAGTCAATGGTAGCTTGATGGGGATAGCATTGAATCTATAAATTACTTTGGGCAGTATGGCCATTTTCATGATATTGATTCTTCCTATCCATTAGCATGGAATGTTTTTCCATTTATTTGTGTCCTCTCTTATTTCCTTGAGCGGTGGTTTGTAGTTCTCCTTGAAGAGGTCTTTCACATCCCTTGTAAGTTGAATTCCTAGGTATTTTATTCTCTTTGTAGCAATTGTGAATAGGAATTCACTCATGATTTGACTCTCTGTTTGTCTGTTATTGGTGTATAGGAATGTTTGTGATTTTTGCACATTGACTTTGTATCCTGAGACTTTGCTGAAATTGCTTATCAGCTTAAGGAGATTTTGGGCTGAGATGATGGGGTTTTCTAAATATACACTCATGTCATCTGCAAACAGAGACAATTTGACTTCCTCTTTTCCTATTTGAATACCCTTTATTTCTTTCTCTTGCCTGATTGCCCTGGCCAGAACTTCCAATACTATGTTGAATAGGAGTGGTGAGAGAGGGCATCCTTGTCTTGTGCTGGTTTTCAAAGGGAATGCTTCCAGTTTTTGCCCATTTAGTATGATATTGGCTGTGGGTTTGTCATAAATATCTCTTATTATTTTGAGATACATTCCATTAATACCTAGTTTATTGAGAGTTTTTAGCATGAAAGGCTGTTGAATTTTGTGGAAGGCCTTTTCTGCATCTATTGAGATAATCATGTGGTTTTTTTCATTGGTTGTGTTTATCTGATGGAATTCGTTTATTGATTTGCATATGTCAAACACCAGCCTTGCATCCCAGGTATGAAGCCAAATTGATCGTGGTGGATAAGGTTTTTTTTTTTTTTTTTTTTTTCCGGAGTGCCTCTGTCATGCAGGCTGGAGTGCAATGGTGCGATCTCAGCTCACCGTAACCTCTGCCTCCTGGGTTCAACTAATTCTCCTGCCTCAGCCTCCCTAGTAGCTGGGACTACAGGCAGGTGCCACCACGTCCGGCTAATGTTTTGTATTTTTATTAGAGGCTGGATTTCATCGTGTTAGCTAGCTTTTTAACATGCTGCTGGATTTGGTTTGCCGGTATTTTATTGAGGATTTTCACATCGATGTTCATCAGGGATATTGGCCTGAAATTTTCTTTTTTGTTGTGTCTCTGCCAGGTTTTGGTATCAGGATGATGCTGGCCTCATAAAATGAGTTAGGGGGGAATTCCTTTTTTTTCTATTGTTAGGAGTAGTTTCAGAAGAAATGGTACTAGCTCCTCTTTGTACCTCTGGTAGAATTCAGCTGTGAATCCGTCTGGTCCTGGACATTTTTTGGTTGGTTGGCTATTAATTACTGCCTCAATTTCAGAACTTGTTATTGGTCTATTCAGGGATTCGACTTCTTCCTGGTTTAGACTTAGGAGGGTATATGTGTCCAGGAATTTATCCATTTCTTCTAGATTTTCTAGTTTATTTGTGTAGAGGTGTTTATATATTTTCTGATGGTAGTTTGTATTTCTGTGGGATCAGTAGTGATATCCACTTTATCATTTTTTATTGCATCTATTTGATTCTTCTCTCTTTTATTCTGGCTAGCCGTCTATTTTGTTGATCTTTAAAAAAAAACTAGCTCCTGGATTCATTGATTTTTTAAACGGTTTTTTGTGTCTCTGTCTCCTTTAGTTCTGCTCTAATCTTTGTTATTTCTTGCCTTCTGCTAGCTTTTGAATTTGTTTGCTTTTGTTTCTCTAGTTCTTTTTTGATGTTAGGGTGTCAATTTTAGATGTTTTCTGCTTTCTTTTGTGGGCATTTAGTGCTATAAATTTCCCTCTACATGGTGCTTTAAATGTGTCACAGAGATTCTGGTATGTTGTGTCTTTGTTCTCATTGGTTTCAAAGAACATCTTTATTTCTGCCTTCTTGTTATTTACCCAGTAGTCACTCAGGAGCAGGTTGTTCAGTTTCCATGTAGTTGTGTGGTTTTGAGTGTGTTTCTTTTTTCTTTCTTTCTTTCTTTCTTTTTTTTTTTTTGACGGAGTCTCCCTCTGTCTCCCAGGCTGGAGTTCAGAGGCGCGATCTTGGCTCACTGCAAGCTCCAAGCTGCGCCTCCCGGGTTCACGCTATTCTCCTGCCTCGGCCTCCCGAGTAGCTGGGACTACAGGTGCCCTCCACCATGCCTGGCTAATTTCTTGTATTTTTAGCAGAGATGGGGTTTCACCGTGTTTGCCAGGAGGGTCTGGATCTCCTGACCTCATGATCCATCCGCCTCAGCCTCCCAAAGTGCGAGTGTGTTTCTTAATCCTGAGTTCTAATTTGATTGCACTGTGGTCTGAGAGACTGTTACGATTTTCGTTCTTTTGCATTTGCTGAGGAGTGTTTTACTTCCAGTTATGTGGTCAATTTTAGAATAAGTGTGATGAGTTGCTGAGAATAATGTATATTCTTTTGATTTGGGGTGGAGAGTTCTGTAGATATCCCTTAGGTCCACTTGGTCCAGAGCTGAGTTCAAGTTCTGAATATTCTTGTTAATTTTCTGTCTTGTTGATCTGTCTACTATTGACAGTGGGTTGCTAAAGTGTCCCACTATTGTTGTGTGGGAGTATAAGTCTCTTTGTAGGTCTCTAAGAACTTGCTTTATGAATCTGGGTGCTCCTGTATTGGATGCATATGTATTTAGGATAGTTAGCTCTTCTTGTTGCATTGATCCCTTTACTATTATGTAATGCCCTTTTTTGTCTCTTTTGATCTTTGTTGGTTTAAAGTCTGTTTTATCAGAGACTAGGATTGCAACCCCTGCTTTTTTTTTTGTTTTCCATTTGCTTGGTAACTATTTCTCCATTCCTTTATTTCGAGCCTATGTGTGTCTTTGCACATGAGATGGGTCTCCTGAATATAGCACACCGATGGGGCTTGACTCTATTCCAGTTTTCCAGTCTGTGTCTTTTAATTGGGGCATTTAGCCCATTTACATTTAAGGTTAATATTGTTATGTGTGAATTTAATCCTGCCATTATGATGCTAGCTGGTTATTTTGCCCGTTAGTTGATGTAGTTTCTTCATAGTGTCAATGGTCTTTACAATTTGGTATATTTTTGCAGTGGCTGGTACTGGTTGTTCCTTTCCATGTTTAGTGCTTCCTTCAGGAGCTCTTGTAAGGCAGGCCTGGTGGTGACAAAATCTCTCAGCATTTGCTTGTCTGTAAAAGATTTTATTTCTCCTTCACTTATGAAACTTAGTTTGACTGGATATGAAAATCTGGGTTGAAAATTCTTTCTTTCAGAATGTTGAATATTGGCCCCCACTCTCTTCTGGCTTGTAGGGTTTCTGCAGAGAGATCTGCTGTTAGTCTGATGGGCTTCCCTTTGTGGGTAATCTGGCATTTCTCTCTGGCTGCCCTTAACATTTTTTCCTTCATTTCAATCTTGGTGAATCTGACGATTGTATGTCTTGGGGTTGCTCTTCTCAAGGAGTATCTTTGTGGTGTTCTCTGTATTTCCTGAATTTGAATGTTGGCCTGTCTCCCTAGGTCGGGGAAGTTCTCCTGGATAATATACTCGAATGTTTTCCAACTTGGTTCCATTCTCCCTGTCACTTTCAGGTACAACAATCAAATGTAGATGTGGTCTTTTCATATAGTCCCATATTTATTGGAAGCTTTGTTTGTTTCCTTTCATTCTTTTTTCTCTAATCTGGTCTTCTTGCTCTATTTCATTAAGTTTATCTTCAATCTCTGATACCCTTTCTTCTGCTTGATCGATTTGGCTATTGATACTTGTGTATGCTTCATAAAGTTTTCATGCTGTGTTTTTCAGCTACATCAGGTCATTTATGTTCTTCTCTAAACTGGTTATTCTAGTTAGCAATTTGTCTAACCTTTTTTCAAAGTTCTTAGCTTCCTTGCATTGCTTTAGAATGTGCTCCTTTAGCTCGGAGAAGTTTGTTATTACCCACCTTCTGAAGCCTACTTCTGTCAACTTGTCAAACTCATTCTCTGTCCAGTTTTGTTCCCTTGCTGGCGAAGAGTTGTGATCCTTTGGAGGAGAAGAGGTGTTCTGGTTTTTTGAATTTTCAGCCTTTTTCTGCTGGTTTCTCCCCATCTTCATGGATTTATCTACCTTGGTCTTTGACGTTGGTGACTTTTGGATGGGGTCTCTGAGTGGACATGCTATTCCTTTCTGCTTGTTAGTTTTCCTTCTAACAGTCAGGCTCTTCTGCTGCAGGTCTGCTGGAGTTTGCTGGAGGTCCACTCCAGATCCTGTTTGCCTGGGTATCACCAATGGAGGCTGCAGATTACTGCCTGATCTTTCCTCTGGAAGTTTCTTCCCAGAGGGGCACCTGCCAGGTGCCAGCCAGAGCTTTCCTGTATGAGGTGTCTGTCAACCCCTACTGGGAGGTGTCTCTCAGTCAGGATACACAGGGGTCAGGGTCAGGGACCCACTTGAGGAGGCAGTCTGACCCTTAGCAGAGCTTGAACACTGCTGGAGATCCACTGCTCTCTTCGGAGACATCAGGCAGGGATGTTTAAGTCTGCTGAAGCTGCACCCACAGCTACTTCTTCCCCCAGGTGCTCTGTCCCAGGGAGATGTGGGTTTTATCTATAAGCCCCTAAATGGGGCTGCTGCCTTTTTTTCAGAAATTCCCTACCCAGAAAGGAGGAAACTAGAGAGGGAGTCTGGCCACAGCGGCGTTGGTGAGCTGCAGTGGGCTGCGCCCAGTTCGAACTTCCTGGCAGCCTTGTTTACACTTTGAGGGTAAAACTGCCTACTCAAGCCTCAGCAATGGCAGACACCCCTCCCCCAACCAAGCTTAAGCCTCCTAGGACGACCTCAGACTGCTGTGCTGGCAGCAAGAATTTCAAGCCAGTGGATCTGAGCTTGCTGGGCTTTCTGGTGGTGGGACCCACCGAGTCAGACCACTTGGCTCCCTGGCTTCAGCTCTCTTTCCAGGGGAGTGAACTGTTCTGTCTCGCTGGCGTTCCAGGCACCACTGGGGTATGGAAAAAAACTCCTGAAGCCACCCAGTTTTGTGCTTGAAACCCCGGGCCCTGGTAGCATAGGCACCAGAGGGAATCTCCTGGTCTGTGGGTTGCAAAAACCATGGAAAAAGTGCAGTATCTTGGCTGGAGTGCACTGTTCCTCAGGCACAGTCCCTCACGACTTCCCTTGGGTAGGGGAGATAATTCTCTGACCCCTTGTGCTTCCCGGGTGAGGAGACACCCCACCCTGCTTTGGCTCACCCTCCATGGGCTGCACCCACTGTCCAACCATTCCCAATGAGAAGAAACATGTACCTGAATTGGAAATGCAGAAATCACCCACCTTCTGTGTCGATCTCACTGGAAGCTGCAGACTGGAGCTGTTCCTATTTGGCCATCTTGCCCTTATATATTTTTTAAAGTTATTTATTTATTTGCATTCGTTTTTCAGAGAAGTTTTAAATTCACCGCAAAATTGAGTAGAAGATACAGAGATTTCATATTTCTTCCCTGCTCCTACATATACACAGCCTCCTTCATTGTCTCAGTCTGTTTTGTGCTGCTATGTAAGAATACCATAATATAAGAATACCATATACCACACCATATATAAGAATACCATAGGCAGAGTAATTTATAATGATTTATAATGAGCAGAAATTTATTTTTCACAGGTCTGCAGGCTCAGAAGTCCAAGATCAAGGAGCTGGCATTGGATGAGGGACTTCTTGCTGCATCATCCCATGACAGAAGGACAAAGAAAGGGAGGGAGAGAGACAAAGAGAGAGTGAGAAAGAGAAAGAGGGGGGAAAATTCTCTCTGTCTACCTTTTATAATGAACCTACTCTCGTGATAACTGACCCACTCCTGTGATTGATAATGGCATTAATTCATTCACTTGGCCCTCATGTCCTAATGACCGTTCATTAGGCCCCATCTCCCAACACTGTTGCATTGGGATCAAGTTTTCAACACATAGAATTTGGGAGACACATTCAAACCATAGCACGCATTATTAACAGCCTCCATTAGAGTGGTACATTTGTTACAAATGATGAAACTACATTGACACCTCATTATAACCCAATATTCATAGTTTATACTATGTTCACTCTTGCTATATTTCATGGGATTTGACAAATGTATAATGACATATATCCACCATTAGGTATCAAACATAATATTTTCAGTGCCCTAAAAATCCTGTGTTTTGCCCAGTTATCCCTCTCATTCCCCTGACTCCTGGCAACCACTGACCTTTTACGCCTCTATGGTTTTGCCTTTGCCAGAATTTTACATGGCTGAAAATATATAGTAAGTAGCCTTTTCACAATGGCTTCTTTCACTTAGTAATATGCATTTAACTTTTCTCCATGTCTCTTCATGGTTTGATAGCTTCCATCTTTTTACTGCTAAATAATATTTTCTGCTGAATATGCCACAGTTAATTTATGCACCTAGTGAAGAACATCTTGGTTGTTTCCAAGTTTTGGCAATTATGAATGAAGCTGACATAAACATCTATGTGCAGGTTCTTATGAGGATATATTTTCAACTTTTTTGGGTATATGTCAAGGAGAGTGATTGCTGGATTATATAGGAAGAATATGTTACTTTTGTAAGAAACTCACAAACTGTTTTCCAAAGTGGCTGTACCATTTTGCATTTCCACTAGCAGTAAATGAGAGTTCCTGTTGCTCTATGTCCTCATCAGCATTTTGAGTTATCAGTGTTCTGAATTTTGGTCATTCTAATAGGTGTGTAGTGGTATTAAGTTACATTTCTCTGATAACATATAATGTGGAGCATCTTTTCATATATTTAATTTTCATTTCTATATCTTCTTTGGTGAGGTATTTGTTAATATCTTTGTCCCATTTTAAAATTGTTTGTTGTGGTTGTTTGTTTTCTTATTGTTTAGTTTTTTTTTTAACTTTTATTTTAGGTTGGGGGTGTGTGTGTAGGTTTGTTATATAGGTAAACTCGTGTCACAGGGTTTTGTTGCATAGACTATTTCATCACCCAGATACTAAGCCTAGTGCCCAATAGTTATTGTTTCTGCTTCTCTCCCTCCTCCCACCCTCTACCCTCAAGTAGGCCCCCGTGTCTGTTGTTCCTTTCTTTGTGTTCATGCGTTCTCATCATTTAGCTTCCACTTCTAAGTGAGAACATGTGGTATTTGGTTTTCTGTTGTGTGTTATTTTGCAAAGGATAATAGCCTCCAGCTCCATTTATGTTCCTGAAAAAGATGTGATCTCACTCTCTTTTATGGCTGCATAATAATCCATGGTGTATATGTGCCACATTTTCTTTATTCAGTCTGTCATTGATGGGCATTTAGGTTGATTCCAGGTCTTTGCTACTGTGAATAGAGCTGCAATAAAGATTCCTGTGCATGCATCTTTATGGTAGAATGATTTATATTCTTCTGGGTATATACCCAGTGATGGGATTGCTGGGTTGAATGGTAGTTCTGTTGTTAGCTTTTTGAGGAATCACCATACTGCTTTCCACATGGTTGAAATAGTTTACACTCTCACCAACTGTGTATAGGTGTGATCTTTTGTCAGCAACCTTGGCAGCATCTGTTATTGTTTTGACTTTTTAGTAATAGCCATTCTGACTGTTGTGAGATGGTATCTCATTGTGGTTTTGACTTTTAGTAATAGCCATTCTGACTGTTGTGAGATGGTATCTCATTGTGGTTTTGATTTGCATTTCTCTAATGATCAGTGATGTTGAGTTTTTTTAAATATACTTCTTGGCTACACGTATGTCTTTTTTTGAAAATTGTCTGTTATGTTCTTTGCCCACTTTTTAATGGGGTTGTTTTTCTCTGGTAAATTTGCTTAAGTTCCTTAGAGATGCTGGATATTAGACTTTTTTCAGATGCATGGTTTGCAAAAGTTTTCTCCTATTCTGTAAGTTGTCTGTTTACTCTGTTGACAGTTTCTTTTACTGTGCAGAAGCTCTTTAGTTAATTAGTTTCCATTTGTCAATTTTTACTTTTGTTGCCATTGCTTTTGGTGTCTTTGTCATGAAATCTTTGCCTATTCTTATGTCCAGGATTCCTATTGCCTAAGTGGTCTTCCAGGGTTTTTATAGTTTTTGGTTTTACATTTAAGCCTTTAATCCATATTGAGTTAATTTTTGTATATGGTGTAAAAAAGTATTCCAGTTTCAATCTTCTGCATATGGCTAGCCAGTTATTTCAGCACCATTTATTGAATAGGGAGTCTTTTCTACATTGCTTGTTCTTGTCAGCTTTGTCAAAGATCATATGGTCATAGGTGTGCATCCTTATTTCTGGACTCTCTATTCTGTTCCATTGGTCTATGTGTCTGTTTCTGTACTAGTACCATGTTGTTTTGGTCACTGTAGTGTTATGGTATGGTTTGAAATTGGGTAATGTGATACCTCCAGCTTTGTTCTTTTTGCTTAGGATTGCCTTGGCTATTTGGGTTCTTTTTTGGCTCTCTATGGATTTTAAAATAGTTTTTTTTTTCTAGTTCTGTGAAGAATGTCATTGGTAGTTTAACAGGATTATCGTTGAATCTGTAAATTACTTTAGGCAGTATAGCCATTTTAATGATATTGATTCTTCTTTTCCATGAGCCTGAGATGTTTTTCCAGTTGTTTGTGTCTTCTCTGATTTCTTTGAACAGGGTTTTGTAGTTTTCATTGTAGAGATCTTTCACTTCCCTGGTTAGCTGTATTCCTAGGTATTTTATTCTTTTTGTGGCAGTTGTGAATGGGATTACCTTCCTAATTTGGCTCTGAATGTGGGTGTTGTTGGTGTATATAAATGCTAGTGGGCTTTATACATTGATTTTGTATCCTGAAACTTTGCTAAAGTTGTTTATCAGCTGAAAGAACTTTTGGGCCAAGACTATGAAGTTTTCTAGATTTACAGTCATGTCATCTGCAAACAGGGATAGTTTGACTTCCTCTCTTTCTATTTGAATACCTTTATTTCTTTCCCTTGGCTGATTGCTCTGTTCAGGACTTCTAATGGTATGTTGAATAGGAGTGGTGAGAAAGAGCATCCTTATCTTGTGCTGGTTTACAAGGGGGAATGCTTCCAGTTTTACCTATGCAGTATGATGTTGGCTATGGGTTTGCATAGATGACTCTTATTATTTTTACATATGGCCCACTCGACACCTAGTTTATTGAATTTTTAACATGAAGGAGTGTTGAATTTTTTCAAAAGCCTTTTATGCATCTATTGAGGTAGTTATGTGGGTTTTTGTCTTTAGTTCTGTTTATGTGATGAATCACATTTATTAATTTTGTATGTCAAACCAATCTTGTATCCCAGGGATGAAGTCTACTTGATTCGTGGTGGATTAGCTTTTGATATGCTGATGGATTTGGTTTGCAAGTATTTTATTTTTGAGAATTTAAAAATTTATGTTCATCAGGGATATTGGCTTGAAGTTAACTTTTTTGTTGTGTCTCTGCCAGTTTTTGGTATGAGAATGATGCTGGCCTCGTAGAATGAGTTAAGGAGGAGTCTCTCCTCCTCAATTTTTTGAAATAGTGTCTGCAGGAATGGTACCAGCTCATCATATATCTGGTAGTTTTTGTCTATGAATCTGTCTGGTCCTGGGCTTTTTTTTTTTTTTTTTTTTTTTGCTTGATAGGGTATTTATTACTGATTCAATTTAGGAGCTTGTTATTGGCCTGTTCAGGGAATCAATTTCTTCCTGATTCAGTCTTAGAAGAGTTTATGTGTCTAGGAATTTATCCTTTTTTTTTAGGTTTTCTAGTTTGTGTGCATAGACATACTCATAATATTCTCTGATGGATATTTGTATTTCTATGAGGTCAATGATAACTCCCCTTTGTCATTTCTAATGTGTTTATTTGGATCTTCTCTCTTTACTTCTTTATTAGTCTAGCTAGCAGCCTATTTTATTAATTTTTTTTTCAAAAAACCAACTCCTGGATTTGTTGTTCTTTTGAATGTTTCTTTGTGTCTCAGTCTCCTTCATTTCAGCTCTGATTTTGGTTATGATTTGTTTTCTGCTAGATATGGGGTTGATTTGTTCTTGGTTCTCTAATTCTTTCAGTTGTGCTGTTAAATTAATTTGAGATCTTTCTAACTTTTTGATGTGGGCATTTAATTCTATCATCTTAACACTGCCTTAGCTCTGTCCCAAAGATTCTGGTATATTCTATCTGTGTTCTCATTAGTTTCAAAGAACTTTTGATTTCTGACTTAATTCAATTATTTATCCAAAAGTCATTCAGGGACATGTTGTTTAATTTCTATGTAATTGCATGGTTTTGATAAATTTTCTTAGTCTTCTATTTTTATTGGGCTGTGGTCTGAGAGTGTGTTTGATATGATTTCAGTTCTTTTGCCTTTGCTGAGGATGGTTTTATGTTCAATTACGTGGTGGATTTTAGAGTATGTGCCTTGTGGTGATGAGAAGAATGTATAGACAGTTTTTTTGGGGGGATGGAGAGTTTTGTAGAGGTCTATCAGATCCATTTGGTACAATGCTGAGTTCAGACCTCAATATCTTTGTTAATTTTCTTCCTCAAGGATCTGTCTAATATTGTCAGTGGAGTGTTGAAGTCTCCCACTATTATTGTGTGGGAATCTACATCTCTTTGTAGGTCTCTAAGAACTTGCTTTATAAATCTTGTTGCTCCTGTATTGGGTGCATATATATTTAGAACAGTTAGGTCTTCTTGTTGAATTGAACCCTTTATCATTATGTAATGCCCCGTTTGTCTTTTTTGATCATGGTTGGTTTAAATTCTGTTTTGTTTGAAATTAGGATTGCAACCCCTGTTTTTTTCTGATTTCCATTTCCTTGGTTGATTTTTCTCCATCCCTTTATTTTGAGCCTATGGTTGTCATTATGTTTGAAATGGGTCACCTGAAGACAGCATACCATTGGGTCTTGCTTTTTTTATTTTTTTTTTCCTCCAGCTTGCCACTCTGTGCCTTTTAAGTGTGGCATTTAGCCCATTTACATTCAAGGTTAGTATTGATATATATGAATTTGATCATGTTATTGTGCTGTTAGCTTGTTATTATGCTGGCTTGTTTGTGTGATTGCTTTATAGTGTCACTGGTCTGTGTATTTAAGTGTTTTTTTTCTGTTTTTGTATTAGCTTGTAGTTATCTTTCCCTTCTATATTTAGCACTCCTTTCAAGATCTCCTGTAAGGCAGGTTCGGTGGTAACCAACTCCAACAATATTTGCTTATCTGAAAATGATCTTTTTTCTCTTTCACTTAGAAAGCTTAGTTTTGCTGGATATAAAATTCTTGTTTGAAGATTATTTTTCTGTAAGAATGTTGAATATAGGCCCCCAGTCTCTTCTGGTTTGTAGCGTTTCAGCTGAGAGGTCCACTGTTGTGAGCTTGATGGGGTTCCCTTTGTGGGTGACCTGCCCTTTCTCTTTAGCTGCCTTTAACATTCTTTCTTTCATGTTGACCTTGGAAAGTCTGATGTGTCTCGGGGATAATCTTCTTGTATAGAATCTTGCAGGGGTTCTTTGTATTTCCTGAATTTGACTGTTGGCCTCTCTAACAAGGTTGGGGAAGTTTTCATGAATGATATCCTGAAATGTTTTCCAAGCTACTTTCTCCCCTCCTTTTTAGGGATGCCAGTGATTTGTAGATTTGGCCTTTTTACATGATCCCATATTTTTAGAAGGTTTTGTTCATTTATTTTCATTCTTTTTTCTTTATTTTTATCTGACTATCTTATTTCAGAGAGCTAGTCTTCAGGTTCTGAGATTCTTCCCTTGGCCTGGTCTATTCAGCTGTTAATACTTGTGAATGCATTGTGATATTCTTGTATTGTGTTTTTTAGCTCTGTCAGATCCATTAGGTTCTTTCAAATACGAGCTATTTTGTCCTTCAGCTCCTGTATAGTTTTATTGTGATTCTTAGTTTCCTTGGATTGGGTTTTGCCATTCTCTTGAATCTTGATGATACTCATTTCTATCCATTTCTGAATTCTATTTCTATTATTCCAGCCTGTTCAGCCTGGTTAAGAACTCCTGTTGGAGTACTGGTCCAGTCATTTGGAAGACATATGACGCCCTGGTCATTTGAGTTGCTTGAGTTCTTGCATTGGTTCTTTCTCCTTTCTGCATGTGGCTGTTTCTTTCACTGCAGAGTAGATTAAGTATAACCAATAGAGTTTTTTTTTTTTTTTCTGGATGTTTTCACTGCACCATGGCTTTGTGCAGTGTAGCTGACTTCTTGTCCTTGGTTTCATGGGGGTATGTTAGTGAGGTAGTTTTGGTGTTGAAGCTTTGGGATGTAAGCCAGTAGGTGGTGCTTAGGTGTAGTGGTCAGTCGGTAGGGCTCTTCCTTAATCATGGTTCTTCTATATTTCTTCCAAGTTGCAACCGTGCTCCCTCTCAATGCTGCAAAAGTGTGAGTTCTTCTTCCACTTGAATACTGGATGTAGATTATGGCTTGGCACTCTTGGGTTGCCCAGTGCAGCTCTGGGGCGATCTCAGGGTTTATGTTCCTTCCCCAGGTCGGAGGCAGCAGTGGAAGGGACCTTAGCGGTGGTTGTGGCCAAGGGTCTTTTGCTTGTCTCCTGGGGGTTTCACTCCAGAGAGATGCAGGTCAGCAATTGCTCAGTGTAATCAGCCAAGTATGAAGGGTCTGTGCTATGGGCCCAAGCCAGGAGGTTCCCTGTCTGGTTACAAATAGAGGTTAGGTGGGACCCACGGGAGATGGACTGGACTCCTCTCCTTCAGTCAGCTGAAGCTTATTGATGTGTGGATAAGACACTTAGGGTCTTTGATCCTTTGTTAGTCCAAGTGTAGCAAAAGCAGTTTTATTGTCGAGGCAGTGGCAGGGAGGCTTTCAGTTGCACCTGGGGGTTCCACCTCCAAAACATACAGAGACACTGGTACTGGGAGGGTTCAGCAAGTG
The DNA here is from genome assembly GCF_000001405.40 of Homo sapiens. NCBI lineage: Eukaryota > Metazoa > Chordata > Mammalia > Primates > Hominidae > Homo > Homo sapiens. Next base: position 176,425,117 of record NC_000001.11, read on the forward strand.
GGGTGGGGCAGCTATACTGCTGGCATGAGCTTGGGGTTCCACTTGTTAGGTAGCACGGGGTCAAAGGCTCACAGGGAGGAGAGTTTGGGCTCCTCTTCGTATAGTGACTATAGTGTGCTGTAAGCTTGGGGGTAGGCTTCAGGCTCTTTGTTTCTTCCCCAGACGAAGAGCAGCAGGGCTAGAACTGCTACTGTAGCAGTGGCAGAGGGGCTGTCATCTGCCTTTGGATTCTTCTCTCTGGGGAAACTCTGGGCCACTATCAGTGGGTATTCTCAGTTGTGGGTGGGGTGACTGTTCTGCATTCATGAACCAGGGCCTTGCCTGGTGAAGGGCAAGGGTGGGGGCTCCCTTGCCTGGTGAAGAGCAAGGGAAAAGGGGCTGAACTCCTCTCCATATGGTGGCTGCAGTGTGTTAGAGTGCCAGTGTAATGACTAGGCCCTTTGTTCCTTCCCACTCTGAGGGCTGTTAGGGCTATACCACTGCAACTGTAATGGCAGAGGGTTTGTGGGTTGACTCTGAAATTTCCTCCTCAGAGAAATGCTGGGCTGCCTCTGATTGCAGTGATGAGGTGGGGGCAGGGTGGTTGTGCTGGAGTTCCAGGTTGGGTGGCCCTGCCAATGAGGAGAAATGAGGACTGAGATCTATGTTGAGAACAGTCTGGTCATTTTTCTGAGAGGCGGCTGCTCTGTGCTGGGGGTCTGGACCAACCTCTGGTCCCTGCAGACTCTCTTGAGCTTGGAGACAGGAAGGGCAAGGGCTGCAAGACAGAGAAGATAGCAACCTGCCCCTCCCACTGGGAGCTGTGTCCAGGCAGTTGCAGAACTTCTACTGGCTCCATAGCCCTGCCTGGGAGTGGCTGGAGGCCTAGCTCTGGAGAACCTGCCTGGTGAGGAGATATGGCATTGGGCACTCACATCACAGTCTGACCACTTTTCTTCAGGGCTGCTGTGGTATGCTAGGTGTCCACTCCAGTCCCTGGTCACCTTGGATTTTCCAGTACCTGAGGGTATTAATAGCCCCTCTGTCACTGCCATAACAGTGAAGACTGCAAAACAGCAAAGATTGTGGCCTGCCCTTCCCTCTGGGAGTTCCATCCCAGGGAGGTATGGACCTGTTGCAAGCTGGAAACACCTGTAGGAGGTGGCTGGACACCCCTGTTGGGAAGTCCCACCAAGTGAAGAGGAATGGGATTGGGGACCCACTTAAAAAAGCAGCCTGACCATGTTTTCATACAGCAGCTATGCTGTGCTGGAGGTCCACTCTCAAAAGCCTGAAAGCCAAAATGGGAGCTCTGTTCCAGAGGAAGAAGAGGACTGCCATCTTTGCTATTTGGGATCTCTGGGAGCTCTCCCCCAGGAATTTTTGAAACCTCTGTTAGCCAGAAAATACCAGTGGAGGTAACTGGGGATCCTGGTTGGGAGATTCTGCCCAGTGAAGAGAAACGGGATTTGCCATCCATGTAAATAAGCATTCTGACCACTTCTCATAGTGCTGCTGGGCTGTGCTGGGGGACCACTCCAGTCCTTTGTTGCCACGGACTCCTTAGAGACCTAAGGCAACAGTGGCTGAGGCTGTGAAATAGCAAAGGTGGTGGCCTACCCCTCCCACTGGGGGCTCCTTCACGGGGAGATGTAACACTGTTACTGGGGCTGACTGTAGTTCCAAGTCAGTGGGTCTTATCCTGTGAGGTGCTATGGAAGCAGGGCCTGCAAACAATCACTGCTCAGCCCCTGGATTCAGCCCTTTTCCTAAGGGTATGTACGGGGGCTAATTGGCCCCCCACCTTGCCCCTTGCTTTGCTGGAGTTTCACCTGCTTTTGCTGAGAAGCCTGGGTATACCCAGGAAAGCTTGGGTATTTAAGGCCCCTAGGTGTCTGCGTGTGCCTGAGCAGCTGCTCTGCTGAGACTCCAAGTAGCTCTGTGTCAGACTGAATGGCCTGGTGGAGTGTGTTCACAAGAAGATCTCCTGACCCAAGAATTGCAAAGATCTGGGGTATCTAGCTTCATCTTTTTGCATGTGGAGGTCCAGTTGTTCCAACACTATTTGTTGTAAAGACTGTCTTTTCTCCATTGTATTGCCTTTGCTTCTTTATCAAAGATCAGTCTACTATACTTATATGGGTCTATTTCTAGGTCCTCTATTCTGTTTCATTAGTGTATTTATTCCTTTACCAATGCCACACCATCTTGATGATGGTAGTTTTATAGTATGTCTTGAAGTTGGGTATGTCAGTCATCCAGCTTTGTTCTTTTCCCTCAATGTTGTTTTGGCTATTTTTAGTGTTTTGCCTCTCCATATAAAATTTCGAACAAGAGTTTTGCTATCAGCAAAATAACTGGAATTTTTATTCGAATTGCATTTAATCTACAAATCAAGCTTGGAAAAACTGACATCTTGACAATATTGTCTTTCTATCCATGAACATGAAATATCTCTGCAGTTATTTAATTCTTTGAGTTCTTAATCTGTTTTGTTGCTTTCTTCATACATATCTTAACATATTTAGTTAGATTTATATGTACATATTTATTTTTAAGGTGCCAATATGAACAACATAGTGTTTAAAACGTCAAATTACATTTTGTTGCTGTTATATAGGAAAAGTGATTGATTTTTATATACTAACCTTGTATCCTATAACCTTACTATAATTCCTTATAAGTTCCAGGATTTTTTTTGTTGATTCTTTTAGATTTTCTACATAGATAATTATGTCATCTGCAAGCAGTAACAGTTTTAATTTTTCATCCTCAATCAGTATACCTATTATTTTCTTTTTGTTTCTTATTGCATGACTAGGACTTCCAGTATGATGTTGAAAAGCTGTGGTGAGAAGAGACATTCTTGCTTTGTTCTTGATTTTCATAGGAAAGCTTTGAGTTTCTCACTACTAACTATGGTGTTAACTGTAGGTTTTAGTTTTTGTAGATATTCTTTATCAAGTTGAGAAAGTTTCCCTCTATTCTTAGTTTGCTAACGTATTTTTTTCACTCTTTGAAAAAGACAACTACTTAGGCAATTGTAATAGATTGTATGGTGGCATCTAAAGTAGTTGTCTGGAAGAAGGTAATCCCTTCTGCTGGTCAGTGATGCTTCTACTCTGTAAGGAGGTCAATATTTTGAAGTCCAGTTTCTTCTGGAAATTTCTAAATACACTTTATGAATATTGCTAAAGATAATGAAGTAGGACCGTTATTTGTATAATTTATTTTATGGGTTACTTTCATAATATGTTTTTTGATTAATTACCAAATGTATCACATTTAGAATCAGTGTAAGAAAAATCAGTATGAAATACCTTCTCTTTAAGGCATTTCTCAAGCTAAGCTGTCCTTCATATTGTTCCTTTTGGGTTGGGGGAAAAAAGATCTGAAATCTGGAGGTTTTAGAATAAGCTTTTATAGGCTTCCACTTTCTGTATATCTGGGTACTCAAGAAAAGTAATTTGTGGTCACTTTAAAAGTTTCAAAATGTGGTTTAATACTGAAAGTCTCTAATTTCTGGCATCTGAGATCAGAATAGGAAAATATAACACCTAGAATTTTCCTTAGATGATTGCAATCATGGTGCTTCAGGAGGAAGAAGAAAGTAAAAAAGAAAACAAACAAAATCTTTCCAAGTTTGGTGTCTTTTTTTTTTAAAGTTTCATTACTATCTAATCTTTTGCCATTTTATAGTCTAGCCCAAGATATAAGTTGGAATCCTATATTATCTACTCAACTTTTTTTTTTTTTTTGGTGACAGTTTTATTACTAAAATAACTTGAATGGGGCTGGGTTAACTTTATATAAACTTTATTTCTCCTAGAAACTATGCTTTTATTTTAAAGCACAGTTATAATAGATCATTAATGGAGCTTATGGAAAGTAGAGTAGACTCAGTGTATATACCCTCTTTAGACATGAATGGTAGAGAATTTGGATTGTACCTTCCTGTGTTTTTTATTTTATATTAAGATATCTTTATTGGAAAACAACACATAATTTGATGAACTACTTTCTTGTCCTCATAAATTAAAAAAAATCTCAGAGCAAAGATGAAATGAAACATTGGTTGTTTTCAGAAGAAAGGCCTTAATTGCTTTTTAAATGCCTATTATTCTGTGATCATTAAATTAAATTTCTGGTAGCCACAATTTTTTTTTATTAGTCTGCCTTCTGAACCTCAGAGCCTTTACAGTGTTTAATCTCATGGGTACGTCTACAAGGAGTTGGAAATGACCTCCTTAAACAGCTGCTTGATCTTGTTGTTCTGTTTTGTTTTTTTCTAAATGACTCCTCTGTTTTTCACCCTGGCTTCTACAAAAGTCCAGTCTTTTTTTTTTTAATGTACATTTTAAAGTCACCAAAGGATCTTATATCACAAAGAATTAAAATAAGGATAAAGTGAGATTGAAATAAAACTGAATTTGAAAACAAGAAAAATATTAAAATGTTCCATTATTTAAAGATAGATGAAGCAATATTAACAGTTGAAGATAATCAGACCTACCTAGCTCTTATTTATTTTATTCTTTATTACAGAAAAGGGTATTAAAAGACTGAAAGGTATTAATAAAATAAAGAATTAAAGAGTGAGATAAATGAATGAAAGCAAGAGGGCATCCAACTGCTTTAAATATATTCAAATCTTCAAATCAAGAGGAAGTAAAACATGGGTACTGATAGAATTTGGAAATGTTTGTATATAACTGCTACTAATCATCTTCAAAAAAAATGGCAAAGCAGAGTGTCTTAGTTTGTTCTGTGCTGCTATAACACAATACCTGAGACTGAGTAATTTATAATGAACAGAAATTTATCGGCTTATGGTTCTGGAGGTTAGAAAGTTCAAGATCAAGGTACTGGCATCTGGTGAGGGCCTTTTTGCTGTGTCATAACATGGCAAAACATAGTAGAAGGGGAAGAGAGAGAGAAAAAGGGGAATGAACAACCCTTTTAGTAACAAACCCACTTCTACAATAATAGCACTAATTCATTCAGTCTGCCCTCATGACCTAATCACCTCTAATTAGGCCCCACTTCCCAATACTGTTGCATTGGGGATCAAATTTCCAAAACATGAACTTTGAGCACACATTCAAACCATAGCACAGAGCACTGTCAAAAACTTGAGGAAGGGAAACATCTCAACTTTTATGATAAAAAATATAAATTTCAAAAATTACAGATGAGAGGCTTTGATTTTTTTTCATACAAATGTCCAGGCTGGGTCTAACCATTCCCATGTTAAAGGCATGGTGGGTAAGTGGTGCCCTAACCCCATTACAGCTTCCAGAATTTTGCACCTCAGACCATGATTAGAACCTCTTGATTTCCATTTGCCTATGAGGGGAGATAGAACTACAACATTTTAGAATGAATTATTTTTTAACGAAAGCTTTGGGAATTTAGAAAAGCATGTCATTTTTATTGGTAGTCAGAGGTTCACTAGTAACAAGTCATATCAAACCAACTTTCTTTCTGAGTTTACTAGAGTTAGAAATATTGTATTTCAAATCTGGGCAATGTAGGGAGACCTAGTCCCTACAAAAAACCAAACAAACAAAAAAGCTAGGAGTGGCACACACCTGTGGTCTCAGCTACTTGAGGGGCTGAAGCAAGAGGACTGCTTGAGCCCAGCAGGTAGAGGCTACAGTGAGCCATAATTGAGCCACTGCACTCCAGCCTGGGTGGCAAAATGTATTAGTCCATTCTCATGCTGCTAATAAAGACACACCTGAGACTGGCTAATTTATAAAAGAAAGAGATTTAATTGACTCACAGTTCAGCATGGCCGGGAGGCCTCAGGAAACTTACAATCATGGCAGAAGGGAAGCAAACATGTCCCTCTTCAGAGGGTGGCAGGAAGGAGATGTGCAAAGCAAAAGAGGGAAAAGACCCTTAGAAAACAAAGAGATCTCATGGGAACTCACTATCATGAGAACAGCATGGAGGTAACTGCCCCCATGATTAAATTATCCCCCCCACCCCCCAACTGGGTCCCTCCTGTGACACATAGAGATTATAGTAACTACAGTTCAAGGTGAGATTTGGAAGAGGAAACAGCCAAACCATATCACAGAGCAAGGCCCTGTGTCAAAAATTAAAAAAAAAAGAAAAAAAAGTAACATATTTCACCAACATAACAGAATTGTAGAGCTGGTAGCGATCTTAAAGTTATTTCAAATTCCTCATTTCTCATTTTTAAGTGAAAAAACAAGACCAGAGAGATTAATTACATTGCCTAATATGACAGCAAGTTTGTGGCAGGTAGAGTTGGAATAAAGAGATCTCCTAGTCTGAGATTTTTTTCTAGCTCATCAAGTTTTTCTCATGATGTCTTTGTTGACAAGAGGAAGTATGGGCTGAATGAAGCACAGTTAGGTAGGTTTATAGTTGATGCAACAGCCACACTCCAAAAAATGTTTAAGATGTTTGTGTCAATTTAAAAAGAGATCTACAAAGGTGTACTTCAGTTTTCTGCCCCTGGCTCTGTCACTGTCATGTTTAATATGTTAATTATTGAATTGGAAAGAGGACACAAAATCTCTTACTAAATTTTCAGATAATACAAAGCTGGGAAGAATAGCGAACACATTGGAAGATAGAATGAATGTTCAAAAGGCTTTGGACTGACTGGAATAATGAGCTGAAACTAAGCTGAAATTTAATAGGGGGAGGATAAAAGTACTACAATTAAGTAAAGAAAAATCGACTGCCTTAATTCAAGATGGGGGGTAGTTTGTAGAAGTTTTAGTTGAATGCAAGTGTGATGCACGCCAGCAGGCCAGCAGTGTCATTTGGATGCCGAAAGGAATTGTTGCAATTTCAACCTATCTTAGAGGCATGACTGAGCCCTGATAAAGGGTAGTAATGGTCCCTTGGACAGACGTCTACAAGTGGAGCATGAGCTGGCCTCTAGACACCACATTTTCACAGGGATATTGACAATTACAGTTCTTTAGAGGAGAGTGATGGGATCATGAATGGTCTGTTGTGAAGAAAACCAGAAACAATTATCCTGAAAAGGAAGTGATTTATGGATGATTTGCTAATAATACCTGTCTTTAAAACCATTTTTTTCTTTGTTCAGTTTTTTAATTCATTCAATAAAGTTTTGTTCAGAACTTCCTAGTAAGTGCTAAGAATACAAGGGTAAGTAGGATAAGATATCTGCTCTTAAGAACCTCATAGTCTGATACTGTGTTTCCAAAAGCAGGATCTCTGGGCACCCTGGGTGCCCGCTAAACAGTGTAGAGTCCTAGACTCACCTAAGACCTATAGAATCAGCCCATGAGTGAAGCTTAGGCTATTGCATTTTTAGGAGCACACATATTAGCAGTAAAATTTGGTAGGTGTTGTGGTAGAAGTTTGTCTGATGTGCTTAGGCAGCATATGGGAAGGAGTAGCTAAATCTGTTTGATAGAGTCTGCCATGTATTAAAGGGAACAGAGATACTCCTGGATGTCCTAGAGGGAAGAATTATAGCAGTGAGTGAAAATTAGAGGGGCCAGTTTTCAGCACAGAATAATGAAGATTTTTTTTTTTAATAAAGAGGGGTTTCAAAGGTGGAACAGCCTTCCTAGTGAACAATGTACCTCCTCTTCCTGGAGATGATCAAGAAGGGGCCCAACAAACAAGTATACAGTGGTTTGGGGAAGAATGCTCCTGTCCCTCATCCTATGACCCACCTCCCCATAAAGGGGGTGCTTCTGCCAACACTCCCTTCCCCTTTCTCTTGACTTCTCACTTTCTCCTCCTTATGGGAGAGACTAGTCTGATTTCTTAGAGTCTGGGGCATTTTTGAGGCAATGTTTTCCTAGGGGAAGTTGGTCATATAAAGCACTTCCTTTATCAGGCTGGTGATTCCTGTGTTAGACATGCAGGCTTTTCATCTGGATAGTGTGGGTCTCAGAGACTGCTCTGCAGGAGCCCCTGGCATATCTGAGTGTGTAGGTTTCAAGGTGTATACAGAAGGTGGAAAGTAAGGACCTCAGTTTGCCTCAGGCTGTATTCTGCACTTTAGTTACCAGGACTTCTGCTTTAAGAAACACTGAAAGATTTCCAGTACATTAAGAAGCAGATATTTGAATCTCCATTTGGTTTGAAGTTCCATTATTGGATAGAGTTCTGAGGTAGGGGACAGGTGAGTTACACACCCACAAATCCAAAACATTTTTGTTTTATTTATTTTTTTTCATTTAGTGATGTCAGGAAACTAGCAGTTGGGCTTTCTCAGCACTCAGATGTCTTGTAGGCGGAAGGTTGAACCATTAGCCCTTCAGAGTTTTACTGTTGCCTGGATGCTCTAAGACCCTATTTGTTTATAGATTCTGGCTGATATTACTTGAACAATTGGTCCTTAAGTCTGCTGATCAATAATACCCATCTGTCAAATGGTTAGACCTTAACCTTACTTTCTCTTTTATGGCTTTAGGAATCCTCAAAAAGGTAGATATATCTCACATATAATTCAGGTTGTTGCCTTTATTTATTTAACAAATTGTGGTATATGCTGTGTGGTATGCTGTCCAGATCCTCCCTTGAGGACTGAAACACTCATTGACCCAGTTTTAGAGAGTTGGACAGTGTTGATTTCTAGTGGAGTCTCTCACCAGGAATTATCCTTTGCTGAATGTCACCTCATCCAAGGTGACACTTCCTTCTTGGAGGTAGCCCATGTGGTTAATAGAGGGGCATCCTTTTACCCAACTTGGGACAACTCTGTAGGGGCATCGCAGCTCTAGAGCTCCCCATGGAATGGCTGAGGATTTTGATGTGACTTATCACAGACCAGTTTCTCTCTCTGCTCAATGTTGCTTCCATCTGTTCCCATAGGGATGATCCCAAGAGCCCCTGCCCACAGTAAACTTCCTGGGTAGAAATTGTTGTTTTAGAAGTCTTATTCCTCCTAGGGAACCCAATCTGCAACACAAATGTTTGAATTTTAAAACTTAAAGAAAATCAAGCAAAAGTGCTTAGTGTATGGAATATAGCAGTGTGAAAAGAGCCTACTGTTCTGTAGTCTGTCTGTTTCAGCTACTGTCTTTCCCTGTTCTATGTTACGACTTGGTTAGACTTCACAGAACTGCCTTTCTGCTGATATTCACAGGGTGCTGCTGCACTCCTCTTAACCCCTATATTGTTGGGCATGTCTCCTTATTGCCTGTGGCTATGCTGCTGGTCACCTTGATGTTAGTGGCCTACTTTGCCATGTTGGCTATGTTAGACTCTGGATACCTTGGCAGAGTTGATGACCTATTCTTGGCCCCTATTCCTTTGATGTGACTGTTCTTTCTGCTGCCGTTTGATTGAAGCCTGTCTCCGTGTCTGCCTATCTTTGTTCTCTGAGTTGTTTGCTAGTGAGGGAACCTGTTCCCTTTCTTGTGCCAAGCACCATTAGATGTAGCTGTGTCCCTTGACACAGCTCTTTGGCTCCCTAGTGTAAAGTCTTTTATTTTCATTGTCCAGCCCTCTTTAGAGGTCACTTTCTCATGGAAATGCAGGTGCCTTTGAGTGATTCATTTCTTTCATATATTTGTTTTCATGCAGCTCTTTTCTTGCCTTGGATATGTAGTCATCCCTGGGGCCTGGTTGGGGTAGATGGAGAGTGTTTTAAAGATAGCCTCATATTATACCCAGAATAACTTCTCCCTTTCCTATAATCAGGTCCTGATACTAAGTTTATCCCTTCCAAGACTCCTATCCACTTATGGCAACTTTTTCTTTGGTGGCCTGGTTGTCACTCCTTGGAACATGGCTTCCCTTGAGATCTCCCCAATCTATCAGAAATGTCTGTATTTGTCTAGACGTTAATTATGGACACAACCCAAGTCATTCCCTGGGGGTCTTGGGCCCCATACCAGTAAAGGGATGCAGCTAGATTCTTATCTAAGTGTTCACAAACATTCCACTACAGTTGCCCTTAATAGCCTTGTGCACACAAATGACCTCTGGACAGGAGGGCGCCTAATTCCGCAGGCTAGCATATCTGAATCTCAGCCAGAATGCACTAATATGTATGACTTTGGAACTGTATGAAGTGATAATGTGTAATAAGAAGAAAAGTGAATCTGGAGTCAGATCTGGAGTCAGTCCTGTTAATGTCGCAAATCTATTGGTTTAGATTTTAGGACCTCAGTTTCCTCAACTGTAAATGAGGAAGTTAGAGTAGATTATCTCTAATAGCTCTTTCAGTTCTAACACTTTATGATTCTTTCCAGCCACTTGTGTCATCTTTCCACACTCTTTATTACCATGACTTTAATTGGGTCTGGCATGAACTCCTCTGAGGGACGACATTTCCAAAACAGTTTGCTGCTGGAATGCAGATGATACTTTTCCAGGGTTGAGACATATGCATTTCTTTGTGTGACCTCTGGATCCCAGCACAGAATTTTCCATCCTAGCCTTCCTGGGATTAATCAGATGCTTTAGGAGAGGCTCATCCAGGATTGCGCCTTTGAAACAGATTCTTGGGTAGAAATCAACAGGCTCACCTTTGTGCCTGGATAATATTGAACGCTGGAAAGAAGAAAGTTGGTCTAAGATATTCTTTAATAGATTTACTGCCTAATACTAAGTCCTTGAATTCTGCATGTAACAAAAAACAAAGAGTAATCAGTAGATTGTACACCCACATAACAAGACATTCAGTGGTTAGAATTCCCATAGACTGGTTCTAAGGGATCAACTGGTGTCATCACATACATGAATGTTTTTATACAGGATGTAAAGCCTAAAGACACAATCGTAAGGCTGGAAAAAATTGTGTGAAGACATGTTTTATTTTCTAAGAGTAAGGTAAATGAAATTTAAGCCATCTCAGATAGAAGATGACCAATGTTACCTATTGAAAATCAATAGAGAATTTATAATCCTCAGGAGGAAGCCTTTTCTCTTCTTGTTTATAATAATTCACTGTCTATGAAGCCTTCCTGTTACCACTATCTCTGAGGGGAGGTATTAGACAGAGAACTGGTACGGAGTCCCCTGAAAAGTCAGCCTTCTTCTTCAGTCTCCATCATCCATGTATCTGACAAGTTTCTTTAAAATGCCACTCCAGTCAGTTCCCTGTCTTCCTCACACCTCTTATGCCTTGGTTTAGGCCCTTATCATTTCTAATCTGGATTATTGTGATTGTATCTTAATTTAATAAACTCCAGTTCAACAGTGCAAGTAGAAAAATGAGTCCAATTTAAGATCTGATATTCCCAAATCCTCCCAACACATTACAAAAATTCTTATTCTTTTGCAAGCACAGGAGATAAGACTGACTAGTAATTGCCTAGCAGCCATAGTAGGGGAGTTAGAGAGGGAGAGAACTGGTTGTGGTGGCTCATGCCTTTGTAATGCCAAAACTTTGGGATACTGAAGCAGGAGGATTGCTTGAGGTCAGGAATTTGAGACTAGCCTGGGCAACATAGCAAGACACTGTTTCTAAATCATAGTTTAAAAACTTAACTGGGCATGATGTTGCACACCTGCTGTCCTATCTACTCAGGAGGCTGAGGTGGGATGATTGCTTGAGCCTAAGAATTTGAGACTCTAGTGACCTATGATCATGCCACAGCACCCAAAAAGAGAGAGAGAAAACTCATACAATGTTAGGCCCTGACAGTGCCAAGACTTGAAGAAAGATACCTTGGTACTATTCATCAAGCATAGTATTTCTTCATGAATAGTATACTGTCTATATTCCTGGGAAGTTCTACAGACTTGAAAGGAAGGTGTGAGGTTAACTGGGGTCTGATATGAGACTATGATTATCCTGCTTGCTTCTGTACTAGCCAGGTGCTGCTGCTGCTTTTTCTTATTTCTCAGCATTTTGCCTTGGCCTTGGGGATTGAGCTCAAGTAGTCCTGCCATATCCCTCTACACTAGATGCATCAACTTAGTTTTTCTACTCCTTAGTCTCATACTCCTTTAGCCTATCCTTCACATTGCTGCTGAAGTGATTTTTTCTAAAGTGCAAATCTTATACATTCTTTCACTCAGCGTTCCACGACAGCTCCCCACTGTCCTCAGGGTGCAATCCAACCTTCTCGTTGGAATAGACAAAGCCTTGTGACCCAGCTCTTGCTTGTCTCTTCTGCTTTTTCTTAGTTATATCGTCTTGTCTTTGTCTGTGCTGTCATCTTGGCTTTGTCTACTTATACACCTCATGTGGCTTGGCTCATTCCAGCTTATCCCAAGAGTCCCTTCCTCTGGAAAGCTGTTTCTAGTCTCCTTTCCCTCTCCCAATTATCCTGATATTCATGGGGTTTCATTCCCTTCTCCTGTGAGTTCTCATAGAATCCTAAACTTGTTTTTGTCACAGAATTCATCACACTGTATTATTTGCTTCAGGTCTGTCCCTCCCACCTGGCTGGAATCTTCTCGAGGCCTAGATCTCTGTTTCCTTTTTATATCTCTTGCTCTAGCACTAAAACCGGCCCATAGTATATGATTAATATGTGTGGGGTGGATACATGGCATGGAAGGACTCCCTAACAAGGGTGATCTAAAAATGATTTTTTACTGAGTACAAAGCCTAACTGCTAATGTCCCTCCTGCCCCAGTTTGTAGATATATGAGTTATGATATATTGAGACCTTGAAAGAAAAAATTCTCAGAAAGTGGCTATTTCTACATAACAACACGTTGTTATTGTTTGGGTGTTAAATTTGGTGATTTTGTTCTTTTTCATGTTTCACTGTAGAGTATGAATCCTATTTTTAGGTGGTTCTTCTAATTCAGTCATTTCACTGACAGAGATAATCTAGTTCCATTATCTCTGTTAAAACAACTGGATCACATTTATTACTCCAGTGAGTTCCCATAGAATTCTGAACTTATTTCTGTCACAGCATTCATCACACTGTATTGCAATTATTTGTTTCAAGCCTGTCCTTCCCACTGGGGATTAGGTGTGGATTGAAAAAATTTAGGCAGAGCTAGTCCCAAGAGGAAACCAGATCTAAGGTCCAATGTCAAAACAGGGTCAGGCATCAGAAGCCCATTGAGTAGTCTAACAATGTAATGTACATGCATGTCATATGTCAGAGCAAAGCAGTGGGCTAAACCCGGGAAAGTGGTCAGAAATCAAGAGAGCAGATCCCACAGGTTAGGTGAGGCAAGACTGATGGCCTAAGGACTTGGCAGGCAAAGAGAGAGAAGCAGCTAGGAAGGGGTCAGGCAAGGGAAGACAGGCCACAGCAGAATGGAGGACACATTCATGGAACCTCTTCCATTGGAACCTTGATCCTGAGGCAGAGCCTGGCCCATCAGAAGGTTCCTGATGTCCTTTGTAATAGCACATATTATTGTCACCACTAATTCTGTCTAGACCTACAGCATGGTATTTGTAGTTGGCTAGAGTCAATCTGAAGGTAGAAAATAACAACAAATATTAGCTGTTAGAGTGCTTTGATGTATCTTGTGGTACTTTTACTTGTTGTATAGCCTCTTATAAACCTATATAATATCTCCTATTAAATAATAAATTCCTTGAGAGCAAATACCATGATTTTCTATCTTTAGACTTCCTATTACACTTAATGTAGTGCTTTGGATATATCACATATTCAGTAGTATATAATGAATATGTTAGTTAGTTCTCATGCTGCTAATAAAGACATACTTGAGACTGGGTAATTTATAAAGAAAAAGAGGTTTAATAGACTCACAGCTCCACATAGCTGGGGAGGCCTCACTATCATGGCAGGAGGTGAAAGAGGACCAAAGGCACGTCTTACACGGTGGCAGGCAAGAGAGTGTGCAAGGGAACTGCCCTTTATAAAACCATCAGATCTTGTGAGACTTATTCACTATGATGAGAACAGCATGAAAAAAACCCACCTCCATGATTCAGTTACCTCCCCCTGGGTCCCTCCCACAATATGTGGGGATTATGGGGGCTACAATTCAAGATGAGATTTGGGTGGACACAGCCAAACCATATAAATAAATTAGATTAAAAGTTAGAGGTTATGTTATTAAAGTTTCTTGGAGATAACTGAGTGGCTTTAGTGAGTCCCCAAAAGTCCACTTAAGCCACGTGTGGGCTCAGTCATTGTTAATGCCAATCACAGTTTTTTGTTCTGGATAATTAAATGTTTGAGGTCTGAGTGACACTGGAAAATAATTTATGCTCTGAGGAGATGCATTGGGATCATTGGTGAATCAAAGAAAAAGTAAGTTTTCTTGGGACAAGATCCCTGTTAGAATGTCTTGGGACAAGATCCCTGTTAGAATCCCTGTTAGAATGAGAATATCAGATTGTGTGTTCATTAATTAACCAACAACTGACATTAGTGGAATAAGCTTAAATATGATTCAATGTATCATAACTAAAGAAGAATCAAGTATTGAAAGCCCTGTAAAAATTTAGGAACTCCATGTCATATTGGTTACTGCTTTCTTGATGAAGTATTCCTCTGCCTTCAGAGCTATACATCTGTGCAGCAGGAAGATATTCTAGGGCTAGATAGGATGGCCCACACTTGTAATCCCAGCACTTTGGGAGACTGAGGTGGGAGGATTGCTTAAGCCCAGGAGTTTAAGACCAGCTTTGGCAACATAGTAAGACCCTTGTCTCTAAAAAATATATAAATAAATAAATTAGCTGAACATGATGGTGTGTGCCTATAGTCCCAGCTACTTGAGAGGCTGAGGGAGGAGGATTGCTGGAGCTCAGGAGTTCAAGGCTGTAATGAGCTATGATCATACCACTGTACTCCAGCCTGGGTGACCGAGTGAGATCTTGTCTCTTAAAAAAAAAAAGATAATCAGAAGTGACAAGTTTTTGGAATCTTTGGTAATATGCACTTGTAATCCAATATCAAATTTAATTATGACAAATGAATACTAGAGCCTCACAAAGGATGGCTCATATTTTCTATTTTGTTTTTGTTGTTGTTTTTTTTCTAAACCTGTTTCCACATTAACTGGGGTCAAAATAACTTTCTACTTGCTTGGCCCTCTTAATTGCTTTTAGTTATTTTTTCTCCCTGCTATGCCATGAGAATGACCAAGATCCACAGTTTTCTAGGGTCAATATGGTGGCCTCATATAGAGAGTGAATCTGAGGTTAAGAATTTCACTTTTAAGTCTGGGAACTTGACACAAAAATAGCTTAATTTAATCTATTTGATTCTAGTTATTCAGTTTACTCATAAGAAAATATAATTTTCCCTTGCTGGATTTTGCTGATTACCCTTTGTCCTGACTTGTCTTAGGCAAAATTCCAAGTGGATTTGAAGTCCAAAGTCTTGAGTTGGAGACTCAGCCTCACCATTCATTAGCTACGTTAATGTGGGCAACTGCCAGAGGCTTTATTTTCTTATTTGTAGAATAAGAATAAGAATTTCTATTCTTGGTGGGTTAGATAAAGGACTGCATGCCAAGATGTTTTGAAAGCACCATTATCATACCTACCGTCTTGCTTTGTTTCTTTACAAAACTCTTTGAAGCTTTGTGCCCCTGCTGTCTTAACTTTTTACATGCAATTCGTAATGTAAAATGCAATCAACTATAATCAAAGATAAATAGAAAATAAAAATCATCACCACCATCACCACCATCAACATTCTAGTACAAGGTATACAAAAATAAAAACAATGTCAGCCCAAGAAGAAGACCCTCTGCTGCTCAAAATAGCAAGTAAGCTAGTGGAGCTTATGGTCATGCACAGGGTCAATGTTGCTCATTGATTTGGTGGAGAGCTACCTGCTTTGGTAGAATGTGGGGCATAGTGAAAAGCATTTGTGTCCTAAAGTAGAAATCCACTGATGACCTACAGTAGAAAGTGGATAAAACCATGGGAACTGGTTTTATCCACTTCCCATGGATCAGTTTCACGTTCTCTGTGGGATATCTAACTGTCTCAAGAATCTATGGGATTTGGGGACAATGTCAGAGGTGAGACTTAGTGTTTCAATGACTAGCAAGATTTTTTAAAAATGAGGCTCCAAATTTCTGACCTCTGTTCTTTTTGCACCTTTTGTGTAAGAGGTGAAGGTACATGGGGAAAAGCTGCGGGAAGATATATGATGGACAATGACCTGGCCTGGGGTCAAGAGACCTGAGTTCTAGCTCTGTTTTTGCCACTAACAAATTTGTTTTTTTCTTTTGGTTTTCCATGACTCTGGGGCTCAGTTTGTTTATCTTTAAAATAAAGGGTTTAAGTAAATAGTCACTTAATATCTTTTTCTAGAAAACATTATTGAGCTCTTGCTTCTTGCTTGGCACTGTACCAAGGTCTAATTGTACAAAATAAATAATACTTAGGCCCCATCCTCAAATCGTTTATAGACTAATAGGGCAGATGAGTAGACAGATATATGTAATAAAGGAATGCTAGTGTTAAGCTAGATGTCTGCCTAGGTCTCTTCTAATTTGAATATTGTATTTTACATGTCTCTTTAAAAATATTACACACTCCCTGGAAGGGTTGAATTATTAGCAAGACACATTTGGCTTCCTTCAATTTTGTCAGGGGTCCTGTTGTACAATGACCTTCCTGTTAACCAATGCGAACCATTTTCCCTAATTCTTCACGACCAGTTTTAGGTGTTTCACATAATGTGAGGAACTTTCTAACCTAAAAAGTGATGTTTTAATGTACTTGATCTATATTATTCAAACCACTGTGTGTCACTTCACAGTAAACAAGGTTTGACAATAAAAAGAACAATAACGATTATTGCAAATGCCATTACTAATTATTCATGTTAGTGCCATCCACTGGAGTCATTTTAGAATTCCCCAGGTAGATATAGGCAGTTTCTCTTCTGTAGTATCTCATTTTCTTTCACTTCCATCTTCTTCCTCCCTCCCTCCCTTTCTTCCTTCCTTACAATGTTATTACAAGTTTTTGTTTTCTTGTCTCCTCCACTAGAATATGAGCTCCTCCAGGGCCCAGACCTCTTTCCTGTGTAAGTATCCTGACACTAAGTGCAGTCTCTGGGTACAGAATAGATATTCAGTACTTGTTGGTTGAATGAAATAATGCATTTGATTATCTTAACTATAGCCATTTAGACAATAGGATTTTTTTCAATCATAGTTTCTCAATGATATCCAGCCACATTCTGCCTTTAGCGACTTAGGCTTTATTCTACTGGAGGGCTGGTGGACATTATACATCTGTTTATGTTTAAAGGAAGGAACCCCAGTTGAATGTCATTGTACAGACTCTCAGATCTGGCTTTTTTTTTTTTTTTTAAAGAAGAATGTCTTTTTCTTTTTGGAAAAAACTTATTGTCTATGACTCCAGGATATTATAAAAAAGAAAAAACACCTTCTTGTCTCCAAGACCTGAACCATTCACCCTCAATCTCACCTCCGCCTCCACCTACGTCTCCTTTTGCTTGCATATGTGTGATGCGGCACCATTTTGAGGCAGAATTTTATAAAGAGTTTAGACACTGGATCCCCTCAGATGGCAGAGAGGTGGAGGAAGAACTCACATGTCCCTTTGTTTTCTGTGTTCTTTTCTCATTAAGGCCTGCAAAGAAAGCCTATGTGAAAGAATCCAGAGGCTGAATTTGACACCGTGAGATACTCAAGTGGCAGTGGATGGGGGGAGTGGTTGCATGTGAAAAGTTGAGGAAATAATTTGGATCCAGAACCAGCTCTAGCTCAGCTGCCAACTGATCAAATGTCCCTTTGGTTCCCTAAATTTATCCATGAAATTTGTATCTTGGAAAAATTGCATTTTGTGTTGGCAGGACACAAGTTTTATGTTTATCAGAGTTGAGTTTTTAGTGCTTTTATTCTCTTTCTCCAAGGGCCCCAGGTGTTCTGAATAATCCTACCTTTTCCCCATTCCACAGTAATGAAGAAATGTTGCTTGAGGTATGGAAAGATCAAAAGACATTAGTTTCAGAACTTGTCTATTTTTGTTCCACATCATCCAGGGACAACGCCAGATTCCTCATCCATTTGAGACACAGTAAGCCAGTCCCATCCACATTAATCTAGATTATGTTGACTTCACCCATTTCTGACAACATGTAATACTCTGTGTCTTGTTTAATCACACAGTAGAGAGACAATTCTCCCTGTCATTTACTCACAATATTCCAACTGCAGAAAATGTGATTATGCTTTTAATATTCATATGGTGCTACAGATGTACATGGCAGAGAAATCACACTAGGAGGGAAAAAAGGTTATGCTCTCAGGTGGCTATACGCTGAAGGGATGAACTCTCAAAGGAAGGAGAAAAGTTTGAGGTCAACTCAGAGAAGTAAGCAGGCATGTTTAAAATTCACCTTAGTGTAGGAGGTAGTAGAGATTCATTTAATCATGCAAAAAATATTTGTTAAGTGTCTTGTGCAGGCAATGTTCTAGGTACTGGGGGATAAACTCTATGCCTTAATAAAATTTACAGAAAAATATTGAAGAAGGAACTATGAGTGTGAAGAAGATCGTGAAAAGGGAGACAGAGGGAGCACATGGGGGATAATCAACTACAGAACAGGAAAAGCCAACATCAATTCAGGGGTCAGGATGGCCTCCTTCTAGAAGCAATAGTTAAACTGAGGCCTGAAGTGGGAGGAGGACTTGGTCAAGGTTTGAGGGAAGTAAGTGTGTGTGTGTGTGTGTGTGTGTGTGTGTGTGTGTGTATACATACATGTGTGTGTTGATAGAGAGAAGGGTTCGTTCCTGGGGAGGACTTTTTAGGTAGCAAGTTTAGAGGGTGCAGATGACTTAAGGCAAGAATAAGAATGGTGTGTCTGAGGAAATACAAAGTCTAATGTAGCTAGAGCCCAGGGAGTGAGAACAGCTATAATAGTTAGAATGATGAGCAGTATTCCTTTGAAGATGGAAAGGGATTTCTCACTGACTAGGAAATTGTTCCCAGCTGTAGAAGTGGCAGGAAAGGAATCTTATACCTGAGAGCAAGGTCAAAGGAGTGATGAATAGGGTGGGCAAGACAAGGGAAGTTGATGGAAAGGAAACGGATTCAGATGATTGGAGGATTCCAATGAGTGTTTTTGGTGTTTTAAGGTATCAGGACTGGGTGTGAGATGCCTTGAAGAAGTACTCTTGGAACTATGTGATTGGGGTGGGTAGTTCCTTTATTTATGAAAACTAGACCGTAAGCTTACTAAGGGAAGAACCAGGTCTTTTTGTCCACTAACAACACCCCTAAGCTTAATGAGTACTTGGCCAAAAGTTGGCTTTCAATAAATATTTGTTAAATGTGTAAATTAATAAAAAAGACAAATAAAGCATGAGTTATTATCTCGACAATCATCTTGGTTGTACCTTTGGTCAGGTTAGCTTTTCCCTTCTCCTAGGGTTGCTTAGGGACCCTTGGAGGCACTGTAAGTATCCCTGTGCTGCCCAGCTTGATTCCAGAGCTGATCTCATGGGGGCAGGCTTGGACTTCCCAGGTCTGTTTCCATCCTGACCTGAGTCCTTGGAACACACTCTGAGTGCAGAAGTCCAATCATGGAATAATAAAAAGCTTTGTGGTTTAGGGATTTGGCGAGATAGCGAGAAGGTGGTTTGTCACCATGATCCCTTGTAACCTCTCTTATTTCCAGGGCAACCTTGTAGACCCCGTGAATCATATTAGATTATAAAGATGATCAGTTTTTTGAGGAAACCAGTGGCAGGAACTAACATTTTTTGTAGTAATTGACAGTTTCCAGAGTGTACCCTGCTGACAGTTTCTCTGCTTCATTTCACTTTGGTACTATTACCATCTCTCCTGTACTGACAGGAAACTATTGTTTAAAGGTAATTTGCCCAAGGTCACAAAATAGCAAGTCATGAAGACAGGACACATACCCCGTTCTTCAGGAATTTTTTCACTGGTGTTTCAACAAACATCGCGTTTGGAACTTCAGGCAATTTATTTCTGAATTGCTATTTTCCTTGTTTCCTGCTACCAAAGGTGACAGTGAGCTATCCTAGAACAAATGTTCAAAATTATGGCTTTATATTTTACATATGGGAACATAATATTTAAATTTGAAGGATTGAGTTTATAATGCATAATATTTAGCTGTTACAGGAGGTTTATTAAAGAAGTGTACATGCGTAGGAAGGCCTTTTCATGCTTCTCAAGTTTTCTAAGAAAGTATAATATAGTGGAAAAAACACCAACTAGGAGGCAGAAGTCAAGCACAATCCACTTAACATTGTCTCATCTCCTCCTCCACAAAATAGACCTACCATTGTTGCCCCACCTCCTCCAGGGGTTGTTGTGAGGATCAATAGCTAACGTTTTTTTCTGGAAGTTTTTGTAAATTGCATATTACAATGTCTGATACCATGCCTTATGGCTATCCAAGTGTAAAAAAAATGCATAAAAATCTCAACCTGCCTTAAAGAATATTTGTTGAAAATAAAGAGTTTAATTCAGAAGTATCAATATCATGAGCTCTAATTTTCCCATTGGCTAGCTGACCAGGTTACTTAACTTGTTTGTCTTTTTGGTCGCATACATGAGTAATAATAAATGACCTCCCATACCTTTCAGTCATGATGTGTTGACAAATGAGGAAACAAGTTAGAAAAAGCTTTGAGGAAGATTGTGTTGTAGAATTATGACTAGTCTTTCCAGATTCTTCCTGGTGTGCACAGCATATGTTTCTGCAACATCAAAGTTTTGAGGAGAATTCCCCACCCTCTTTCCATGATGACAGGCAATAAGTGGTCCTTTTTCACCTGGGGATCAGGAGAGTAATTCGAATAGATATTCTGAAAGGTCATAGTCATGAGGAGGGATGGGAATTATGTGGGGACAGGCAGGTGACATTTAAGGAATGGACAATTTGTTCTCCCAACAAACAAGGATGGTAGAATAAAATGCATGAGGTAGAGGAGGCAGAATGAAAATATACTTAATTCAGGTATAAGAATTACATAGGAGAGGAGTTAGGACAAGAGAGGGAATTTAGCCAGGACCTGTGTGGTGAAGGGCCTTGACAGGGATAGTAAGTAGTTTAAATTGGTTTTGGAAGGCATGAGGAGCCAAGGAAGGGGCTGATTCCACTAGTGTAATATAATAATAGTATGATAAGCACAGCAGAATGTCACCATGGTGAAATGGGAGAAGAAACAAATGTTAAATGCAGTATATTCTTATAAAGCTTCAATTTGTTGTCATTGCTTTATAAAGAACTTAGTATTTCTCTTCTTTTCCTTCTCTTTGAATAAACTTCCTTTCAGAACAAGGCTCAGAAGTACACTATTGTGATGAAACTTAGTAAAACTGCCTACATGGAATTACACTGGAAGCCCTGTAGTAAGTGGACTATGACCAACCAAAGCTGGAATGGAGATGTTTGAGAGGGACTCACTTCCTGCGTCATCAAACCCCATGGGCTGAGGAACTTTTGTCTAGGCTGCCACAGAAGCCTTCCCTGTTATGTCCTGTGTGTGACTGCTTGTTCCCATCTTCAGTGCCCTCCCTCTCCTCTTCAGGAAGAAGTTCCAGGCAGGCGGTACCTCACTGAGGCCGTGCATGAAGCCTTGACACCCCTCCCTCCCTTGGTCTTGAGCCTGTTAGAAGAATGCTGAGGTTTTGGGCCTCCACCCGGAGGTACCCAGCAGTAACTTCAAGGAGCTAATGAGTAAAGCACAGTAATGAGAATAAATCCCAATGAGCTTATTAAAATAACTGAACCACAACTTTGGCAAGGGCAGGAACCATTGTCTGGAACTTGTTTGTCCATTTGCAGAGTATTGTAGCATGCCTTTGTATATCCCCTCACCCTTTCAGAACAGAGAGATTAGCAACAAAAGACAGATTTTTCAAAGCTACACACAGCCGTGATTTATATCCCGCTCTAGAGACTGTTGGGATGGCTTCTTTGGATTGAAAAGGGTACCAGCCGATCTCTGTTTTAATGGGCCACCTGGGACTTTAGCTGTAGTGTGTGTGTAAAGCAGAAGAAC
Source organism: Homo sapiens (assembly GCF_000001405.40). Lineage (NCBI taxonomy): Eukaryota > Metazoa > Chordata > Mammalia > Primates > Hominidae > Homo > Homo sapiens. Next base: position 176,446,999 of record NC_000001.11, read on the forward strand.
TCTGATCCAACCTCCATCTTTTTTGGAAAGGCTTCTTTGTAATTGCTTTGGACTTTGTGAAATTCTTCTCTCAACAAAAGTAAAAAATGGTTTCAAGTGCTATAACCATTTTATCCTGGGAGTATGTATAACCAACAACATGAAATCCCCAGGTTGCCTTTTTTCATTGCTGGGGTAAAGATAATGTTTGCAGAGCATCTCCCAGGGTTAAGGTACTTTTGGGAACTTTAGATAATTAATATTCTTGGAGGACTTGCATCCTTAGGAGAAGGGGGCTGCAGTTGCGTAGTCTCTAACTGGTTAGTTCCATACAAGTTCCATGTTAATTACACCAAGGTTAGAGGGTGAAAAATCACAGACAAAAATTACAAGTGAAAATACCACCTTGCAGAAGTGTTTGGTGTTATCTACTGTGGTTGAATACATGCTCATACTATGACCCAACATTCGTACTTCTGAGTGTGTACCCAACAGAATTGCACCAAAAGATGTGTACAAGAATGTTCACAGCAGCATTATTCATAATAGCCAAATCCCAGAAACTACACAAATGACCATTGATAGTAGAAACAATAAACAAATTATGGCATTTTTACACAATGGAATAATATAGAGCAGTTAGAATAAAGGATCTGCAGCTAAATACAATGGCATGGATAAATCTCAACAAATATTGTTGAGCAAAAGAAGCCAAGCACAAAAAATTTCACACTGTAGGATCCCATTTATATAAAGTCCAAAAACAGGCTAAACTAGTCTATGGTGTTAGAAGTCAGGAGAGTTTTTACTCTTGGGAGAGGTGCAGTTCCTAGAAAAGAGCACAAGGGAGGCTCCTGGGGTAGTGATTAGAGAGGTTCAGTTTGTGTGTTCAACTTGTGAAAATTCACTGAGCTGTGCACTTATGTGCACTTTTTGCATATATATTATAATATGATTAAAAGGTAAACAAAATTACAGACTGGTTAGTTTCATTCTGTTATCTGATTACTTGAACTACAACCTTAAAGAGTCACCTAGGGCTGGGTATGGTGGCTCACGCCTGTAATCCCAGTACTTTGGGAGGCTGAAGTAGGAGGATCGCTTGAGCACAGGAGTTTGAGACCAGCCTGAGCAACATAGTGAGAACTTGTCTCTACTAAAAATAAAAAAAGAAAACATCATCCAGGAGTGGTGGTGTGTGCCTGTAATCCCAGCTACTTAAGAGGCTGAGGTGGGAGAGTCCCTTGAGCCCCAGAGATCTAGGCTGCAGTGAGCCATCATGGCATCACTGCACTCCAATCTAGGCAACAGAGCAAGACCCTGTCTCAAAAAAAAAAAAAAATAGTCACTTAGGAAAGGTATCGCTATTAGTTGCTAGAAATAATAAAGTTGGGTGGCTAGCTTACTGCAAACGTATCAGCATCATCCAAAACAAGCAAACAAAAAAGCTAGAACTTAAGATTTTAAAATCCCTATTGATTGGTATCACCACCTCACCCCATCCACCTGGTCTCTACATTTTTTGCCTGTGTGTAATCTGAGGACTCCAGGTGTGCCCCAGTGACTCAACAAGAAGCAACATGTATGACAGGCAAGTGTCTGCTCAATACAGCATCACAGTTGTATTAATGAGATCAGATGAGGGCATCTGTGCCTGTAGCAGGAGGCTTTTCAGCTGAATTTGGTGATCCCCGAAAACAGTCATGGCTTGCTTAACTATAGAAATATATTCTGAGAAACGTGCTGTTAGAGATGTTGTTGTATAAACATCATAGAGTGAATGTACACAAACCTGGATGGTATAGCCTACTACACACTAAGCGATACAGTATAGCCTATTGTTCCTACACTACAAACTTGTACAGCATGTTACTGTGCTGAATACTATAGGCAATTGTAACACAATGGTATTTGTGCATCTAAGCATCTCTAAATGTAGAAAAAGTACAGTAAAAATACAATATAAAAGATAAAAAAAGGTACACCTGTATAGGATACTTACCATGAATGGAGCTTGTAGGACTGGAAGCTGCTCTGGATGAGTCTGTGAGTGATGGGTGAATGTGAAGGCATAGAACATTACTACTGTACGTTACTGTAGACTTTATCAATGCTGTACACTTATGCTACACTAAGTTTATTAACAATATTTTTTCTTTCTTCAATAGTAAATTCACCTTAGCTTAGTGTAACTTTTTTGCTTTATAAACTTTTACATTTCTTTTAACTTTTTAATTCTTTTGTAAAAGCACTTATCTTAAAACATAAACACATTGTAGAGCTGTACAAGAATATTTTCTTTCTATCCTTATTCCATAAGCTTTTTTCTATTTAAACATTTTTTTACATTTTAAACTTTTTGTTAAAAACATAGACTGAAACACACACATTAGCCTAGGCCTGCACAGGGTCAGGATCATCAATATCACTGTCTTCCACCTCCACATCTTGTTCTTACTGGAAGGTCTTCAGGGGCAATAACACACATGGAGCTGTCATCTCCTATGATGACAGTGGCTTCTTCTTTCTCCTGAAAGACCTGTCTGAGCCTTCTTTTTTGCGATTAGAAGGAATACATTCTAAAATAACAATAAAAACTATAGTATAGTAAATACATAAACCAGTAACCTAGCCCTTTATTATCAATATCAGATATTATGTACTGTACATAATGGCATGTGTTATACTTTTATATGACTGGCAGCACAGTAAGTTTGTTTACACCAGCATTGCCACAAACTTGAGGGTAATGTGTTCCAGCTACAAAATCACTAGATTGTAGGGGTTTTTCAGCTCCATTTTAATCTTACGGGGCTGCTGTGCTTTCTGCAGTCCATAGTTGACCAAAGCATCATTATGAGGCATATGACTATATCTTCTCTGCCATCATGCCTGGAGAAAACAGATTTTCATCATCTCTCAAACCCTAAACACTTCCCTGGAATTATTACTCTGCAAATTCATTTGAATTCACCTGAAAGGAGAAATAAGACTAAAAGCTTTTAGAGTTGGGTTTATACACACCTATACTGAGCATAAGCTCTTTCCATATGGCAAACATCTTATTGAACGCTCTAGAGTAGAATAAAGTCTATATCATGCCTACCATTCAGCATCTTGGGATGGAAATTAGATTTGTGTGTACCCAACCTATAAATATTCAAGGCCTGCTGTATCAATCAAGCCCCTGTATTACAATTACTTTTCCATGTAATAAATTGATATTTACTGAGTATCTACAGTGCTAGAGGCACTAAGGAGGTCAGAACACTTGGGCAACCTTTTTCCCTTTCTATCAGTAGATACCTATTTAGCCTTGTATCTTCTTCATCATGTTAGTGAAATTAGAAAAATAAACATATTTTAAATCACAAAATAATAATGAAAGCATGGATACTGAGGCATAAACCAGAGTTTGAATCCTGGCTCAAACACTTAAATGTACATAATCTTGGTCAAGTCCCTTACTTGATTTGGTTAAGATAGGAATATTAGTTGTAACTATCGCATAGGTTTTAAAATTTTTTTATAAGTACTAAATGTAATTAGATGGCAATTCCATCTTGTTCTAAATTGGACTCATAGCTGGATTTAAGGAAGCCAGAGGCCTGTTTCTTACAGTCTTTTTAATGGGCCAGCAATACTCTTCTCAGATCTCAGATTCCTCCTACCAGTTCTTTGTGGCCTGTGTGCTTCTAGTGACTCAGACCCATACCTCCTCCAGGGGATGACCTTTGGCTTACTAGAGCTGCTTAGCTTATATTCCTCTTAGTCAACAGGCGACTTCATGGGACTTGAAAGCCCAGATTCCTAGTCTTGAGGAGGAACAAACTTTGAGGTTGTAACTTATGGTCCTGAGCTCCCTACAGGATTAAGTCAAGGCTGGGACTTTTCCTGATCTTGCTGTTGCCTGACAACTACTGATTCCCTGTCTTGCTTACCTCATTTCCTTACCAATTTCTCTTGGGAGCACTTTCTTAATAAATTACTTGCATATGAACCTTCATTTCAGGGTCTGTTTCAGAGGAGCCTAAGACAATCCTTATTGCCACGTATAAACTAAAATAAAAATTTTCCTTGGAAGTAGTTGTACTCGGGATGAGAACAAATACAGCTGTCAGATGGAGGGGTATATATAGTTGGGAGTGGCTGCTTGTTTTTCTATAAAGCAATTTTCAAATGAGCTCAAGGTTTTACAAGAAAATATTCTGATAGTGCCACAAATTGTTTCATTCAACAGACTATTATTGAGCACCTATCATGGGTCAGACACTATACAAACTAAGCAGTGTCTGGATACGTCACCTACAGAAAGTGGGAAATAATTTTTTTGTTTGTTTTAAGACATTAAGTTTGAGGATTGTTGCGAGATATCAGGGACCCCGAACAGAGGGACTGGCTGGAGCCATGGCAGAGGAACATAAATTGTGAAGATTTCATGGACATTTATCACTTCCCAAATAATACTCTTATAATTTCTTATGCCTGTCTTATTTTAATCTCTTAATCCTGTTATCTTTGTAAGCTGAGGATGTATGTCACCTCAGGACCACTGTGATAATTGTATCTAACCATACAAATTGATTGTAAAACGTGTGTTTGAACAATATGAAATCAGTGCACCTTGAAAAAGAACAGAATAACAGTGATTTTAGGGAACAAGGGAAGACAGCCATAAGGTCTGACTGCCTGTGGGGTCGGGCAGAATACAGCCATATTTTTCTTCTAGCAGAGAGCCTATAAATGGATGTGCAAGTAGGAGAGATGTTGCTAAATTCTTCTCCTAGCAAGGAATATAATATTAAGACCCTAGGAAAAGAATTACATTCCTTGGGGAGGTATATAAATGGCTGCTCTGGGAGTGTCTGTCCTATGCAGTTGAGATAAGGACTGAAATACGCCCTGGTCTCCTGCAGTACCCTCAGGCTTACTAGGGTGGGGAAAAATCCTGCCCTGGTAAATCTGAGGTCAGACCAGTTCCCTACTCTCAAACCCTGTTTTCTGTTGTTTAAGATGTTTATCAAGACAATACGTGCACAGCTGCACATAGACCCTCATCAGTAATTCTAATTTTGCCCTTTGCCTTGTGATCTTTGCTTTTGTCCTTGCCCTGTTTCCTCAGAAGCATGTGATCTTTGTTCTTCTTTTTGCCTGTTGAAGCATGTGATCTTTGTGACCTAATCCCTGTTCATACACTCCCTCCCCTTTTGAAATCCTTAATAAAAACTTGCTGGTTTTGTGGCTCAGGTGGGCATCACAGACCTACTGATATGTGATGTCATCCCCGGTGGCCCAGCTGTAAAATTCCTCTCTTTGTACTCTTTCTTTTTATTTCTCAGACCAGCAGACGCTTAGGGAAAATAGAACCTACACTGAAATATTGGGGGTGGGTTCCCCCAATAGGGGATAATTTGTTACACAGCAATAGATAATTAATGTAAAGAACAAAGAGGCCCACTTGGGTGGAGTGAAGTGACCCAGGGGAAGTGTAGCAGGAGAGGCAGAGAGGGAACAGTGTTGGGGGATCCAGATTTCACCCATAAGGATGCTGATTCAGTAGGTCTGACTCAGTGGAGTTGGGGTCTGGGCATCTATATGCCTTTAAAAACTCTGTAGATAGTACTTCCATGCAATCATGGCTGCATACTGCTGAGAAGAAGAATTCACTCAGGTTGTGGTGGCAACACCAGGGATAAGGTTCACTATGTCACACCCCAGGTGCCTATCTCTAAGGTGAAGAGTGTTGGTGACTAGGGTCCATTCATATCACATTTTACAGAAACAAGTACTCAAAGCTTAATTAATTTTCAATGATGAATTTGTGATAACCTCATTGAATATGAAGAGCCCATGGATTTAATTTTTTATGCTTCAACCACTCCTCCCAGGTGAATAAACAAAGCAAAACCAGGAGAGCTACTCCTTGTATTTCTATTTCTTTCTCCATTCCTGCTGCCATGTTCTTCATAGGAATGTCTACTTTTGATTGAAAGCTCCCGTGAAGTTGACCGTATCAATTTCCTCACCACAGGGCAAGATCATACCTTATTCTTCAATCTCTTCAATATTTTTCCAACTTCTTTTAATCAGAATATATAGTTAACATCACTTATTTCTTCCAAATGCTTCCCAGATCTAGAGTGCATATCCTTCAACTCTATGGCCCAGGGTCTTTGATAAATCCCTTAAAATTAAATAAAACATACTCTGCCGTTTGAAAATCAAGGAATAAATGTTTGTGTGACTATCAATAAAGATTTTTTTAAAAGAGAAGAAAGGGTCATTCTATAGGGTATCATAAGAGTTAACAGATATTAATAATGATGTAATTATAGTAGTAACAGTTATACTAATATTAAATGACATGTATTGAGAACCAATGAGAATTTCTTTTCTTTATAAATTTGACAAGATCTTGCTCAAATATGACACATCCGCAACCCCATCCCTTGCCTGGAATTGTCTCCTTTTTAAACATTCTCACCCTTACATTTGCTAATTCTTATTCATCTTTGCAGTTTCATCAAAAGAATCAACTTCTGGGAAGCCTTCCCTAATTATTATAGACTAGATTAAGTGGTCCACTTTGTGTCTACTAGCACCCTGTACTTCCCTAATACTATGCTTACCACATTTTAGTGTTACTGCTTTTTCAAATTCTCTCTCTTTCCTGCAAGACTATGGGCAACTTGAGAGAAGAGATCATGTCTAATTTACCTAGTTTGGTTCTTCAGAGCCATGCACCTCACCTGACACATAGTAGGTGATTGAAAAATATCTGTTGCAGCAGTGACTTTCTTATAGCCCAGTACCAATGCAGACATTGGACTGTGATCTTTATGTACTTACCTTTCAAAATATAACAACTCTAGAAAGTACGTATTAGTCCCCATTGAGCAAAGAAAGTGTGGCTCTAGATGGTTAAATGGGCCAAGTTCTTATAGCTAATAGGTGGTGGAGTGAGGATGCGAAACAGGTCTGTCAGATCCTAAAACTCTTAACCACTAAACTTCCCTTTATAGAAGGCGTCAGGACATTGGGAAGGGTGGTGGAATTAAGTTTTAGGTTTTACATCCATGTGACAGAGGAATGTTGACTCCATTTCTGAGGTTGATGTCTTACCTGTTAAAATCCCAGTTTAATAGGTTTGATGCATTGGCTGCTGCTTCCTATTCTTTTCACATAGCCCTAACAGCTACTTCTGGCATTCTTTTATTCATTCACTTAATCACATGTAATAGATATCTTTTTTTATGTTTACCGGTTTATTATAAAGGATATCACAAAGGATACAGATGAAGACATGTAATAGATTATCTGTTGAGTGCCCACTATGTAATAACACTTGACTAGGAACTGGGGCCTCAGAGGTAGATAGCCACATAGCCTGCCCTCAATGAACTTATATTCTGGTAGGAGGCATCGTAAATAAATAAGTGTGAGGGATTGCCACAGTTGGAGAGTTAATCTCTGAAGCTTTTTCTTGTTCTACATCTGTTCTCTTTTCTGGTGATAGCATTTTCTCTGTGGAACTACTCCTTCACTATTAGTCTATGTGTGTCAGATGGGGCTGATCCAGGGGTGGGCAGACAAATAACACAGGCCAGGCCATGCTGAGCCTTCCATACTCTGGTCACATCAGTTGTTTCAGGATGCACATGTTTCAGGACAGGGAGGGATGGGGCATGAGAACGCCTCCTGGAGCCCTGTTGAAGCTTTTATGGAAGAAACAGCTTCTTTTTGCTTGGTTGCTAGGAAAGTTAGATGTATCTGGGGACTGACTCCTGGAGAAATTTTGTGTGAGATGGAAGCCAACCCAGAGGAAAGCAGAATCAAGATGTGGAGGAAAAGACAAAGTCCCAATGATGCTGTTTGAGTACTTGCTGCATTATTATTATTATTTACTTAAGTTGCTTTGAGTTGGGTTTCTATTAATTGCACTATAAGGTGAAATGACATAAAGGCTAGGATAAAGACATAGCCCCTGATGAGGAAGGGGAATAAAAGATCATGTGGTCTTTCAGGATCACAAAACTGAAGAAATGACCTAGAGCTTAATCTACAATTTATATGGATTAACAACTGCCCATAAACCACTAAGTCAAATTTGAAAAGAGGAGCAAACAGGGAGAGTCACTCTGACAGATATAGAACCATACTATAAACATACATGCAATAAACACTGTGTAATATATGTAAAAGAATAGGGAAATAAATCCATGTCACCGAAGAAAGAGTTAAAGGCAGACCCGTGTTTATTTGGAAACCTGGCATATAATAGGTGTGGCATCACAAATATATATGTCAATAGATTATTTAATGTCTGGTATTAGGGAAATCAGGCCACTATCTGGATAAAAAACTGTCATATTCTTATAAGACATTAAAAATTAATCTTTCAGAAGGATTAAATGTGAATGGAACTATAAAGCTAATGGGAAATAATATCTTTGTGAGTTTGGAGTGAGGAAGGTCTTCTTAAATAAGAAAACCAAACCACAATTCAAGAGGAAAACAGGGTGATGTATTTGACTACAATCAAATTAGATTATTTCTTTTCAATAAAAGTATGATAGATCAAATTCATTAGACTGATGACAGACTGGGAAAAGATATTTTGCATGAACCATAACAAAAATAAGGAACTGATATCTAGATTAGAAAAAGAATTGTTAAAATTCAACAACACAGTTTGACAAACTCCATAGAAATGGTTGAAGAATAGGAATAGACAATTCAGAGAAGAGAGATCTGAAAGGTTAACGAGTATATGAAAATTTACTCAAACTCATAAATAAGACATAGGCAAATTAAAATAAATATAAAATAATATTTTATATCTACCAGAATGGAAAAATTTAGAAATATTCCTGAGGACCTGGGGATGCTAGAACTCTTAAACACTGCTGGTGAAGTATGCATTAGTGCAACCATTCTGGAGAATAACCTGGCAATATTTAGCAAAAGTGATGTTTATGGGTATACCTTGTGATCCAGGAACTCCAGGCCTGAGTACATACCCAGAGTAATTCACACAGAGAAGGGGGCATATGCAGGGATCTTCACTGTAGCATTGTGGAGGGAGAGAGATGGAGGCATGGAAGCATGGAATGAAAGATAGTAAGAAACAATGAAATCATGAAATCTCTAGCATATCATGTAAGTAAACTCAAAACACAAAATATACCATACTACTATTTATTTTTCAAAAATAAACTGCCCCCTATATATACCTATTATATTTTGATATCAGACACCCATTAATGGGGGTGTCTTTAGGGTTGGGGGGCATAAAGAGAGAGTGAGGGAAATGGACATGGGATCAAGCAAAAAAAGAGAATAATAAGTAAAATAAAGACTGCAGGGACTGATAATGACAGTGTGCTGTGAACTGAAAAGTATAATCAACTCGACTCTGAGTACTTCAGGTTAAATATCAAATTATAATTGAGACTAAAATTTAAAATTATAATATAATTACAATTGAGACTAAAATGCCTTAGGTGAGTAGAGGGTCGGGAATATTTTACATGAGCTGTGGTCTCATCCTACCTGGAAGTGGTACTTAACCCAAACCATCCTTAACCTGGCAGGAAGATATTCTATTCTTCCACCTACTTGTTTGTTGAAATAAGGGAGAAATTAGATCCCACGTATAAATACTTTTCCATGTTTTAAAAAGTAAAGTAACTTAAAATGGATATTTTTACTACTAAAATTAGGAAGCAATTTCTATTTTCTTTTAAATGAACAACTTGTTGGAAATTAGTATGCTTATTGTCTAAAATCTTTGGCCTAGAATCAGTGCTTCTGTTTTTGTGGTAACCCTTAGTTTGGAATTGCCTAAAATATTCAGTGGTATGCAAGTTTTGGCTGTCCTCATTAGTATATGTAAATTGTACTCTGTTTCCTCCAGATTTAAGATAAAAAAGTCACATGTCAGGAAGGAAACTATTGGGTTCTAAACGATATTGAAATGGGAGCGTTCCCTGACTCCCGTCACAGGACGTGCAACAGGGGTGTGGCTTGTTTGTTCGGCTGCTGCCACTGCTCATACCCCGTACGGGATGGGGAGCACGCAGACAAGCAGGTGCAAGAGCCTGCAAGCACTTTTGGGCTCCAGAACCAGGGTGGCATCTAGGGGTGTGTGCCTGTGACTCTCAAAGCCCAGTGGATGTGCTACAGTGCTCTTTTAGCTCTGCTGTTTGCAGACAGCTTAAGTGTCAACCAGCTCAGCACTTTCTTGGTACCAGGGTTCTTGTCTGGCATCCAGAAAAAATCAGGTCATGCGCAGAGTTGAAGGATGGTGATTGCGGGGGGGATTTTACTGGGTGATAGAGGTGGCTCTCAGCAGGATGGATAGGGAGCTGGAAAGGGGATGGAGTGGGAAGATGATCTTCCCCTGGAGTTTGGCCATCCAGTGGCCAATCTCCTCTCTGAGTGTCCCTAGCTGAACTCTTCTCGATGTTCAAACACTCCTTATCTTCTCTCCTTCTCTGCAGCGTCATTCTGCCACTCTTCTGCTCTTCTTTTTGTCTGCTCTTGGAGCCCAGGGTTTGGGGTTTGTATGGATACGGGATAGGGGGGTGTGGTGGGCCAAAAGGTAACATTTGGGTGTGAAAACAGAGATTCCTGTTTCCATTTAGGACCACGGGTTTCCAGACTTGAGGGTGGGCCTTTTGCCAGGGAAGCACCTTCTTCTACCCAATATTTCCCTGTCTCCTGTTCATATCAGTATCTTATACTCTTTTCTATTTTTTTGTACTCTGAACCCAAACCAAGGATATTTTTAGAGGACACATGTGTTTTTTCTTTATATGACACATATCCAAACACACTGTCCCTTTTCAGCCATGGTATAAACCCTACAAACACACAAATAACATGACACTCAAGGATCTGGCAAATTGTATTGAAAGAAGATCCTAAGGAGGTTTTCAGGGAGGAAAGGGCTTTATTTTTCTTGTTCTGTTCTGTATCCCCATGCCTAGTACCTGGAGCATAGTAGGTGCTCAATACGTATTTATGGAATGAGTGAATATACAGATGAACATGTACACACATATCTGTAAGCACACACCTATTTGTCTTTGGTCTGCAATCCATTGTCACAATTCACTTTTTCTTTTTTTTCTCCCTTTTAAGAATTAGTCAGTCAACATACTCTTCACTAATATCTCATGATGTACAGACATCAATATATGATCTATGCGAGTTGACGGAGAGAATGACATGGAATTATAAAACAGTTCTCATGGCTGAGAAGCTTGTGATCTAATAGGGCAAACACATATAAGAATAAAAACCAGGAAACATTTTAGCACTAATAATACTGTTTGGAAACTTATGAGAAAAAGGGAGTGAGTGCGTTGGCAGGAGGTGGGGGAGCTACCCCCCATGTACCATCCCATGGCAGCTAGCCTACACAAAGCCATGGACAAGTCACTGGTGGAGGCCTCACTATTCTGACCAGCTGCTAGTGAGAAATGGGCTCTTCCCAGCCAGAAGAGGCTGTCAGAAAGGCACAGGCACTTAACAGGTTTCAACTGAGCTTCCACAGACACATCCTCTAAGGAGTAGAAAACTCCATTCCAGACCCAAGGAGGCCAAAAGGGTTCCCGTATACATGAACAGGAATACTGTGGCAAAAAAACCAATAATACAATGACGGAAATCCTTAGCTTTGTGTCCAGGGAAAGCTTGGTTTAGCTGTGAGTGAGTGAAACCAGCTCAATAAACGTCAGCAATTTGAAGACATCTGGTCTTTATTTTTGGACTTTGGTACACTGAAGAGGATTATGGTTATACGATGTAGAGGCCATTTAGTTTTGTCAATCTACAGGATTTCTTATAATATGAATCCCTCACACTTAGAATAGAACCTTGCTCTCCAAAGTTGCCTGGAAATTTTTAAATATTAACTCTTCATCTCCCAGAGTGATTTTCTGAAGGAAGTTTTATCCTCAAAGGAAGGAAAGAGATTGTTTTAATAGACAAATTGAGTTATGGAGTAGATATTTATTTTACCCTGGTTGGTGGAACCTCCAAGAACTTCAATATTCTGTGACAGCCAAAAGGAATTCTTCTGTTCTTCTTGCTAAACTCTGATGTTATTTTTTTTCTCTCTCTCTTTTGTCTTCTCTTTTGGCTTCTGTTTGTCTTTAGCCATCCCCTACCTATGCTTAAAAATTATTAATCTGATAGTTATTGGTGATCTGATATTTACTTTCCATCCACCACCCTTTGTATTGAGATGGGAAAGTTCCCTTGACCCCCTTGTGGGACTTGTGACAAAGGTGGCTCATTTACTCAGCCATCAAGCTCAAACCCCTTGCAGGAGGGGGAGCACACAGGTGAGTGAGTTCAGGAGCAAGGGCTAGTGCCAACAGGAATGAACCCTGTACCATCCCATGGCAGCATCTAGGGGTTGTCTGTGACCTCTGGAGCCCCAAAGGGGCATGTGTTATAATCAGTGATCTTTTAGCTTTTGCTGTCCATGGATGGCTAAGTGTTAAACAGCTCAGTGGAGAGTCAGTGTGACAGCCTCTTGCACCTGCATCCAGATCCTTGTCTGGTGCCCAAGAGCAATGAGATCACACAGACTTGAAGGATGGTGAATGCAGAGATTTTATTGCATGGTAGAAGTGGCTCTCAGCAGGATGGGGAGCTGGAAAGGGGATGGAATGGGAAGATAATTTTCCCCTGGAATTCAGCTGTCGCCAGCCAAACTCCTCTCTGATCATCCCCGCCCAAATTCCTCTCCAATGTTCAGCTGCCTCTTTTCCTCTTGATGTTCAGACACCGTTTCTCTTCTCTCCTCTGCCACACTGCTCTGCTCCTCTGCCAGTGGAGCTTGGGGTTTTTATGGGTAGAGGATGGGGGGGGGTGTGGCAGGTTAGGGTGTTTTGGAAAAAGCAACATTTGGGAGGGAAAATAGGAATGCATGTTCTCATTTAGGGCTGTGGGTCCAGGCTTGAGGGTGGAGCCCTCACCAAGAATCCTACCCTTTTCTACCCCGTGTTTCCCTGCCTCCTGTCCATATCAATATCCACTGGCTAATGACCTGGTGCCTCCCCCAACCCTCTTTATGTCTCCCATGTTCCCCCACTTTTTTTTTGTTTGTTTTACCTTTCTAGCCCATCATTTCTGACATTCTCTACTTCCCCTGTTAATACCTGTGTTGAGTTCCATTGCCCAGGGCTCTGCCAGGTGATTGACTGTATTAGACAATTTGTAGCAAACCTGTTGATAGCCTACAAGTGGCTCAGGGGCTTCCCCCTGTCTGATAACATTTGCATTTTCATTGGGGATTTCAATGTCAAAAAGGTCAGTTGGGGATTCCTACACCTTGGCAGGCTTTACTCTTGATTTTTCTCCCCATCTGGCTGCCCATTGAGCCATGTTTAGAGCGGCATCTGCTCTCAGGTCATGGCTGCTGCAAGCTGGTTGGACTTATCGCTGTCTTATTCCAGTGCTTTTTCAGTTAACATGGTGTTTTTCAATCTATTCTAAAAGCAAAGGGCACAGGAAAAGACAGTAGGCAGAGGCAAGGAAACATTGCAAATTGGATAAAGAGCCAGGCCACTGGGCTGAGGTATTCTGTCTGTGGAAAGGCCCATTGGGTACCAATGGTATTGCTGTCCATTAAAGAAAATCCATAGGCTTTTTAAAAATGCATTTTCACCTTAATATAGCAGGAACAGCCACTCTGCCATGCAATTCCTGAGGATTTATGGCTGGCTGGGGTTAATGGTTTGAGGTGTTATTCTTTTCTGTGCCTCATTAATCCCCAGGAAGTGCCTGTGCTGAGATGGTTATTCAGCTCAGTTGGGCTCCAGAGGCACCAGTGTTCCCCACTCCACCTCCAAAGTGGCTGCAGGGGCCAGGCCACAGGAGCTCTCAGCTCTGACACAGGCTCTGTCTGGACCACCGTGTCCCTCAGAGCCTGGGTTAGTGACTCCACAAATGGCATTATGAATCCTAGGTGAGTCCTAGGTAAGTTTTGGCAGCCATTTTTCTTGGTTACTGGCATTGTTGATATGACTCTATGGCTTCCCCCTTTATCCTTTACCACAGAAAATTTGAAAAAGACACAGTTGGCCTCGTCTGAGAAGGAGAAGTGTGAGTGCAATGCTCCTTATCCACAGATGACAGAAGGGACTGATCCACTGATGGGGCAGAACTGATAACAGGACAGAGTCTTTAAGCAGCACAAGGTGCTTTCTGATGATCACAATGTATTGCATTTTGGTTGGGGGAATTCTAACTTTTTGGAGACATTAGTGTTTATAAAATATTCTCCTATACCTTTCTGTCCCACCTTCCTCCCTTCTACAAATATTAATTGAGCACTTACTAAGGTACCAGTATAGATATTGAGGACACAACCATGAACAAGAGGAACAAGGCTCCTGTCTTCAGGTTTTTGACATTTAAGTTTGCTTGAGGTCTGTGTGTGTGAAGGCCAGAAAATAAACATATAAACATTTAATCTTTTAACAAACCCATGGCTCAGGCAGAATAGGTGTACCCATATCTATTTCATAAATAAGAGACCTGAAACTTTGGAGAGGTCAATGATCTTTTCAGGTTAGCCAGTTTGTGCATTCATTAGCTTATCTATCAGACAGATTTACCAACACCAGTCATCTCTCAGCTCATCTCCTAGACTTTTGAGTTATAAAGATGACTAGGGTATGGGTCCTGCCTTCCAAGGCTCACAATACAGTGGTAAAGCAGCCACACAGACAAAAATATTCTAATCTGATAACTGCTATAATGGGACCTTTGCTTGCAAAATAGGGGCTTGAAAGAAGCATCTGCCTGAGGGAGACAATCAAGGTCAGCCACAAGTCTAAGGCTGGGAGAACGTGCTCAATAACACTTGTTGGATTGAATTGAGTCAGCTATTCAAGGCTGGCTTCACTATCTGGTTTAAAAAGTGTCCCCAGGACATCAGAATCATATATTCAAATAAAGCAAAAATAATCTCATTCCAAACCAAAATAGAAATTGTTTGTTCCACTTTTGGTCAGGCTTCCTGCTTTTATGTGATTAATTAAAAACAGGGTAGCCACTAAGCTGCAATATAAATGACAAATTATTTATGTCTTATTTATTAATGTAAAAATGCCCAGAAATTCCTCCTAGAGTCTGTTTCATCCACCCTCATCCTTCCTGTATACCTCCCTACCTCCATTAGTCTGGCTGTAATTGAGAAATACTTACACCTAGCCTCAACCATAGCAATGTAGAAAGAGCCATTAAACTAAACTCAGGAAACCTGGGTTTTTGTCCCGGGCCTGTGATTAGCTAAAATTCTGACCATGGGTAAGTAACTTCAGCTTTTTTTCCCCCTTTATTTTCCTTTCCTTTCCTTTCATTTCCTTTCCCTTCCTTTCCTTTCCTTTCTCTATCTCCCTCTATTTCTTTCTTTCTTTTTTTTTTTGATACAGGGTTTTGCTCTGTCTTCCAGGCTGGAGTGCAGTGGTATGATCAAATCTCTGCAGGCTTGATCTCTGAGGCTCAAGCAATCTTCCCACTTCAGCCCTTCTTAGTAGTTGGGACCACAAGCATGCACCACTACACCTGGTTAATTTTTAAATTTTTTGTAGAGATGGGCCCTCCTTATGTGGCCCAGGTTGGTCTTGAACTCAAGTGATTCTCCTGTCTCAACCTTCCAAAGTGCTGGAATTATAGGCATGAGCCACTGTGCCTGGCCTCACTTAACCTCTTGATGTTTCAGTTTCCTAAATTATAAACTGAGATTGAATACTTGTCCTATCTTACATCACATGTTCTTGTAAGGACCAAGTGGTAATACTGGGTGGTAGCTGGAGAATGGAGCAGTTAGCAGTTTCACATGACTAGCAAAAGGAAATTGTTGAAATAGCTGCATAAACTAGGGGCTGATAAGATCCTGAAAACCAGATGTAGGCTAAGCTGGCTAAGACCAACTGGACCCAAAATGGTGCTGGATTTGACATGGGTTTCACCTATAACCTCATTATATGTTCATTAACTTACTAAATCACACACCCACCAGTGCCGTGATAGTCCGGGAACACCCAAATTGGTGTAAAAATGGGTGGTACCACAGTTCCAGGAAATGTTCACCTTTTCCCAGGAATCTTCATGAATATTCCACCTCTTAGTTAAAGAAACTCATAAAGATGGAAACCCTGAACCCCACTGGGCATGACTCTCTCTCTTGAGTAGGCACACACTCCCTTTTCTCGGGTGTGTACTTTTTGCTTTGTGATACATCTCTGCACTTTCAGTATTTTCCAACTCATCCTTAAATTCCTTCTCACAACAGTGTCAAGAGCCTGGACGCCAGCCAGGATTGAGGTCCTACGGGTGTTTGGGGACCTCCCCAAGCCCACGAGTATCAATGGCAGTATCAATTGTCTGTGACAGTGATTAAGGAGCAAAACACTTGGTATGTATTGGGGGTGTCACTACTATTACCATAGCATGTCTGCTGACTGAACAAGATGCTGGACGTTTGCTAACTTGGCTTGTGCAGGGGGGTGTTAGACTTCTTGTATTCTTTTGGCATCAGAGGGCTGGGACGCAGCCCTGTAAGCGGGGATGAGCATCTCCCTTTAGCATCATTGTTCCCATCCAAGGGTCAGGCTCCCACTTAATGGCTCAGTTTCTCCAGTCTAATAACTTGTAACAAATTGTCTCATTTTTCTTTGATAAGTGACAACCTTTGGCTGCCTGGTCTTCTTTTAGGCTGCAACTGCTTCTGTGAGCTGGCAACTCCAGTTCTCCTGGGCCTCATCCAGGCCTGTGCAGGGAGACCATGGAGGGGATTAGGATGAGGGTTATTCACATCCTCTGCAGACACCTTCTCATGTTCAGTGTCTGCTTGGCTGGCATTAAAGGCAGAGGGAGTGCTGAGGATGAGTGTGTGTGGGGTGCAGGAAGGAAAGGATGGGTAAGGAGAGTTCTATTGCTAAGCTTAGGGTTATGAGAGGAAAAGTAGGTTGAGGCAAAAGCAGTGAGGGAGGATATAATTGAGCCAAATATCTTATTGGAACAGACAGAAGTGATAATATTTATTTCTTCTATAGATGCACTGATCATGTTGTCCAGATCAAAAATAGAAACTGTGGACTATGATCTAACAGATACATTTTTGAGGACAACAGGACAGTGTAGTTTGAATATAAACTCTCTGGGAAAATTCTGGAACAGTGATTTCTTATGCCTATGACCTCATACTCTCCCATAATTTCTTCTTCTTCTTTTAAAAATTTAACCTCTAGGAGTACAGAACACTCCCATAATTTCAAATCTTGCTGAGTCTAGTTTTGCCATTGGGCACAGTTGAGAAGTCTGTTTGTATTTATTCTATCTACTCATTCTTTCTTTCCTTTCAACAAGTATTTATTGAGCACCTACAATGTATGGCCCACTTCATGGGTGTGGGATCTCTGTAGTCACACAGGGCCCTACACTTAGGAGGGCCCTGTGCTTGGTTCAATGCACTGTTAACATCTTGAAATTTGTAATATTTCTCAAACAAGAAGTTCTGAATTTTTATTTTGCACCAGGCCTTGTAAATTATGTTTCTGGTCCAGATGAGGTACGATATTGGGTGTTGAGGATACAAAGATGAAAAGATATAGCTTTTTCCCAAACTCTCTCTAGCTGCCACCAGCTCTTTGCTTAGGAAATACCCCAGGTGCTGGACATGGCTCTCCGCATAGTTATCTGCTAAACACTGCCTTAGCTACCTGGGAGTTTGAAGAGTTTCTTCTTAACTAGTTCACTGTAAAGCATTCCAAATCATATAAATAGTTTTTTAATTATAAAAATAATAGAAGTTACTGTAGAAAGTTAGAACTATGCAGAAAAATTTGAAGAAGAAACTATAAAACAATCCATAATCCCAATATCCATATGCAGTGGTTATCACCGGATAGGTGGCTGGATAGTGGTTATTGCTGGATAGGTGTTTTCACTTTGAATTATTCATATTTATATTTTTAAATAAAAGTAGGATTCTAATACACGTATAATTTTATAATCTTGCATTTTCACTTAAAATTGCATATTTGCTATTTCCCAAGACATAAAATAATTTCCAAAACATGGTGTTCTGTGTTTGTTGCATTCTGACATGTGGATGTGCCATGATATATTTTCTTCCTTCCCATTTTTTGGGGTACATCTAAGTTGTTTTCAACTTTTTGCTGTGGTAAATGCTACTTGGATGAGCATCCCTATATATAAATCTTTGTCTGCTTCTTTGGTTATTTTCTTAGGATACACTTCAAAAAGCAAGATGACTAGTTAAAAGTGTATGGAGAGGCATGACACACATGCAAATCATTTCCAGAAGACTGCAACAACTTATACTCTCACCAGTAGTGAATGGGAGACCCTATTTCACAGGTCTCCCTATACTGGCTATTTTTTATTTTTCAAAGTGGTTGTCCAAGTTGACAGGTGACAACGTTTATTTGATTACTTGTTAGATTAGACGCATTTTTTCCTATATTTATTGGGCACATATATCACCTGTTTTTTCTTCAAAGGCTGCAAAAACTCTGAAATTTAATTCATACTTCAATATTTAATACAAAGTTACCTTTTTTATTGTTTCTTTTCTACTGTAACCTCATGCCTATCCTGACCCAGGCCATTCTTTTTTTTTTTTTTTAACTTTTAAGTTCAGGAGTACATGTGCAGGTTTGTTATATAGGTAAACTTGTGTCATGGGTTTTTTTTTGCATAGGTTATTTCATCACACAGGTATTAAGCCTAGTACCCATTAGTTATTTTTCCTGATCCTCTCCCTCCTGCCACTCTCCACCTTCCGGTAGGCCCCAGTGTGTGTTGTTCCCCTCTATGTGTCATGTGTTCTCATCATTTAGCTTCCTTTTGCGAGAACATGTGGTATCTGGTTTTCTGTTCCTGTATATCATTTTTTTTATAAGTTGTCTTATCAGACTTTTTGTTCATTCTCCTATCAGAGTGCTCCACTTTTTCTTAGTTATCTATAAATTAGTTATCTATTAAATGTCTTAGGTTTTAAAAAATGTATTAGGCAACATGCAGAATTAGGTCTAAGTGACAGATAATACATGCGTGTTTAACATGTTATCTCTGCTGAAGGGTATTACCTTTAATAATTCTTCAAACTTGAAGAATTATTTTCTATATAAAAACTTCATATAGAAGCTTAATGAGGTCCTATATGGGAATGAATTATTGCAAAGAAAATGAAATTCCTGTAATTGGAAAAATTGCTGCAAAGGCCAAATGAACATCGGCCAAGCTACTGTGGAAGGATTCTTGTGCTAGGCAAGAGGTTGGACTGAGTGAGTAATGTCCAATCATTTTTGATTCTCTTTCTATAATTCTAATGATAAAATTTCAAGCACCATCATCTGATTGGCTAGGGTCCTTCCAATTCTAATTTATGAGTAGTTACCTCCAGGTACATTCAGGCCTCCCTGGGTCAAGTAAGTTATCATATTAAATATTAATATTAGTATATTATGTGAGATGAAAAGAGATTAAGTTTCAAATGGTATGATAAAGAGGAACCATACTTACATATTACAGGGAGTCAGAAAAGAAGGAATCTGATGAGTGCTTTAGAAATCAGGGAAGGTCTCATGGAGAGAGTGAGCCTTGAATGAATCAGAGTCTGTGCAGCAGAGAGAGGTATGAAGGCTTTCTAGGTGCAGAGAACAACAATGTGGTTTGCCATGGGCTATGAACCCCACCTAGGGGTGGCCCTGTGTATCTGTCGCAGCACAGACCGAAGGCCAAATCAGTGCAAAAGGGGATTTGTCATCTTGGAAAGCCAAAAATTCCCTGCAACGTGGAGGGAGAAAAAGAGTTTCCAGAGCCAAGGGCAACTTCCCTCTGGACTCCACAGTGAAATTCTGGTGTTAGGCTCACCTGTTTTGCATAGAAATCCTAAATTGTATTTTGTAGCTCTGAGACCATATGGGAGGTCCAACCCTTCTGCGAAACAGTCATGTATCGCTTAATGATGGAAATATGTTCTGAGAAATGCATCGTTAGGTGATTTCATGGTCATGTGAACATCACAGGGTGCAGTTACACAAACCTACACTGTATAGTCTACTATATACCTAGGCTTTATGGCATAGCCTACCGAGCCTACAAACCTGTATAACATGTTACTGTACTGAATACTGTGGCAGTTGCAACACAATGACATTTGTGTATCTAAACACCTCCAAACATAGAAAAAGAATAGTAAAAATATAATATTATAATCTTATGGGACCACTGTTGTTTATGCAGTCCGTTGTTGACAGAAACGTTATGTGGCACATGATTGTAAGTTCAAGCAAGCTGAGGAGCTTTTCTCCTCCTTTTCTTTTCAGTTGTTTTTCTCTGAGTTTTTATTCTCATTGTTAGAAGTGTTGGCATGTTGCATTTGTTGGAAACAGAGAATAGCACTTGCCTTGTGGGAGGTCAGCTTCAGCTTCCCCATCTGAACTTTGAGAAGCTGCTTTCACATTAGGAAGACTCTATGTAACAAGGATGGGTTCTGGGGCAAGGAAGAGAGTCTTGTCACCTCAGCTGTTTGTTGAATCAGGGGCAGTGGATGCCTCATTTATTCAGTTGACAGCGCCAGGTGCTAGTGACTATAAGGTGATGGGTTCAATTCACAGTGGAGCCAGCTAACTTCACTCTGTTTCACAAATGGTCCCAAGTTATGCTTCCTATCTGTCAGTTTATAAGGTCACTAATTTGGGGAGCTAGGTTTGGCACTTCAGTACAAACCACTTTCTCAATTGGGTCTCATAACTGAGATGCTAGACACATAATTGGTACTTCACGAATCCATTTGATGAGTATTTGTGGAGCCACTACAATGTACCAGGAACTGTGTTAGGTGCTGAAAATGCAGATTAAATCAAGACACTCTCTGTACAGTGGATTTGATAAATAGATGAAGAATAGCATTTGTGTGCAGAAACCTAAGAGGGGCTGGCTGGGGAGAGTAAGAGGCAGTAAAGGGTGTGAGATCAAGGGTGACCATTATAAAGTGGACAAAATGCAATAGACAGGGACCATCCAAAAAGGAGCACTATTTCAAAACTCCATTTATCTCAAGGTTTGTGGATTCAAGTAGCTTAGTTTTGCTGAATTCACATTTGGACTATGTGAGTAAGCACCAGAGAGGAAGGTGATGTTTAACACGGGCCTCTGAGATTCTTCCATCCTGGATGTCTCTGGGCTCTGACATTCCTCCCTCAAAATCCTTTTCATGGGAGAGCTTCAGACTGAGTTTTTCCTTTGTACTCAGTTAAGGGCTTTGTTGATGTGGGAAGAGCATTTGGGTGTTTAACCAGCACCAGGAAAAGCAAATCTGCTTATTAGGTCCACCCAAAACTAGGGAGGGGGTATCAGTTTGGAAGGCAGCCACATCAATCAACTGAGCAAATTCACATTGCCAACTCTTTATGGATACCTTTCCAGGTATATGGTCCCATCTCTTCTCTATTCCTCCTAGCTAAGTGCTGGCAAAGTGGTCAGGGAGGTTCACTCACCTAGATCAGCTCTAGCCCTCCTGCATGTGAGGTGGGCATGGAAAGAATCAGGGGGTTCAGAGGCAGGTGTGAGTGCAGCATCTTCTGCACAGGGCCCTCTCTGTGTACCCTCATGCCCCCTCATCTTTCATGTGAAGGCACACATTGATTTTAAAAGCTGCTAGTCATTGGTCACAGGGGTTGACTTGGCCACTTAGGTACCTATCTCCTTTCCCCCTCTTGCTTCCTGGTGTGCCCTTTCTCAAGAAGAGTTTCCCTGACAGAGGAATGTTGATCCATGCTAAGATTTCTCTTTGTTCTTTGGGACATATATCCTTTAAAAAGTTTTGTCTCAATAAATAAGAATACTATGTTTATGGAGCATATACTACCTGTCTGGTACTGTTTTTGGCAATTCAAATGCATCATTTCATTAAACACTCACCAGATGTTAGTAACTTGTAAGAGCTGGTAGGTGGAAGAATCAGGATTCAAGCCTGGAATTTCCAACTTCAAGCTCTGTTGCTAACTGCCATCCTATCCTGCCTCCAAATATTTGCAATGCTTTCATACACTCAGTCGCTTGCATGGTGGCAGCCAACGTGAAAGGAAGAGCATTGGTCTCAATAACTAACATTTTTTGCTGCTTCAATTTCCTTGATAAGCCCAAGTCTTTTGTGTAAGAAAATACTTTTCCTTCTTCAGGTCTTTGTGGCTTTCTCTTAAGCCTAATTGTTGGAAAAATACTTTTCTGCCAGAAAAAACAGTTTCTGATCACTCTGTGGTACCTATTAAATGCACTAGTCCCTTCTTCTCTCCCTCACCTTGCTTTCTCTTCTGTTTCTGGGAGAGGGAGTGGGTGGGGTGCCACTGAACATGAAATCCAGGCACACGCTATAACACACACACCCCTCTAGTACCCCACCAACATGCCTGTGAGTGGAACATGGAAAACGGCCCAGGATTAACAGCACCATGGGAAGAAATGGGGACCGCAGCTTGGGTGATGCCTTGGGAAGTGCTTGTCGTCCTTCAGAATTAAGTGAGCAGTTGCATACTTTTCATCCAGCTGGGGAGAACAGCTCCCACTAGAAAAGGCAAAGCAACCTGACTGTGGTATTTACTGGCAACTGGCCTCAGTGACTGCTTTTGATAACATCCACTGGGCCAAAGTTCTGGATTGTTTTATAGCAAGACTCTGCTCTCACCTCCCAGACACAGGAAGGTCTGAGACATTTCACACCCCTGCTCCCTCCTTAGGGGTCCACAGCAGTTGTCATCTGGGATGCGTCAGACACTTCACCACAGCCCACAGTACACATTCCAGGGCCACAAGCACGTGGTTCCCTGAGCTCTTTGCTCACTCTAACGTGTGAAATGTGTATTGTGGGCTGAAATGTGTACTGCTGGCCATTGGTTCCCATTCCATGTTGATACTCCTTACATGCCTCTGCAGAGGAAGCTGCCAACAACTTGGTAGGGATTTTTATGGGGTCGAGGAAGGGACTTTGCCTTCCAAAATACTGTCCAGAAAACATGATGGAATTTCTGTAACAGGAAACAAAATGTTCAGTTAAGTCTCCAAATGCAAATAATAACAGAAATTCACACTAATATGTCAATAAAAATCACCTGCCTCCATCTCCAAGCAAGAAGGTTCACAGTGGTGAAGGTCCAGGGTTTACTGGTGGGGCTCACTCACACAATCACAGAATTAAGCCAAGAACTCTGGACATTGAGAATAAGCAACTTGGGCTAACTCTCTTTTTCCCCTGGTGGGCATCTATTTTCAGCTATTTCTCTGCTTTTCAGAGGCCACATTGACAAAAAGGTAAGAATTCTCACCTCTGTCTTCACCTCAATGGACAGTTGTGTAAAACAGTCTCCTTCCCTTAGTTCCTGGTGAAGATGACTCCACATCCATCCACATTTTTCACCTAGCCTTTCTAGACCTAAAAGCTGGAAAGGCAGATCAGAAGGACATGTTCTCAATCCAGGGGAGAGGAATGATCAGGCCAGTAGACACCAGCCAGAAATTAGGCTGACTCTAGGCTGCATGGAACACTCCTAGAGAAGGAAAATAGAACTAATTGGAGGAAAGAATGCTTTCCTGAAGAAAGGCCCCATCTCCCTGAGGGCAACAAAAAAGAAAATTCAGAGAAATACTCAACTCCCAGTGAAAACGGACAAGAAGCAACAAAAATGTGAAATAAAAACACTATCATTTTAAAAACAACACAACAATTCCAAGAATACTTTGTGCTTATCAGCTTTGTCCCAGCCTTTTCCAAGTGGCGTCTCTTCTAATCGTGGCTGGGGCTGATTTCTAATCTGGGGACCACTGCTTTGGGTCAGTGGATTTTTTTTTTTAAAGTTTTAGGTTGAAAGAGAGCAAAAGCTGGCCCCATGCTTTAGTTCCAAGTCCCCAGTGGCTTCTCGGGTCAAATAGCACATCCTCAGAATGTGAAGGAGCCATTGATTCTGGGACCCAGGGTTTGTCTTCTCTAGCTTTTACAGATAGTAGGTGATAGCCTGTGATATGCCTCTTTGAGTGGGATTCATGCCTTAAATCAAGAAGAACACAGGAAGGGAAGTGTTTGTTACTTGGTACAACAAGAACCCATATGGGAGAAGTGAAAAAATAGCAAAGCTCTGTGGAGGAAAATTACGGTGGATTCTGAGCTTGACTGTCTTGGGCCTGAGGGATTTGAGGTGCTGCCACCGGAAGGATGAGTAGCTCATGCAGGGTTCAGAGGGACTCCTTTCCCTCTAAGTCAATTAAATTTTCATTCCCAACTCTCATTTGCTTTGCCATTTAAGACTGAATTCAGGTTATACTACCTCTGTGAAGCTTATCCAGAAACCCCAACACACTGTGTGTGTCTGTGTGTTTTTAAAGTTTAAAGCCTTTTTAAAAAAATTATAAAATAAAACACAAATATAGAAAACCAAACAAAACAAGTGTAGAGCTTAATGGATTGTTATAAGGCAAGCACTCGGTTAACCATCAACCAGATAAACAAACAGAACTTGGTCAGCAGAATCAGAAGCCCTCCATGTATTTTGTCCCAGTTGCAATTTCTGCCTCCCTCCCCATGAAAGTAATATACTGACTTCCACAAAAATCACTTTTCTTTCACCACAACTTTAGTTGTGGTTTTACCACCCAAATGACATCCTTAAACACTATAGTTTAGTTTTATCTATTTAAAAATCTTGTGATATATCCTTTCAATCTCTTTAAACCTACAGTTTTCCTTCCAAACTTCTCTTTTCTGTACAATGTATTTGTTACTCGGGGCATTTGACCTGTAGAGTTTCTTGTAGGCCGGATGTTGCTGATTGGACACTCCTGATGAGATTCAGCATTTACTCCAGCCTCTGTATTTCCTGCGAACTGGCAGCTGGATTTGGAGGCTTGGTGAAACTCAGAGTCTATCTCTTTGGCAAGGATATGGGTGGCACATTAGAAAGTATGTAACGTCTGGTTGTCTCTCTTTGTGACTTGGCAGATATTGATTGCTCAATGCCTAGATCCATTAATTTATTGTGGGCTGCAGAATATTATTGCATATTATTTCTTTTCTACTTATTTGTTGGAATATTTTTGTAAAAAGACTCATCTCTTCATCTATTATTTGATTTATCAGTGTTAACAATTCATATAGGAAAGGCCAATAAATGCTTGATTCTTTTATTCAATTGTTTTCAAGGTATTGAATGTTTCCTGTTACCCTCCAAAGATTAATTTTTATCTAATTATTATGAACTCGTGTATCCATGTGTTCCTATATGTATTCAACATATTTGGTGGGTTTCAAGCCATTGTAATCATTATCTTTATATAGCTCAATTTGTCCCATCTTTGGCCAATGAGAGCTTCTTTCATTGACATTTGAATCCTTTTCACATGATCCTAGTAGTCTTTAATAGCTTCTTTGCTATCTCATATGACAAGTCAGTCTAGGCTCATCTTACATATTTTCTGCCCCAAACATGGAATCTGCCATTTCTTCAAGAATCCCTGGTTTCTTTTAATGGGAAATGGTACTTACAAACCGTAATCTAGGCACAAAGTATGTTTATCCCGATTGTGTTGATCATTGTTTCCAGGTCTTTTCAGTGGGCAGAGCTACAAAATATATATTTTTAGATAAAAAATAAATAACCTTATGAGCTCATTTTGAAACTTCCAGTACAACTTTTGTGTGATAGGTTTTTACAAGCATAACAGTTTCAGAACATTAATATTAGTAGTACTACCACCAATATGATTACTAAGGGTTACATTTTTAAATTTTCTGTCTGCATTTGTCTCTACTTTTTGTGATTTTTGTTTCAAAAATTTCAAATAAACTTTATTTTCTAGAGGTATTTTACATTAATAGCAAAATTGAGCACAAGGCACAGAGATTTCCTGTATACTCCCTTTCCCCACTTATGTGCCAATTCTCTTACTGTCAGCATTTCACCCCAGAGCAAAACATTTGTTACAATTGATGAGCCTACAATGACACATCATTATCACCCAAAGTCCATAGTTTATATTAAGGTTCACTTTTGGTGCTTACATTCTATAGATTTTGAAATTCATAATGATATGTATCCACAATTATAATATCCTACAGAATAATTTCACTGCCTTAAAAATTCTCTATGCTCCACCTATTCATCCTTCCCTCCTTCTAACCCCTGTCCTAACCCCTGACAACCACTTATCTTTTTACTGTATAGTTTTGCCTTTTCTAGAATGTCATATAATTGGGATCATACAATATACAGCCTTTTCGGATTGGCTTCTTTCACTTAGTAACAGGCATTTAAGTTTCTTTCATGTCTTTTATGGCTTGGTATCTCATTTCTTTTTTTAGTACTGAATAATATCCTCTTGTCTGGATTTATCATAGTTTATTTCACTTACTGAGAGATATCTTGGTTGCTGCAAAATTTTGGCAATTGTGAATAAAGCTGCTATAAGCATCTGTGTGCCCATTTTTGTGTAGATGTAAGTTTTACAGTCACTTGGGTAAATACCAAAAAAATGTAATTGCTGGATTGTATGGTAAGGGTATGTTTAGTTTTGTTAGAAACTTCCAAAATGTTTTCCAAAGTGGCTGTATCATCTTGTATTCCTACCATCAGTGAGTGAGTGCCTCTATTGCTCCTCATCCTCACCAGCATTTGGCATTATCAGTGTTTTGGATTTTAGTCATTTGAATAGGTATGTAGTGGTATCTCATTGCTGTTTTAATTTGTAATTCCTGAATGATATATGATGTTGAACGTCTTTTCGTATGCTTATTTACCATCTCCTCTATCTTCTTTGGTGAGGTTTCTGTTCCAGTCTTTTGCCCATTTTCTAATCTCATTGTGTTTTACCTACTTCTGAATATGTGTCATACTTAGGATCAGAGTGGTAAGTAAGTGAAACATCCAGTGAGCCTAAGCTGTATCAACCATAGACTTCTGATATTTGATGGAATTTTTGGAACAGGTGGCTAGAATTCTGAAAACAGTAAAGTATGTATTACTTCTGTTTACCTCATATTTGATTTCAATAGAGGGCATTGGCTATAGATAAAAATGTTTTAGTTCATTCTTTTAAATGATTCCCCTAAAAGCTGTGTCTAGTAGTAAGAATAGGTCATGTTATGATGCAGTAACAAGTGTCAATTCCCAGTGACTTATTTTTTACTTACTTTACATGTCCAAGGTAAGTTGGTGTGGGCTTTATTACCTCAGTCACTGGGCTCCTAGGTTGATGAAGGCTGTATTATTTTTTGATTATTACTATCTGGAACACATAGTCTTCTTGATCAGAGAGACACCTCAAGAGTTCCACATTGACCTGGCCTGGAAGTGACACACATCCTTCCCGTCCATAGCTCATTGACCAGCGCTGGTCATATGGCTGCCTAACGGCAAGAGGGCAGGGAAATGTAGGAAATGAGCTGGATGTTTTGGTGATTCCGTGGTCTCTGCCATACTCTATCAGATATTTTGGGCACAATGGTGGTGATGGCAGTGCCCACTTGGAGACTACAGAGTCCAGCAGGAAACGGTGGTATCCAGATAAATTTAAAAGGATGCCCAGCAGGAGACTTCAGGGATTAGAGGGAAATGAGGACATTTAGTTCCTATCCAAGACTCACACACTTACTACAAGTTCCATAATTATTACATAGCTTCATATAAAAGCTAAAATTGTCAACTCTTTAAATTTGTATAGTATAAAAATGTGAGCAAGAGGCTACCAGAAAATATGATTGTTTTCAAACCTGAATTGTGAATGAAGAAGCCATAGGAACTATTTGGTGACTTGTCATGGCTCTAGAAATACCTGTGTCTTCAAGTCCCAGAAATTATTACTGGGAAAAGTCATATGTTGTGTTGATAAGTAGGAAAAACAAGCAACATATAAAATTGTATGTACAGTGTGAATACATCTTTATAAAGCAACTAAAATTAAAACTAAATACAAAAATAGAATAAAATACAATCAAATATAAGTGGTGGTCATTGTTGGTTGGTGGTATTAAGAGAAATTTTGTTTTTTGTGTGTGTGTTTTTTATATTTTTTATATTGATAATCAACAGAGAATGAATTTACACAGCAAGCACAGTACACAAATGCTATGCTGTAAAACTGTTCCTGGGGTACGTGGCTCATCTAAAACAAGTGCAATAGGTTTCCCATGGTGAGAAAGCCACACTGTCATTTGCTCCTGGCTGGCACAGAGTAGGTGGTCAATAAATATTTGTGAAATGAATGGATGATTACATATGTGTGTGTATGAGTATGACTTGGCTTACAAATAAACAAAAGCCTAGCATAGGTGAGGAGTTTTTAATGGAGTGTTACTGAAAAGAAAAAGCCCAGATTCTCTGCTCTTGGCCCAACATAAGTTGTTACTGGCCTCAGTGCATCCTTACAGGAGGAAGGTCTACACTGGGGAGAGAGGGCTACCTCCTTTAGTAAGCACTGAGAACCATATGTGCTTTCACTTTGTCCTCCTGATACCTGGGAATAACTCTGGCTACAGATGTTTTTGTCCTTATGGAGTCCTCCAGGATGGGAACTGGAAAAAAAATGCCAGACATATTTACTTTCTAAAAATCCCACCAGACAGGTTAAATAATTGAAAAATGTCATCCAGTAATATCTTGACTGGGCCAAGAAAATAACCCAACATTTTATATTCCTTTAAATAGAGATTAGCAATTTTAGGGTGTTCTTTTGCTTTGTTTTTTGGAGGATGGGAGAGGGAAGTGGTTTAGGGAGGAGGGAAAGAGCCATGGCCATTGGTCCACTTAATTTAGAAAGTCTGAAAAATTGGAGTGGTGAAATGTTAGAGGGAAGAAGCTGAATTATCTCCATTGAGACACCTAACTAATACCTATGATGAAAATGAGAAACAGAAACCAATAATAATTACTGGGCTTGCAGGCAGTGTGCAATTTTTCAATATTAGTAGGGCACTGACTTTTCTGAGTTACTGTAGTTATTTGGTGCTGTGACTTTAAAAGGTTTTTGTAAATTTTGGAGCAAAGAC
The DNA here is from genome assembly GCF_000001405.40 of Homo sapiens. Lineage (NCBI taxonomy): Eukaryota > Metazoa > Chordata > Mammalia > Primates > Hominidae > Homo > Homo sapiens. Next base: position 176,476,064 of record NC_000001.11, read on the forward strand.
TATTTTATAAAGCTGGATCATTTTCCATGCCCCTGATATCTTTTCTGGTTACCACACAGCATCCTTTTACAAGAGTTAGAAGAGGGAAAATATTGAAAATCCAGTCTCAAGAAAGCCCCTGTCTCTCTCCTTCCAATACTCCAATGTCTGAGTCCTTAGTGATGTAAAATGTGGTTCAAAAAAATATCAGCAAGCGTCTGGGTTTCTTGTCTGGAATGCGTGTTCCAGGAGAACAGAGACCTTGCATCTAGAGTAATGTCTGGCACACAGAGGAATCCCAGTGTTTATGGTTCACTAAATATACTTTGTTCTCTGCCATACCTGTGGTCCTGAATCCAAAAGCTGAAGCTCATGTCCCCACCATGATAAGGAAAACAGATGGTTACTGATATTTTCAGTCCTATTTCTGTGCAACTTGTTTTATTGTAATGGGACAGTGTCAGGGATGGAGTCTGAGTGGGCCAGGTCAGTAGCAGGAGAGTATAAAGAATCTGTCTGGCACGCCTGCCTAGACTCAAGAACTCTGGCCCACTAATACAATTGCTCTAGATTGCCAAAATGCAAAGCTAGCACTTTGGACCTTCACTTCAAGAAGCCTTTTCATTTCAATTGATCTCTTGGCTCAACTGCCAGTTTTGGAACCATGACTAGGATGATTTTATCAGCATCATTTACAAAGATTTAAACAATGACAGATTCCTGGGTTCTTCTTTAGAGGTTATGATTCTGTATGTATAGGGAGGATGCCCTGAAATTTGTATTTTTAGAAAAGATTCTAATGTGAAATCAGTTTGAAATCAATAGTCTATGTCCTTCTGTTTGCACTTGGATATTTGCCTGGGGAAAGATGGAGTCACGTGCTCTTGGACCTGATGCCATGTTGGTGAGACACCGGGACCTCGAAAATCCTCTAAATGGTTTTACAGGAACTTTTACATGAGCCACGGTCATCCTTAAGCAATCTCTATGTTTCCTGGGCACTTTTCTCATCCCATTTAGCTTTTCAAGGGAAGCCTTTCAATCTCATCTAACTGCTCTCAGGAAGAGAAATCAGTTCTGCATGAAAAAGACAGTTTTTTATTCCTTTATTTCTACCATTAAAATCTACCACCCCACTTCCTCTCAGGATCATAGTCTCATTGCATATCCTTTCTTGTGACCTTGCTGCATGCTCATACTTTCCTTTGAAGGCTCAAGAATTGGGGGATATGAGGCTTAAATTGTAAAACCAGGACTTTCAAACAGTTACTCATGATCAACAATAAAACATGCATTTTTTATTGTGATCCATTATTACACACATGCACACCTAAAATAAGTTTCATGCAACACTACTTACTCTAAATACATGTGATATACTCCGTTCTCTAAACTATACTATTTAGTTTAATTAAAAGTTATGGTTGGGTGCAGTGGCTCACGCCTGTAATCCCAGCACTTTGGGAGGCCGAGGTGGGCAGATCATGAGGTCAGGAGATCGAGATCATCCTGGCCAACATGGTGAAACTCCATCTCTACTAAAAATACAAAAATTAGCTGGGAGTGGTGGTGTGTGCCTGTAGTCCCAGCTACTCAGGAGGCTGAGGCAGGAGAATCACTTGAACCTGGGAGGTGGAAGTTGCAGTGAGCCGAGATTGCGCCACTGCACTCCAGCCTGGGTGACAGAGTGAGACTCCATCTCAAAAAATAAATAAATAAAAAACATTAAAAAATAAATAAAATAAAATAAAATAAAATATGCTGGCCTAGACATACAAAATTACTTTTATGACCCACTAAAGGGGCTCAACCCATTATTTGAAAAACATTGCTATAAGGATCCCAGACTCACCTCTGTCTCAAGTATGGGTGAGGAGAGGATGAACACCAGAGAAGTTAAACTATTTCCAAGTTAACAGCTGGGTTATCTGTTCTTAAAGCCATGGGACAATTATGGAGGTTCAATAAGTAGCTGTTAGACCATCTAGGCAATACCTAATGTAACAGGTCTGGAAACTGCTGGCCTGATCACCTTGCGTAGGAACTATAGCTGAATATTTTGAGTAGCTTCTGCTATTAAAAAGACTGCAGAATAAGAAGCTTGTGCCAGACTATGGGTCAGGAGCCATCAAAGGTGCTTTATTTTCAATAAGAAGACATTGAGGAATCTTTGTTAAGAATCCAGATTGATCTCACAAAACCATTCCAATGGAATATATTCTGATATAAAAAATTCCTTTTAAAAATTACTTGAATGTAATTTGGAGTAAAGGGTAATGGCTAAGATCATAGACTCAGAAGGAGTTGGATAAACCTCAATTTGGTTCCTGGCTCTGCTACTTGTTAGTTGTGTGCCCCTGGGCAAGTTACTTAACCTCTCCTTGTTTCAGTTGCCTCATCAGTTAAATGGGGAGAAAAATAGAATCTACCTACTGATGTCATGAGGACTGAATGAAAGAACATGAAGTATTTGGCAGGGTGCATTGCAGAATAACAATCACAGCCTCATGATAGTTACTGGCATCACATCAGATCCCAGATGTATGTTCAAACAGTGGACTCATTTTTATCTCAGTTGGGTTTGAGAATGTGTCTTAACCATGAGTATTGTGCCACAATGTTCTTGAGACATTGATTAGGCAAAACAGAGAATGGCCAGGGAGACTGGCCAGTCCTCTCCTTTGAACCCAGTTCATTGCTCTTGAGTTCAAAGATAAGGAGTAATCTCGCTCAACCATTGTTGAAGTCTCTCCTGCTGGTCTTGGATGAGGACCAAGTCCTCATTTATATTCATGTATGCAGACCACATTATAAGTACACATATTTATATCACAGTCACCTATTTATGTCACGGGAGTTAAACTTTGATGACCCTTTGGTGGGGCTGGATCAAGTTGGATGGAGATAAGATCTAAGTTATACAGGGCCTTGAGGGCAGACTGGCTCTTTTAGTATCTTTACATTAATCCATCGATGAGGATATTTTCTCCACAAGGACTTGACAAGGATTTTTTCACTCAAAAAACATTTTAGACCCACCAATAATAATAAGTTAACTCATTTAATGATCACAGCAACCTGTCAGGTAGATACTATTATCCCCATTTTGAAGATGAGGAAACTAAGGCACTGAGAGGTGAAATAATTTTCCCAAGGCCACACAACTAGTAAACGAATTAAAGCACGGGGCCAGATTCTGAGAGAGTGTAAGGCAGCAGCGTTAGAACCATCTCTTTTGGATCTAACTGGTTTTTGGCTTGTTGTTCTTCTTGTGGAGGTTTTGGTGGATGGAAGGTGGGAGAAGCATCTCTTAAGGACTCACCAGATCATTAAAAAAAGGCAGTGGTGATTCTTCTTTGGCCTTCACAGCATCACAGCAGTGAAGAAAATTGTATAGCAGACTCTCTGCTCACCAGGCTAGCAGGCAAGCATCCCTAGGAAATTGCACCCCCTGACTTAGAGGACTGCCTTGGGAAGGGAGAGGTTTAGGGAGGAGACAGTGTGATTCCAGGGCAAGAGGCTATGTGTACCCTTGGGCATTCTTGTAGGTATTTGCTGGGTAATTTTAAGGGGACTGGCTTAGAGAAATGTAATGAATAAAGGAGGGTCCTCTCATGGTCTGTTAATTCCTTGCACTTTTCTTCTTGTCAGTCATCTACAATATTCAGTACTTAACAAGTTTGAAGCTTCTATAGAAAAAGTTTGAATACCTTGCTTTCTGCATGGAATTTAGGAAATTCCCTTCTCCAAGCACTGCAGTCAGGAAGCCTCAGCATGCAAGGTAAAATACACTAACTTGATTTGTAACATTGACTGTCCTTGTTGTATTCCCCACATTTATAGCACATCAATCTGAAAGCATAGAAAGTTAGAAAAGAATTATATTCACAAGCTTGGATTTGAAGTTTTAGCCTGTAGAAGAGAAATACACAGGGAAGTGTCCGAGGATAAGAGCCCCTTTCCCCCTCCCTCTGGCCACAGAGTGGCATTTCCAGCTGCCTGACAACCTCTGTAGCCTAGTGTTGAACACTGGTGCTCACCAGCTGCTGCTGGAGAGAAGCCGGCTGGTGGGGGAGGGGTCTGTGTGGAGAGCAGCCTCCTCCCCATGTCCTGCAGTCCACACCTACCTCTCTCGACCTGTAACTGGGCCTCCTCCGTGCCCAGCTTGGCTTGGCAGTATTGCTCTGTGCAACAGTCTCCAAGAAGTCTCTATGCCTCCCCAGCTCCTGGGGCACCCGAAAGGGCAGCGCTGGATAAGTCTCAGTAACACAGAGCAGTCCTGGGGAGAGGGCCGCTCCATGGCTTTTGGGCAGGCTGACCTGGAATGAGCTGGCAGGCCTGATTCCAGTCCTGAGGGACAGGTACCCACATCAGGAAACCACCATCCTAACTGGCCCCATTTTTGGCAGTCCGAACTGAGAGGCTAAGCAGGGAAAGGAGAATGTAGAATTCCACCCCACCTTAAGGGAAGGCAAGTAGGTGGTGGGGCATGGAGGCGGGAAGGCTGGAAGGGCCAGGTGGGGAAGGGGATAGGCAGGGGACATCATGAGCACCGGGAGCTGTCTGCTGGGCAAGGTCTGCCCTTACAGATGCTCATCCTGTACCTCTTTCTACACTCTTGAGGGGCATACACATTTCACAGAGAATGGATGAAGGAAAATATTTTCTTTCTCCAGCAGTAATTTCCTTCCATGACACTAGTTAGGACCACCCCTTCTCCCTCTCCCCACCCCTCCCTCAGGCTCTTGCCATCTTGCCAGCAAGGAAAATCCTACGTTCATACCTGGAATCATAGACCAGACCAGACGAAAACACTAAAGCCAGTCACCCGACTGTGCACATATTCTCCACCTTCCCACAGCAGCCACCTTCAACGCCTCTCCTGGGCGTACCTGTGACTGCATCTGGGAGTACTCCTCTCTCCTAGGCCTGCACCTCCACCCCACAGCGCTTTCCTCTTGTCACCTCGTTCTGCCCTTGGCCTACCTGCACCACCCACTCTATTAATGGAGCAGGATTGTGAAAGAGGGGAGGGTTTCTGAAAATAAGTTTGAACGTAAAGTGACGAAGAGGGAAGAGAAGCTTTCTGAATATTGGATTAAGACTGGCTCCAAGAATATTGATATTCCCATAAGGAAGCCGTTAGTTTGCCCACTACTTTAGATTCCATGAATATTTCATTGGTTGATTTAAGCGCTGAGATTTTAAAGCACACACACACACACACACACACACACACACACACACACACACACACAGACAAAGCACCTTTTTGGCAACAGGGCCATCGTGCTGTCCTCCTATGCCGGGGCCTTCGACATGGCTCTGGAGTGATGCCGTGTGGCAGCTTTGAGACGGAATAGTCTGTCTACCTCACAAAGATCTAAATTTATATCCAACCAGGGACATCTAGTGTGGCCAGGGCAAGGTTTCCAGGAGAAAAACAGTGGTTTAACATGCACTTGTGACTGACTCAGGAAGTAGATTTCCTCAGCTACCCATTGCTGAGGTGACCAGTTGTCAAATTAGCTTATTCTCTGCTGCAGACTTCATCAAAGGGGCAAATCAGTTTTAATCCTAGCATTTGGGGCTAAGATAAAAATCAAGGCTATGACTTATACTCCTCTGATCTTGGACAAGAATAGATGCTTTTATTGTTTTGTTTTCTTTGTTTGTTTTTGAGATAGAGTCTCACCCTGTCACCTAGGCTGGAGTGCAGTGCCGCGATCTCGGCTCACTGCACTCTCCACCTCCCAGGTTTAAGCAATTCTCCTGCCTCAGCCTCCTGAGTAGCTGGGACTACAGGTGTGCACCACTATGCCTGGCTAAACTTTGTATTTTTTTTTTTTAGTAGAGATCTGGTTTCACCATGTTGGCCAGGCTGGTCTCCAACTCCTGACCTCAAGTGATCCACCTGCCTCAGCCTCTCAAAGTGCTGGGATTATAGGTGTGAACCACCACAGCCGGACAAGAATAGATGCATTTAAAAGGTTCTATCTGTACACATTTCCTAATTAATACCAAAACAAAGAGTTTTTCTAATTCCTTTGATCACAATGCCACACCACTCTGAAATTCTCTTTTCTTCACTGTGAAAAAATCTCACTGCATAGAGGTAAAAGAGGACAGCCATTCAACGCAATTCAGAAAAGTCTCCCAATCATACTGAAATCTATTAGTCCAAATCCTTTTCTTCCCTAAGCCGAATAATGGCAGTCTTTAGGTGTTCTGTGTAAATGTCAGTCATAATGAATGCAGCTGCTTTTATTAGAGGAGAGTTTGATATAGTGGCAAGTACTGTTTATTTAGAGTTAGGAGACCTGTCTTATAGATTCAACTTCATCATGGATACTTTGGGCGAGTCACTAAACTCATCAATTGTTTTTACTTCTATAGTCGCTAATTGAACATTGTTACTATTTTGCTCTTAACTTTTTGGTTGTAAGTGAAGATCATTAAATTCCAACGGGCATGAACAGGAAAAATGAGGTTTTTAATGTAACCAAAAAGCCCAGGGACAGCTTCAGGCTCAGCTAAATACAAGGATCACTGAAATACCATAAGAATTTGTTATTTTTTTCCTGGCTCTGTTTTCTCTGTGTTGGCTTTATTTTCAGGCAGACTCTACCTTTTTGGTGGCAAGATGACTGCTAGTATCTCTGGGCTTATAGCCTATCTTCTCAGCTTGATGTTCAGTAGGGAAATAATTCCTCTTTCCCAGATGCTCCAGTAAAAGTCTTTGGTTTGAATCTTATTGGACCAACTTGGGTTATGTGCTCATCATCCCTGAACTGATCACAGTAACCAAGAAGTGTGGCACTCTGACCAGGCTTAGGTCACATGCCCTGCTCTGGGTTCAAACCTACCCAACTACATGTAATGAGGGAGGAGGATGGGGGCATCCTAAGGAAAATCAGAGCTCTAGTACCATGAATTGAGGGCAAGATGCTGCATGGTAAAGGTGACGGATGCCCTTTTCAAGGTTACCAAATGTCCTCCATGTGGCTGAAGAGCATGGTGAATTCTCATTCCTCCTCGTACATGATCATCAGTGCCATTGGACATACTGGATCACTTCTCTAGTCTTGCCATGTTTTCTATACTTGGGATTCCAGGTCCCCTACCTGTCTTTGTCCTTTGCTGACTGCTCCTTTGCTGGTTCTTTTTCCCTCTCTGTGACTGTATCAGTCAGCGCCCAATCAGAAGCGACACTAGTGATCTGAACAGAAACAAATACAATACAAAGAATTGTTTTATGCTAGCCTATTGTTTTGCTAATGTATTGGTTAAGAGAAGAGGTAAAAAAGGACTTTGAGGGATATAGAAGTACTAAATGCAAAAAGCAGCTACTACTAGGGCCTAGGGAAACTGAAAAAAGGAAGGAGCCCTTCTCCTCCCTTAGGTGAAACTCAGACATCTTTTTTTTTTTTTTTTTTTTTTTTTTTTGAGATGAAGTCTGGCTCTGTCTCCCAGGCTGGAGTGCAGTGGTGTGATTTTGGCTCACTGCAATCTCCGCTTCCCGGGTTCAAGCGATTCTCCTGTCTCAGCCTCCTGAGTAGCTGGGAACACATGTGCCTGCCACCACGCCCAGCTAATTTTTGTATTTTTAGTAGAGATGGGGTTTCACTATATTGGCCAGGCTGGTCTCAAACTCCTGACCTTGTGATCCACCCACCTAGGCCTCCCAAAGTGCTGGGATTACAGGCATGAGCCACCACACCCAGCCTCAGACATCTTTTAATGGGGCGTGGTTGCCTCAAGAAAGGGAAGATTGCCAGTGGTGAAGAGATGTCATAGAGGGAATGGGGAGAAGCTGCAACTCGTCCACAATGGCTCCTGAGGGGAGGGCTTTCCACCCTGTGAACCTAGTCTTCAGTAAATAGCAACTCTACCTTTGCAGTTGCTCAGGCCAAAACAGTGAAGTAAACCTTTCTTTAATATTTCATATTTAACCTGAAAGCAAATTGTATTGGTTCTACATACAGAATATACCCAGAATTGGACCACATCCACTACTACCTCCCTGGTCCAACCCATCTTTATCTCTCACCTAGACACTGGCATTGTCTCCTGACTAGATTTCCTGCTTTGGCACTTTTGTCTCAACACTTTAATTTCAATCCGTTCTCCTCCTATGTGCATAGTTTCTGAGGACATGTCAGATGCAGTTTCTATCTTTGCTCTTTTGTAGGTAACATGTTTTTCCCCCTCTGGATTCTTTCAGGACTTTTCTTTGCCTTTGATATTCTGCAGTTTGAAAATAATATATATGTGTATGTGTAGTTTTTTTCTGGCATTTGTCCTTCTTACTATTCTCTGAGCTTCCTGGATCTGTCGTTTAATGTGTGACACTAATTTTGGGGAAATTACCAGTCAGTCTTTCAAATATGTTTTCTGCTCCTTTCTCTTTCACTTCTCTGGATATTTTCATTATGCATATGTTACACTTTTTGTAGTTGTCCTACAGTTCTTTGATAGTCTGTTCAGGTTTTATTTTCAGCCATTTTTCGGTTTGCTTTGCAGTTCAGAAATTTCTATTGATATTTCATCAAGCTCGGGGATTCTTTCCTCAGCCATGTCTAGTCTACTGTTAAGCCCTTCAAAGGCATTCTTCATTTCCCTTAGTGTTTTTGATTTCTAGCATTTCTTCTTGGTCGTTTCTTAAAACTTTCATCTCTCTACATCTCTACATTACCTGTCTGTTCTTGCATGTCATCTGTTTTATCCATTAGAACCTTTAGCTTATTAATCATAATTGTATTAAATTCCCAGTCTGGTAATTCCAACTCTGCCATATCTGAGTGTGGTTTTTATTCCTGATCTGTCTCTTTAGACTGTGCTTTTTGAGTTTTCACTTCTTTCCTGCCCCAGCACCAGTTTCTATGGCGGTTTCTGCTCTGGCAAGTTATGAGTCTCTATATTCACCTATCAGTCTCTCCAATTTAAGGGGCAATGGTTTGCTCTGTGGCTCCACTTCTCTTAGAAGTAAAAAGAGTTGTTGATTTTTCAAGTTGTTCCACTTTTTACTTGTTAGTACAGAGTGACAACTTCCAAGCTTCCCACATGCTGGACTGGGAAACAGAAATCTTCTGGCCTTTTTATTACCACAATCTCAGCATCAGCAAGGCAGCTAAAGTGTCCTTGTAAAAATATAAGATAGATTACATCAGTCTTCTGCTTAAAGCCCTCCAGTGATTTCCATCTCACTCAGAGTAAAAGTCCTTATTAATAATGGCTTTCAAGTCCCTAATGATGTGTCTCCCCATTACGTCTCTGATCTCATCTTTTTTCTTCTGTGTCACTCCATTCTAGCCATGCTGGACTTCTTGCTATTTCTCAAATGCTCCAGCCATATAACTTTTCAGATCTTTGCACCTATGCTTCCCTGTGCCTAGAAGCCACATGATTCACTCTCCCACTCTTTCAATTATTTGCTTGTATATCACCTACTCAGGGAAGCATTTTCTTATAACCATATTTGGACATATATATTTTTAAAGAATTGTTCACCGACTTTATTTTCTTCATAGCACTTACCACTCCTGGCATTATATATATATAGTTTATTATCTATTTCCTACCACCCTACTGAAATACATAGATATAAGCTGCAAGAGAGCAGGATTTTTGTTTATTTTGCCACTGATGCATTCTTAATGCCTGTCATATAGTAGGCGGGGGGAGGAAAAATTTATCCTCTATCTTCTTAAATTCAGTGATTGGGAATTTGAAAATTAAACTGACAAAAGACAGATTAACAAGAGGAAAGGCATACAGCTTTCATTGATGTTAATCTTTTTATATACATGAAATTTCACAGAAAAGAAGTGAAAACTCAAAGAAGCATTTAGACTTGGAGGCTTATGTACAAAGGGCAATAAATTGTGGAGGAGTGACTACACAAAGGAAAGGGGATTTGGGCTTCTAGGGGTGATAAATTGTGGGAAAATGACTAGGAAATATATGGAAGAAACTAATGGAAGTTAAGGGTTATTTTAGTAAGGTTTGTTTATATAAATTCATCTTGGTGTGACTCCCTGTCTCCAGTGATGAATCAGTCTCTTCTTCCTTGTACCGTGAGGTACCCTCCTCAAAGGGAAATTTATGCCCTGCTTTTAGGCAGATAAAGGAAAGATAGAGAACTTTTCTTGCATCTCTTGTTTATCAATTGCCTTTAGTTCAAAATAATCCTTATGCCAAAGTAGCATGTTTTGGAGTGGCATATCTCGATCTCCTTCATGGGTGCTCAAAAATACTTTTAAAAAATCAAAGAATTAATGTCTTCTTTACTAATATGTGTGAGAATCTGTGCCAGAGCCTGGGATATTTTAGAGATGGTATAACACATAGCCCTTGACCTCAAGGAGTATACAATCTAGTAAGGATGCTTAGACAGGTACAGACATCTCTACAGTGCACTGTAGAATATGTACAACAAGAGAAGTTCTTGGCATCAAGTGTTACTGAGATTTGGAAGTTAGAGAAATTGTATCAACTTTATGAAATTAAGAAAGACTTCACAAAGAAAGTGGCATTTGAGTGAAATCTTAATTCTCTAGGTGGGGAGCAAACTGAGGGCTTTCAAATGGAGGAAAATCACAAGCACAGGCCTAGATGCAGGAAAGCTCAGGTACTTTTTGAAACCAGGTGAGCAGTCCACTGTGGGGTATGCCTATAGGCATGGATCCAGCAAAGGACGATGAGAGGGAGAGGCACAATGGGACTAGATTGTGGTTGGTCTTAAATGCGAGCATGAAAAAAAGCACACTTGAAGTTCAGGAGGTCTTGGAGAGCCCGTGAGGACTTCTGAAGAAGGAGGCTTTGTAATTAGATAGCTCGATAGTGTTTACAGGTGTAGGGAAAGGAGCTAATGTGAGAGGGGGAAGTGGGTGGATTTAAAAAAAAAAAGGAAACAATTGAAGTGAAACCAAATCTGGAAAAACTGTGAAGTATGAGATTAAGAACCAGGAAAACATGGCCAAAAGGGCCTCCACAGATCCTCAAAAAAGGAGAGAGCTGAAAAGTCCTCTTCTCTCCCTCAGTCCAGCACCCTCAGATAATTTGACATCAACTATTTAAAAACGTATCTTATAAAATATGGATAAATGTAATTATTAAGAATCAGCAAAATAAGCAATTCTAAAAAGGTGGCCCTCTGTGTCAATAGTGGCTGGGTTGCTGGTCAAGGCCATCTTGACCAAAGTCTACCCTAGAGACATCATTCCATGTGCACTCCTCTGAAACAGGCTCTACCTCCAGCAACATTCAGAAAGCCTGCAGCTTCCAAATCTCCACATCTTCCCCAGAGCCTACCTTCTCACTGTGGAAAACTGACTCCTGGAAGACCTGATGACCTTGCTACTGTTCTTTGCTAGAGTTGGTTTGATTTTGGCAACCTTGGCCAGGTACTCAGAATCCAACTGGGAAGTGAGTTGTTGAATTTCCAAAGTAAAAGTCCTAAAGCATGATTAGAAATCAGAAATAGCCAAGTGGGTGGCCAGGGCTGGGGTCAGTATTGATGGAATAAACATGGCCTGTTCTGCAACAGCTAGACCTGGTGAGATAATTAGGCTGGATTGGTTCACCAAGAATTCATTGTCTTGACTCTAATAAGCATTTATTGAGTGTGACTATTACAAGGGCCTGGTCTAGGACCTTGTAGGGGTAGAGGTTGAGGCCAAAGACAAATAAAATGTGATTCCTGTTCCCCAAAAGGGTTTAGAGTCAAGTAGGGGTCAGATATGTGTAAATAACACAAGAGAAGCAATAAAAGGGACAGGGAAGAAGTGAAAAATAAGATAATTGGGCCAAGGGCTGATAGTATCCAGTCTCTCAATTTTAAACTGAAATACTGAGTTAAGAGGACACTTCTAATTTCAACAGAAACAACGAGGTTGATGTGGAAATCCTACCTGGGATTTTAGGCAGGTAAGTAGAAAAAATGGAATGGGCTGTTTTTAAATTCTGTTTTAAGGGTAAGCAGCCAAATTATCTATGGAGATATTAAACCTTCATGTTATTATTCTATTTTATCTGCATGATATTGTTGTTTCTCTAGCTGTTCTGCGTGGATAGAAAATAGGCCCAGGTAATCCTCAATTCCCAGTGTAGTTAAACTTTTGTAGGCATCTTCCCTTGTTTTTATTTTTTATTTTTTTTAAATAAGAGAATTGTAGAGCTGGTTGGGTCATAAGTCATTACTCTTATGGATGTTATAGCTTTATCCAATAATATATGAATTGAATTGTGGAAAATAATGAGGATTTGAGATTTTACATCTATCTATCATCTATCTATCCCCATATATATTGGTTTATATAACATATAAAATTAACTTAGAAGTATGTATAGATAAAAAATGGTTATAGTATGGGAGCCTCTGGAAGCAGAGTGATGGTGGAGAGGGTGTACAAGAGTGTCTTCGAAATTAGATTTGAGTACAATCTTGGCTTAGTCACTCAGCAGCTGTATGACTTAATACCAGCCCCTAACTCTCTTAGGTTCCACTTCTTCACCCTAATAATTGGGATGATAAGATTATCTACTTTATATAGGGTTCAGATGCGAAACATCCAGCACAATGGAAGGCCCATAGCAAACAGCGAGCACTTTGTAAATACTATCATTTGTTCTACTCCTTTGTGAATGAAACATGGTTGTTCATGGGCTTGAGAGAAGTTCAGTATGGTTAGTGTATATTGGTGAAAGAAGACGCAAAGGTTTGGTTCCTCTCTCCCCCACTTCCTCCTTGTTCTCTTTTTGCCTTCTGCCATCACCTGCCCTCTCCATCAGAATCTTGGGTGCATTGTGTTAGGGTTGGGGAGGCACTGAAGTGGGAGTCTGGTTCTAGATTTAGGTAGAACACTGGTTCTAGTTTTAACTCTGCCACTAATGAACTGTAAAACTCTGGGCAAGTATTTTAACTTCTCTGGATCTGCGTACTCTCATCTGTATAATAAGGTTGGGGTACATGCTGTCTAATGCAGTGATTTTCAAACTGTGGATCACCACCCATACTTTACATAGTGACCAAGTGTGTATGCATGTGATGTGTGCCCATACGCAAACACGAGCTGTCACATTCATGAATGTAACAAAAAGATAAGTTTTATGACACAATAGTTAACACTACTATATATGCTATATCCTGATATTTTCTATCATGCCCTGTTCTGTTCTCTAATACATAATTTAAAAATTGCATGTTGTGGCCTGGTTAATTGATTTCAAGACCAGCCATGAGTTGGAATTGAAGTTCAAACAACTGGTCTTAGCACCTCCCCACTCTAATGTATGGGATTTTAATGCATAGAGGAGCTTCCCAAGGGCTGCAGTCTCCAAGGCCTTGAGTCAAATACCCTTTATGAATACTTTATAGAAAGTAGATTTCACTCAGAAGTAACATGCTTTGGAGATATTACCATATTGATCCTCTTAGTTCTCCAGAGAGGCTGGTGACACGTTATAATTGGTAGGTAAATGCCTGAAATCTGCAGCAGCTGTCCATATGTTGGAGTCCTATGGCAGCTACTGCAGATTTGGGGCAAGCTTTCTGACTATATAATCCTCTGTGTCTGCTCTCCCTGTAGAAGATCAGAATCATGTTAGGATTATTAGCTTTGTAGTCTAGGTATGTGGGTCTCCTTTTAGTGATTTATTTTTAGTGCCAAGAAATAAAAGTTGTGAAAAATTGGACAAGCTCAGGTCCATTGCTGCCTTCTCTGTAATTTGAGCTTTATATTGACCATAGCATCTATGGCACTAAATGAGACTTATTCGTTTATATATTTGTCTGCCCATCATTAATTCCTTAAAAGCAAGGACTGATGCTCATTCAGCTATTTATCTCTGCATCTTATCAAAGGACCTAGCATGTGGTATATATTCAATAAATATTTGTCAGATTGGTTTAGGTGAATTTGTGAAACGACTTCAGACAGGAGCTCCTTCTGGATCTTGTTCTATGCCAGCTAGACCAGACTCCAGGAAAACAAGGCTGTCATTATTAGAACAGATTAGAACAGGTGCTACTTGGGCCATGTTACTTTTAGAGTAAGTCCTTTGGGAGTTTTGGAAAGAAGCAAAGTTTCTTTTAAGTGTCTTTTTTTTTTTTTGCTTTGGTTCTCTTTTTCCATTAATGATAAGCCTTTCTTCCACTGAGGTCCCAGGACCCCTCTGCTCTATCTTCTACCTTTCAAAGGATTTGATAAACTAGTTTATCCTATGATGAATGCATTATCCCTTCCAGGGGAATTTAATAAAAACAAGAAGTGTCAATTCAAATGAGTGATAGACCTTTAGTGTTGGATCTTCAGTTTGCAGGCAGCCTGATAATAGAGGTATTTTGGGGATAGGGCTGGGAGAACAGGAAAGGTATTTCCATTTTGCTGAAGCTCCACAACAAAAACAATTGTCCTCTCTGCTTGCCTGTAAAACTGTCCCAGCTTATATTTGTGATACAAATGTAGAATCATAAAAGCAGGAAACCTATGTCTGTTTGGCATACTTTGGTCCTAGGTTATATGTTGCCGTGCATTTTCTTCCAAATATTTCATGTGTGTTCATCTTCTCCCTTCAGGGATGCAGACTCCATTAGTTGATGCGGATTGCTCAGGGAGCATGTTTGTCTGAAATGACCAGAGTTCAAAGAAGCCAGTGCAGGAATCAGCTGGCTCCCTTATGGCTCAGTTCTCCCTAGTGTGGACTTGCACTGTCATGAGAAAAGTTCAAAGGACCCAGGCCACTTGACTGTTTCTCCTAAGGTCACACCATATCTGTGGTAGGAGCCCACAGTCTAGCTCGATCTCAGGTTCCCAACGCCCCAAATAAGGCTTTGTTTTGGTTTTTGTTACCATGCATCCCAGTCTGAAATATGGACTAACTTACCTACCACAAGATGTCTGGTGACTATGTGGTGATTTTCTTAGCCTGAAACCTGATTTACACATGATCACATGCTGGCTCTGCCTGTAACCTCACCAAGGGCTGGTTCTCTAACTGGCTTTGCTGCCCAAAGGAGAAAGAATGAATCTCTATTTCATAACCTTGTTGAAGACTGTAGCTCTTGAGAAGTCGAGATAACTTTGTTCTTTGATCAGACATTTACTACATGCTGGCTAAGTGCCAGGCACTATGGAAAGGCTGGAGATTCAAATATACATGGGTCAGTCTCTGTCTTCAAGAAGCTAACAGTCTGGTGAGGAAGAACATAGAGCTGTGATATATTCTGATGTATGTCATGCACTATCTGTGTGGATTAGATGCTATAGGAGTCTTGAAGTGGGAAAAATTAGTTTCATTTGGAGAGGAGTTGGGAGCTGTCTTCATAGATGAGGTGTGACATCTAGGCTGGGCTTGAACATAAGCATGGAGTTAGAGGAGGGAGGAAGATATTTGCATGAGAAAAAACACAGAGTTACGAACATGTCCGACATGTCTGGAAAATGTAGAGGCTGAGTGTGGCCACAGCATTGAATGAGCAGATTGGGGGAAAGATAAAAAATTCAGTAAAAAATTGTAGGTAGAACCAGATTGTGAAAGGTGATCATTGTCAAAGGAAGTTATTTGAATTGATAAGATGTATACATGAGAAAAATAAACATTGTTGCTATTTTATATGTATGGTAAAGGTAGACATCAAAAGAGAACAGTATTTATTATTACTATTAGTTCCTTAAAAGCATTAGTAGTTATTTGTTTTGCTCCTATTAGCATCATTCTGTTTTGGGAAATGCAAGTATTTCTAATTTTTACTCAGGGCACTTTAATCCTGGAGTTTCTGTTTGGTTTCATCTGGTATTATTGAAGGAGGAAAATGTGATACAGACATGAAATGATTTAGCAAAGGTCACATGAGGAAGTGGCAGAAATGAAATATGAGCCGAGGACTTCCAATTCTATGCCCTGCACTTGTCAAACACAGCAGAACCCAGGCTCTTTAATTCTGGGAAAGCTTGTGGTTTTATGTCCACAGGATGCTCCTGAACATCAAGCATGGAATCCTGTGTCAAAATGCCAATGGGTCAAATGAATGAGATTGGAAACAGCAAGATGTGAGGATTTGCCAATGACAAACATCCCTACAACTAGAGGGCAGACTCAATGGTGCTCACAGAGCATGGGTGCAGAGAGCCCAGTGCTGTATGTCTCCCTTGCACAGCCATGCACAGATGGCTGAAGAGTTGGCTTAGACACGGTCGTTCTCCTTCTTTTCTCTGCTATGCTGCCTCTTAGCTTAGGCAGGATTTCTGTCTCCTCAGTGGCCTTTAGTTTCTCCACTAAGAGTGAGAAAAATATTTTCTTGGTATTTTCAGAATATATAACAATAGTTGTTTTGATGTTGATGATATTCTGAGACTCCTAGAAATTAAATAATTTGCCTCAAGTCATATAGTTAGTCAGTGGAAGAGCTAAATTTGGATCCCAGTCTGTGTAACATCAAGGTTTGTCAAAACTATTATCCTTTTCTGCAACATAAAGGTGCTTCCAGGTCAGAATTTCCTTTGTTTCTAAGCCCAACTTATCTGGGGCTCTGCCTACACACTAC
Source organism: Homo sapiens (assembly GCF_000001405.40). NCBI lineage: Eukaryota > Metazoa > Chordata > Mammalia > Primates > Hominidae > Homo > Homo sapiens. The sequence continues at coordinate 176,492,589 of NC_000001.11, forward strand.
ATAGCATCAGTAGCTCCTTGGAGGAGTGTGAGTGTGGTGGGGGTAGTGGTGGGACTGTGGCTACTCTTTCACGTTGGAGAGATGTTCAGATTTGAAAGTAAGCTAGCTCAGATGTTTCTCAATTATAATAATCATAAAGTAATCATAAAGTAATTATAATAATACCTTACATATGGTTTGAGCTTAATGGTTTCCAAAGCATTTTATTTGCATAATCTAATTTATCACTCCTTGGCTTGGTGGATAGAGTGAGTATTATCCTTAAGAGAACTGAAGAACAGGTTGAAGGTTGAATAGAAATTTAGAAGAACTGAATAGATTTGAAATATTTTTAATTACAATCCACAATAGAAAATATATTTTCTGTTGTGATTCAGGATAATACCCTCTAGTGTGATCTATTTTATCCTATTCTATTTATTTCAGTAAAGAATGTTGGTCACAATCCAATAAATTGATTATATAATATGCTAACCAATTATGACTTTCAGTTTGAAAAACACTGGATAAGAAAACCTATTAAAGTTTCTCCTACTGCAATGTGATTATGATTCCATGATATGGTGGAGTGTGGAATCATGAATTGTTCATGCCATATCAAAACAAGTTTGAACTTTGAAGTAGAGTGAGGGCAGTGATCTCTTGCTCTTTCCTACTCTGCACCCCTGAATCTGATTTTCAAGGGCAATCACTTTCAACCCCTGATATTTGCCTCCCTCTTTCTAAGTAATGCTCTTAGACTGTTAGTTTTTAATATGTCAGTTTCAAACATTAGCGAATGAGTTTTTGTACAGCAACCTCCACTCATTAAAGTATTGAATTGACAGATGTCAAGATGGCAGCTCTATTGCTCCTGAAGCTATTGAGGAACATGGCTTATGTGTGCTGGATTTATGAATACCAATCTCCTGAACAAAACAGACCTCACCCCCAGTCACAGGCAATGCTGCTTCCCTTCTCAGGAGCAAAACCAATAGCATGAGAGCAGAGAAGAATACATATTCTTTGCAGGCAGGAAGATACCACAAAGAGAGTGAGAGGAGGAAAGGGCTGGATTGGATGTGTTCTATTCTCCCAAATTTACCATCCACAAAACCCAGTCTTCTTCTGGAGAGAAGAAAGTGAGAAGTGACAAGTGGCTCAGAAGGCTCTGCTAGGTTATGTCATCCACAAGGAAACTCACAGAATGGGAGACACACTTGGGCATGCATCCATCTAAGTTCTAAATAAACAGTTCAGGAGAAAATCCTACTTCTCTGGACTCAAAGCAGGAAATATGACTTTGAATAGCTGGTTAAAGGAAGCAGAAACATCTTAGTTAGAGAATTTTTTTGGATTATTGGCCTGGCTCAATATTGCTGTTTAATTGTGTTTTACCATTCAAAACCTTATTACCAGATGCTCAGGTCTGGGAAACCCAATTGTTAACATCATTGCACAAAATTAAATTAAATTTCCAAAGCCACATAAATATTAAGACAAAGCTATGGGTATGTCTGAACATAAATTAGACTGAAACTTAGACTGAATACTCTAAGAATGCTAGGCTTCTAAATGTCATTACTTAATTCACCGATCATCTAAGGTGGGGAGTGGAGTCTGTTCAGCACCACCAGCTGATTTTGGCATTGTTGTTAAGACCCAGACTAGAAATCAAATCTACAGCAGACAATGAATTAGGGCTATGTGTTAGGCTTTTATCTGAAGCCACAGACCAAATCTTGGAATCATTCTTAAAGGTCTGACTGCAATGGGAGGCCACACACAACACATAGGCACAATAGCATTAGGGCCTTCCAAGTTAAGCATGAGAAATTTAGTCATTTAATTATATGGCCTGTGCAAAAGATGAGATTGCCAACAGAACAGTATTCTGTTGCATTTTCCTGACCCTTGGGGATTACATTTGCAACTTGCACCAGCAAAACTTTTGGCATTTAATTCTATTAAAATCAAAGAGCCAAATTTCTGCCTCCTGTTACATGAGCACAGTTCTTACTGACGTCAATGCAAGCTGTGCATGCATAACTGAGGGCAGATTTTGGCCTGGGCTATAGACATGTGAGAGCTGGCACACCATACTCACATCAGAACTCTGTCCCACCCGGCCTTCTGATAACACGGCCTCCTCATTCGTCACTCTCTCTGCACACACTGGGAGCTGGGCCTTAACCCAAAACACAAATTAGAAGCATCATCTAATACAGAAATCTAAGCCGGATGCAAATTTAATGTAGATGTGGCACAAGCAACCTGAGTGGGGAACCATCTAACTGTAAATTTCAGCAACAGATTATGGGTCAGCTCCCCTTGAAGCAAACTCAGTGTCATTTCTGATTTATGCATTTAATTAGGTAGGTGAAGGAGGCTTGCACCCACTTCCATCTTACTCTTTGATTTTTACACTTGAGAATGCACTGCCTACACTAAAGTCAGGCCCCAAAATGCTAAAAATATTACTGTGCCTGGTACAGGGCCTGGGTCAGAAGATACAGCCTGGTGAATACTTATTGGATGAATGGATTTTTGTAAGGCAAGAGATGATGATAATAATAGTTCACAGTACACATTGCTAACTATATGTCAGGTGCTGCCTCATATATATTACTTAATCCTTATCACACCCTATCAGGTAGGTTTACTCTTTTATAAATCAGGAAACTATAAAGAAGTTAAGAAACTTAACAGCTGCCTGTAACCCCAGCACTTTGGGAGGCCGAGGCAGGCGAATCACCTAAGGTCAGGAGTTCGAGACTAGACTGACCGACACTGAGAAACCCCATCTCTGATAAAAATACAAAATTAGCCGGACATGGTGGCGCATGCCTCTAATCCCAGCTACTCGGGAGGCTGAGGCAGCAGAATCGCTTGAACCCGGGAGGTGGAGGTTGCAGTGAGCGAAGATCATGCCACTGCACTCCAGCCTGGCAACAAGTGAAACTCTGTTTCAAAAAAAAAAAAAAAGAAAAGAAAAAAAGAAAAGAAACTTAACAGCTAGAGGATGGTGACTAGGATGTGCATCCAGGCAGTCTTACTCCAGAGGTCAGGCTATTATTCACTCTGCTGAAGTGCCTCTCAGTTAAAATATAGGTATTGTTTATTACCAATTAGTTATTAGTCAAATAATATTTATTGACAGCTGGGCAATCCCACTGAGAAAGACAGAAATATCTTACCAGTTAGAAAAAAATAAATAAATTTTGGTGTGAATTTTTTTTTTTTTCATTAGAGATGGGTGGTGCGATCATAGCTCACTGCAGCCTCAAACTCCTGGGCTCTAGCGATCCTCCCGCTCCATCTTCCTGAGTAGATGGAAGTATAGGCATGAGCTATTATGCCTGGCTCTGCAGTGAATTTGTAGGACAAATTTTACATGTATCACATTTAAACAAATTTTAAGGTTACACTGACTATTCAACTAATGTTTCTGTAGTCACTGTTTTATTTATAAATTAAATATATTCAGGCTATGACAATGTTAGGAGGATTATTACAACTTTTTTAAATTTTATTATTATTATACTTTAAGTTTTAAGGTACATGTGCACAACGTGCAGGTTTGTTACATATGTATACATGTGCCATGTTGGTGTGCTGCACCCATTAACTCATTATTTAGCATTAGGTATATCTCCAATGCTATACAACTGTTTTTAATATGGGTAGTAGCCATTTTTTTCTTTATGGGAGCATGTCAGAAGCTATAGTTGAGTTTAATAAATATATATGATTTGATATATAAATATTCACTTTTACATAGAGGTTTGAGGGGCACACCTACAACCAGAAGATGAAACCTTTGTCCTTGCCCAAAATTCTACAGGCAAAAATGGGAAGAGAATGGTCCTGGTCTCAGAAGTTACCTGGTCTGTGTGGAGGAGTTTTTGAGCTTTGGTTTGGTTTTTGTATTGCCGAGTGTTCCTTTACGAGGCCTGTGGCTCAGCAACAGGCCTGTTTCTCATTCTGGGCACCTCGTTGTCTTTGGTGTCAGTTGGAAGTTCCTTACTTTGTCCTCCTACACTATGAACCCAGATTTCCTCTTTAGCTTATTGCTCATGAAGTCATCTCAGAGATGTCCCTTGTTGTGGTGGACAAATGATGAGCCACGGGAATCTAGGAAGAGGTCGAATTTGACTGCTTCACATGAAATGGGGAAGTCGAGAAAGGGAGCCTAAGAAGAAAGGAAAGTAGGGAATACTATTTTAGCAATATTGAATTTGAGATGATGGTAACTCATTCAAGTTGTTTGGAGAGTGAGGCATGGGACTTGTCCACGGTCACATTACTCAAGAGTAACATGAGTGAGGACATGAATCCAGGACACTTAACCATCAAAACCTTTATACTAAACATCCCAAAGCATGGCATAGGGCCAGAAACATTCCCTCAACCTTTTTTTTTTAACTAGACAGAAAGAGATTTGGACTTACATCTATTACAATCCTATCCCATTGCCAGGACCTGTGACACATATATGTTCCATGTGGTCTTGCCTGTACTTAGAAATATTGTGTTGCTTTGGCTTTCATTATTACCTCTTTCACCAATGTGTCTAAGTCCCAGTTAGATTATATAAAGTCTTCACGTGTTATCTTCTACTTCTTTAGAATCTCTCACAGAGAACATTTTCTGTTCTCATTTAAAAAATTTCAGAGGCAATCTGTAGACCTTCATTTTGGGCTTCTACGACCACCTAATGCAGAATTTATCTTCACAGTGTTCCTTAGTGATGGTCAGCAGCTTCTCTGTACATGTTTCTGGGGACAGCATATTTACTACCTCACAAGGCATCTACTACATCATTACCAAAGACTTCTAATTATTAAAATATAAATAAATTATAAAGATGAAAAACTCGACTCTTAAGAACTTTGAGTCACTAGCTCTACATTTTGGAGCAGGGATTTCAATCTGGAGCCCCAAGGGGGATCTTTTTCAAAACTGTATTTTGCTTGACCCACAAGGTGTTTTTAAAAATAATGAGCCAACATTGAAGAAATTGAGAGTTTTCACACAAAAAAAAGGTTTTTGTGGCTCTTTTTGGAAAAGTATGGTCTTGAAATACTGCACCCACATTTCCACAGGGCAACAATTAACTGGACCTTAGTGGGGGTTGCCTCCTTGAGATGAAGAACAAGTTCTCCAGGTCTCAACAGTCCTCCACTGCCTAGAGATTTGCATATCCTAGGGCTAATACTTGCCGTTCATTATCATGCATGTACTATCATTTTTTCAACATCTGGTTAGCTCCCTTATGTTACCTTTCTGAATCCTATAGGCAATTATTTACATTTCTGAGCCCTAGAATTGGGCAGCACAGACTAAATATGCATCTTTCCCTACAGAAAAGACTGTTCAAATAATTGAAGTCCACTGTGTCTTTGGTCCTCTTTTTGTAAGGTAATAAGTTTCAGTTCCTTCTAGTGCCATCACTGCTCTGCACATCCCTTTAATTGTCTAGGCCTCTTTTAAAACATAGTACTCAGAATTGAACACAGTGGTGGAGAGTTGGAATCACAGACTCCCATTATTCTTTTCAACTCTAAAGTTACCGTTTTTTCTTTTTTTTCTTTTTCTTTTCAGAGTCCGATAAACCTTAAATGTTGAGTAGATCGGGTGGATATTTTCTGTTTTGTCTGCACAGTGTCCTTTTCCTCGGGGCATAGCACTCTCCTCTTCTCTGGGACCTGCTCCTCTCCAGGTCCCACTCTGGGAATTGCTAACTGCTTGTTAGCAATTCTCTCTCCTTAGCCACAGAGATTCATCCCAGCATAGACACCTATCACAAACCTAAACAATCAGATTTTCTTTTCTGTGATTTTTCTAACCAGAGCTTATAATTTTGGTTTCTAAGATGGTGAGGATAGAAATCTGAAGCTGGCCGGGCACGGTGGCTCACATCTGTAATCCCAGCGCTTTGGGTGGCCAAGGTGGGTGGATTGCTTGAGGTCAGGCATTCAAGACAAGCCTGACCAACATGATGAAACCCAGTCTCTCCTAAAAATACAAAAATTAGCCAGGTGTGGTGGCGGGCGCCTGTAGTCCCAGCTACTCCAGAGGCTGAGGCAGGAGAATCACCTGAACCCAGGATTTGGAAGTTGCAGTGAGCCGAGATCGCACCATTGCACTCCAGCCTGGGCGACAGAGCGAGACTCTTACCTCCAAAAAAAAAAAAAAAGAAGAAGAAATCTGAAGCTACAGGTGGCTGGCTTCCATGCTTTCTGGAAATGCTGGTCAGAAGTGGCACAAGGAAAAATACCAGGTAGCATCGTTGAAACCTCTGGAGCCACTCACACCTAAGGCTGTCCTTTCCACATTTTGGTTATTTCAGCCAGTGTATTACTATTACTTTCCCTTGTTTTTCTCCCTCCTTCTTTTTTCTCTCCCTTCATTCTTATTTCTTTTTACTTTTTTTCTAATATTAATTTACCTTGCTTTTCTCTAACTGGCAACTAAGTGAGAAAATCCTACCTAGCATATTGGGTGACGCAGAGGTGCTATGACTGCAGGAAAAGAACAAATAGTTACCTGGCTGAATGAGAAACTCTTCCCCTAATAGAGTTGATCATGAATTTTCTATGATTTCTAGTCTATTCCAATTAGTTCAGGAACATGTATTTTGGGAAACAATTATTTAATAATGTGACTTCAACTATGTCTTCTTAAATTCTTGTATCCAAAGACTAGTAAATTAACCATAAGTAATGGTTCAATTAAACTGACTAGAATTTTGGGCTATGTGGCAAGTCATGCCATAGTCTCATTGTAGATAATAATTGCCTTAATCTTTGCATATTCAGAATTCTGCCTCAAACTTATTCCAAAGATCTATAAAACTCTGCCAGGTGGTTTATCACACACATTTTGGGCAAGTGGTTTTTAGCTTATCTTTGGGCCTGGAGACATATATTTAAATGATCTTAGTGAAGAAAAGGGCAGGACTGTTTTGTGTGCTCTGATCTCTACTTCTGTGGAGTGTATTTATGATCTCCTGAGTTTGACTTCTAGCCCAGATCTGGCTTCCAGCTGGGGAGGGGAGACCATGGTGAACAGCTCGATCTACCAGCTCTCCTTCATAATGCTTCCCTCTCCTATACACAGAAAAGGATTCTGAGGCCAGAAAAAAACCATTGCAAGGAGAATTTGCCTAAGGGTTGGTCTTAATCACAGTCTATCATACTTTCTGGACAAGTTGGCTAACCCATGGTTTAATTTACTGGGTGGATAACAACCTTTTGGGGTTGTGAGTAGCTTACTGTCCCTCTCTTAGCTTGTGGTAACTGAACAAAGGCTTGCAACATTTTCCTGGGTCTGAGTCGTGATGTGTCCCTCTGTGTGTATGTATGTATTAGGAGGTCATCATGTTCTTTCAATAATAAATGAGAACAGCCTGCTCTTGGTTTGGAATGTTTACACCCTTTTGCAATTTAATTAGAAATAAGGATTTTAAGATAAATGAGTGTGTGGGTTTACATGGATAATTGTACTCAAATCAAAGGAGAGGTGACATTTGTGAAAATTTTCACATTTAGAAATATGTAAGTACATAAAAAGTTGTGAGGTTTTGTTTACCCTGTAAAAATAAGATACCTTTCTAGATATTTTCTTCCTTTTCCCACATCTCTGAAATTGGAACATTTTCCTATTTACTTTTACAGTTCCATGTATTTTATTTCAAAAATAAGAAAAACAATAAGTTTATAGGTCAAACTAAATTAAACACAGTATATTATTTTGTTCCTAAGCAAAAGGAAAAAGTGACTTTAGATATGGAAAGGCACCAGAAGAAAAAACATTTCAATTTCCTAATATATGCTATTTCTAAAAGCTTTTTTCACTGTAATTGAATTTTAAAAGAAAAGTTAAACCTCTAAATATGTGTACATATTTATATATATACATTTATATATAATTTATTTATACATTTATATATAATTTATTTATATATATTTGTATACATATAAAACTAGTTAACTTAGTTCACATCCTATTTATGAACTCTTTACTGTTTGCAATAACACTTGTAATTTAGGCCTATTTATTTCAAATCTTTTTGAACAGTAACATGAATTCAGAAAATTTCTAGCTAAGATTAGAGGTACATTCTGCAGTCGTGCAATAAGTCAAATACAACCAGTTCCTACTGGCATTAACTTTTGATAATGATTCAATACCAATTTCCCCTAACCTATGTATGTGATAACATAAATCTAAACCATGGTTACTGTTGACGTCATGGCTGACATGTCATTGAGAAGTCATCCGGAGGCAGCTTATTTAAAATATTGACTAATATGTGCTTTACTTTGCTAATAGCCTTAGCAAATTGGTTTTCCTTTACAGTATATTAGTACCCAGAAGGTTGCTAGGTTAGCATTAACTGCGTACTGTCAACCTTACTAGTTTCCAAATGTTAACCATAAAATATGTTTTATTTTATAACATATATAGGCATATACAATATATTAATAAGTATATATAATAGAATATATTAATATTTATAATAGAATAATATGATATATATTATACAATTATATGAAAGAAATAGAAAACCACTGGTAAGACTGACTCCAGAAGTTAAAAGCACAGAAGTAGCAGCATGAAAGCAAATTCCCAGACTTAATGGAAAAGCTTTTTCTAACAGCTTTGTTATCTCTTAAAAGTTAGTGGCTTCTGATAAATATCTCCCTATTTTTTAGTTATCACGTTTAACAATTAGTCTCTATTATTTTGAATGGTAATTACAAAGAAACAAGAAATGACAGGTCTTTGCTATAAAATCTGTTATTACTACAAAATTGATCTAGGTGAAGTTGTCCTGTCCCTCTTTGTCCCCATTTCCGTCCCTCAGGCCACTTTTTTGCAAACCCCAAATTTACATCCTCACTTCTGTCCAAACTGATGAAACATTTAAAAAATCTACAGAAACTTAAAATGGGAGCAAACAAGCTAGTAATGTACTACTGCCCCCTTGGCACTTGTAAGACCTTTTCTCTCTTGCTAAAGTAATTTTCCAGTAAGAAATGGGGAAGCCTTTCTCAAGGTTATGTCAGTGCAAATGGTTGTAGAAGAGCCCAGAGACTCCATTTTATTCTTTGTAATAGTCAGAGAAGAGTGATTGCTTCCTTGACTTTGTGGCCTTGACCATTCCTTAAGTGGCTGAGTAAAAAACAACAACATGTCTCAGAGGAGAGCTTTCTAATGGTTTTCCTGTGGTCCATTGCCCCTGGGGTGCTTCCATCACAGCGAGTCACCGTGGTGATGCCACAGTTTGAGCCTTCCTCTGAACCTTTTGCAATAGTGACACTGATATCATTTATAAAATTAATGCACCCTGGTTCAGTGGCATAGTTGCTAAGAAAAGACAATCTCTTATGGAATACATGAGTGAAAAAACAATGAACATAGACTAACACAAAGAATAACTTCTGATGTAAGTTTTTTATTAAGCCTGGAATAGCTCTTAAGAAATAAGCAGGATTGACACTTCTCATTTAATGTAGGAATGACCTACTAAGCAATGAACAAATCTTGCAAGTTTTGTCATTTACTATCCTCCAGACATCTGATTCAAGACTTGATAGCTGTCTGCACCACCCTTTCAGAATCTAACAAACAATTTGTTTGAAAGCATTGGAATGAGGTGGTGATGCCCCAAACAAGGTTTTTGCCCATATATCTTTAAACTTAAATGATATTAGTGAAGTCTATGTTTGTCATTTGGTGTAGTACAAGTAGCTATAACATAGCTGTGAAGATAGGGATTGAGTTACTTGTATTCTCAGCATTTCTGATGTACTTATTCTATCTAAAACTTTCTTCATTGGGAATGGCTAATGCAATTGATATGATCAATTTTTAATCAGCTTTTCTTAGAAAAAGATTTATTTTGTTGGGTTATACCAAATAAGCTTGTATGTATTATTCTTAATAGTATCCTTACCTGTGTCTTGCTCCACCCTTGAACAACTAGATACTGCATCTGGTCAAACTTTCAAGTAAACAACAATCACTAGGTATGTTTCAGATGGTGGGGCAAGATATTAGGACAACAGTGCAATCTCTCCATATGAAAGGCAAGTAAGTGCTATGGAAGGTGTGCATGGCAAGACTAAGTTGTTTTTCTTTCAAACAACTTACTTCACATCTAATTGAAACATGACCTATTATTGGATCTTCCAAGTTACTTGTGTGTCTTGATTATCAAGAGGACTTCCAACATTTAATTTGTGTGAAGAAAAGGGGTACAACATGATTAGGTGCCTGTAGAGTCCATGTCGTAGGTTTTTCTTCCAGTTAATAAAACCGGTTCATGTCCTGAGTATGATGCACCCAGTAATCTGTATAGTTAAACACTGGGGAATAAACATTGTATTACTTGACTATTGCTGCTGAAATAAATTGCTGCAAATTTCGTGGTTTAAAATGACACAAATATATTACCTTGTAATTCTGCAGGTTAGAAGTTTGGGGTAGGTCTCACTTTTACACTGGGTCAAAATAAAGGTGTCAGAGGGCTATGTTCCTTCTGGAGACTCTAGGAGAGAATCAATTTTTTGCCTACTCCACCATCCAGACACTGTTGACATCCCTTGGCTTGTGAACCTCATCCATCATCAAAGCCCATGGTGACTGGCTGAATCTTTCTTATATTTCATCACTCTGACAGTGATGAAGATGAGGCATCTTCTGCCACTCACTTCCACTTTAGAGAACCCTTTGATTACAGTGAACTCACCTGGATAATACAGGATAGCTTCCCTATTTTAAGATCAGCTGATCAGTAATCTTAATCCCATTTACAATCTTAATTCTCATGTAACATAATTTCTTTCCATAATTTGCCATGTAACACAACATATTTACAGATTCCAGTGATTAGGAAGTAGACATCTTTGGGTGGCCATTCTTCTTTCTCCCACATTAACACAGAAAAATTTTAAGAGATGGTTAATTAGAATCATAAAAAAATTTAAAACATAGCCATAGAGGTAGGTGTGAAATTTCCTGATTCTCACTATAAAACTCAGAACTTCTTAGTTAATATGTTCATTATTCCAGTGTGACATTGACCTTGTTCTTGTGCCATAGCTCCAATATTGTGAAGTGAATTCTGGAGAAAGCAGTGTCTGTTCTTTGTAAGGATTAGGCAGAGGATTGGCTCTTGCCATTCTGGAAAGTCAAGTTCCATGCTCAGAAGGCAGATGTTGCAGAATGCCTCCTCAGATTAGGAATAGTTCATCAGTGGCAATTTTTGTGGGAGAAGAACATAGCAGGAAACAAGTAGTACAAATAAGCATTAAGCTCTGTTTTATTTCTTCTACAAGTGTATCATGAAATAAACATCTCTACAGAAGTGGGATGAAAAAACTCAGCATCAATGTCAGGACATAAGGAAGTCACTTGAAAGTTTTATTTCATGTACATTTTTTCATTAGGTTAATCTCTGGAAACTATGAAGAACTTCCTTAAGTTCATCTTGGTTATGGTCATTCTGTGGTATGGTTCCATATCTTTACCCTCTATGACATACTGTGACACTGCTGGGGGAATTGACTGGCCAATATCAAACTCTTCTGTGTACACTAAGCAGCAATTTTTGAAAAGTCATCAGGAAAAAAATAAATAGCCTTGAAAAAATTTAAACAGTACAAAAGAGTGTATAATATGAATATTTCTCTGAATTTAGACTCCTATATTCTGTTTCAGAGAAACATTTTCCTGCATATTATTTCAGAGGCATCAATTTTCTGTGCATTCTTTTAGAATATTTCTATGCTATACATGCAGATATATAAATATATTCTGTTCTTTACACAAATGAAAGTATGTTATATACACTATTATGTTATCTTCCTTTTGTTCACTTAACTATATTTTCATGGTATCCACATATCAGTAGATATAGATCACTTTTTCGTCTTGCTAATGGCTGTGGTAGTCATTTAAGCACAGACTGTGTTCAGGATGGAGTCCACATTCAAATGCTTAGCTGCGTTCCCTGATGCTGTCTAGTTTTTTCTGTAGGAGCTAATCCAAGACAGAAGATCAGTTGCTGTTAATATTCACAAAATACTGTTTTCTTACATTTCCCCTCTCTTTGGAAAGACTTTATATTCTTGGCTTATTAAAGCAATGGATAGCCATGTGACCTGCTTAGACCAATGCAATGTGTCACTTTCAAGGCAAAAGTTGCAAGGGCCATCTCATGGTTTTCCATATCTCTTTTCCTCTACCATAGAACTGTTTATGTCTCAGATGGGTACTACTCCTTCAGATGGATGATGAAATGAAGATAATACGGAACAGAGCTATAATCTACCCATAATGGGTGGGCAGCATAAGTGAGAATAAAACGTAGTTATCTTAAGTAACTGCTATTGGAAGGTTACTTATAACCACAGAATGATCTAGCCCATCCTACCTAATACAGGGAGTTACCTAAGGAACAGTAAAACAGTGTGAAAATCCTTAATAAAACAGTTTTTCCTGTTGTGAAATGGCTTTCTAGTGGCCTTGTCTTTCCTAATTCCTTCCTCCCAAGTTCATTAAATAAAATGACAAAAAACCCGTTAATAAATAACATAACCCAATACTCATTGACATCTGTAGCATTTTCATTCTATTTAATCAATTCTTTCAACCCTTCCAAGGCTATTTTGTCCTCAGATCAAAGTAATCAATGCATTTGTGCTTTAAAAGCAAACAAAAGCACATTTGGGGTCAATGTCTTCTTCTGGTAATCATGGGGTTATTGGGTCCAGATTTCCCCTCCCATTATAAACGACTAAAACAACTGAACAAAGTACATGAGACAACTGTTTTTTGGAGTTTGGAAAACAGGCAGCACAGGACTGTGATTCTTGAAAGTAGAGAAACACGTGAAGTGAGCCATAGATTGACCAACTTTTGCCTGGAGACACTTTCCACTTCTGGTTCAAAGAAGGATTCTCAAGCCAAGTAGGGCAGAATTGCTGAGTTGCAGAGATAGAGACTGGAGTTCACACAATTAGAAAAAATTAGATTGGAGGTTACACAATTAGAAAAAACTATTCTAAAATTCATATGGAACAGCAACAACAACAACAAAAAGCCTGAATAGCCTTTTTACAGGGACAGAGTGAGACTCTGTCTCAAAAAAAACCAAAAAAACAAAAACAAAACACCAAGGTGACTTCAGTTATCAAGATAGAGTATTGGAGAGGAGGGAGTTGCACAGGAAATGAGGTTCAAAAATATCACAGGGATTCTCTTGAGTCTGTTGTTGAATACTTGAACATGCATGCAAAGGAATAAATCTTACAAGACCAGTAAAAAAATGATAAACTGAAGGGTTCCCAGAGCTCACAAAAGGCTGGAAGATACTCAGATTTTAAGCAGTTAGACTGGAGAATTCTTGTTAAGAACTTGGGGCATCTTGGATTAATTTGTGTATATAGTGAAAGATAAGCACCCAATTTCATTCTTCTGTGTGTGGCTAGCCAGTTATCCCAGCACCATTTATTGAATAAGGAGTCCCTTCTCCATTGCTTGTTTTTGTCAGCCTTGTCAAAAATCAGTCAGATGGTTATAAGTGTACAGCTTCATTTCTGAATTTTCTGTTCTGTTCCATTGGTCTGTGTGTCTGTTTTTGTACCAATACCATGCTGTTTTGGTTATTATTGCCTTATAGAATAGTTTGAAGTCAGCTAGTGTGATGCTTCTGGCTCTGTTCTTTTTGCTTAGTATTGCTTTGGCTATTCAGGCTTTTTTTTTTCTTCCATATGAATTTTAGAATAGTTTTTTTCTAATTATGTGAAGAATGACATTGCTAGTTTGACAAAAATAGCACTAAATCCGTAAATTGCTATGGGCAGTATGGCCATTTTAATGATATTGTTTCTTCCAATCCAGGAGCTTGGAATATTTTTCTATTTATTTGTGTCATCTCTGATTTCTTTCAGCAGTGTTTTGTAGTTTTCCTTGTAGAGATCTTTCATTTCCTTTGTTAGCCATATTCCTAGGTATTTTATTTTCTTTGTGGCTATGTAAATGGGATTGTGTGCTTGATTTGACTCTCAGCCTAATCACTATTGGTGTATAGAAATGCTACTAATTTATGTGCATTGATTTTGTATCCTGAAATCTTGCTAAAATCATTCATCAGGGCTAGCAGCCTTTTTGTGTAGTCTTTAGGGTTTTCTAAATAGAGAATCGTATCATCAGTGAAGAAAGATAGTTTGGCTTTGTAAGACCTCAAACTATAAAAATCCTAGAAGAAAAGCTACAAAATGCCCCTCTTGACATTGGTCTTGGCGAGAAATTTTTGGCTAAGTCCCTAAAGGCAATTGCAACCAAAAATTGACAAGTGAGACCTAATTAAACTAAAGAGCTTCTGCACAGCAAAAGAAACTATCAATAGAATAAACAGACAACCTACAGAACGAGAGAAAGTATTTGCAAACTATGCATCCAACAAAGGTTTAATATCCAGAATCTATAGGGAATTTAAACAAATCAACAAGCAAAAATAAATAACCCCATTAAAAAAAGGGCAAAAGACATGAACAGACACTGCTCCAAAGAAGACATACAAGTGGTCAACAAATACATAAAAAATGCTTCATGTCACTAATCATTAGAGAAATACAAATCAAAACAACAATGAGATACCATCTCACAGCAGTCAGAATGACTGTTACTAAAAAGTAAAAAAGTAACAGATGCTAGTAGGGCTGTGGACAAAAGGGAACTCTTCTACACCTTGGTGGGAATGTAAATTAATTCAGCCACTGTGGAAAGCAGTTTGGAGATTTCTTAAAGAACATAAAACAGAACTACCATTTGACCCAACAATCTCATTACTGGGTATATACCTAAAGGAAAATAGATCATTATACCAAAAAGACACCTGCACTTGTATGTTCATCACTGTGTTATTCACAATAGCAAAGACATGGAATCAAGCTTAATGCCCATCAATGATGGAATGGAAGAAAATCTAGTACATATACATCATGGAATACTACACAGCCATAAGAAAGAATGAAATCGTGTCTTTTGCAGCAACATGGATGGAGCTGGAGACCATAATCCTAAACAAATTAATGCAGGAATAGAAAGCTAAATACCATAGGTTCTCACTTATAAGTGGAAGCTAAACATTGAGCCCAATGAACATAAGCAGGGATACAGTAGACATTGTGGACTACTAGAGGAGGGAGGGGAGGGAGGGAGGCATGGGATGAAAAAGTACCTGTTGGGTACTATGCTCACAACCTGAGTGCAATATACCCATGTAACAAACCTGCACATGTACCAACATATCTAAAGTAAAAGTTGAAATTTAAAAAAAATTATATAAAAAGCAGAAAAGCTACCAGAATAAAAAAGTAAAAATCGGAAGAAAAACAAACTAAAAACCCCTAAAAACCTTGGGGCATTTGGTCAAGACCTCAGAGAAGTCATGCCTTCATAGTGGGGCTAAACTATCCTTATAGTAAAGGCTACTCAACAGACTTTATAAAGCTTAAAAACAATCTTCAAAAAGATCAAGCTGATCTTCCAGTAATGTAATTGTTTACCAGAACAAAGTGTAGCACTCTTTAAAGAAAGACTACGAAATCCATCATTCAAAACATAAAATTAACCAAATGTGGCATTCCGTAAAATTACTAATCATGTGAAAACAGGAAAATATGATTCCATATCCAGTAAAATAAATCAGTCGGTAGAAACATACTCAAAATGACAGAGGTGAAAGAATTAGCAAACAACAATTTAAAAACAGCTATTGTAAATATGCATAATTATTTAAAGAAAAATATGAACACTGAGGATAAAAATGACATATAGAGAAAAACATAAATCATAAATTCTAATTCTGAAAAATAAAATATCTTGAATGAAAAATCACTGCATGGAATTAATAGCCAATTAGACAATGTAGAAGAAAAAATGGGGAACTTGAAAACATAAATGAAAACTATCCAAAATGAAGTATATATAGGAAAAAAAGTAAAAAAAAAAATAATGAATAGAGTCTCAATGACAATGATATGGTGTGGCTCTGTGTTCCCACCCAAGTCTCATATCAAATTGTCATCCTCACATGTTGGGGGAGTGACCTCGTGGGAAATGATTGAATCATGGGGGTGGATTTCTCCCTTGCTGTTCTCATGATAGTGAGTGAGTTCTTATGAGATCATTTTGTTTAAAAGTGTAACACTGTCCCCCTTCACCCTCTCCCTCCTGCTGCCATGGAATATGTGCCTTGCTTCCCCATCATCTTCTGCCATGATCATAAGTGTCCTGAGGCTTCCTCAGCCATGTGGAACTGTGAATCAATTAGACCTTTTTTTTAAAAATAAATTACTCAGTCTCAGGTAGTTCTTTATAGCAGTGTGAAAACGGACTAATACAATGGCTTTTGGAAAAATTTCAAGCAGTCTGACATATATATATGTTAGATGAAATATAATATGTATAATTAGAGTTTATTATATCTAATATATAAGTAGAGAATATGTGATGCACTATTTAATCAGAGGTCAGATGAGAAGTGGCTCACTATCATGAGAACAGCAAGGGAGAAATCCACCCCCATGATTCAATCATTTCCCACGAGGTCACTCCCCCAACATGTGAGGATGACAATTTGATATGAGACTTGGGTGGGAACACAGAGCCACACCATATCATCTAACATATATATATGTCAGACTGCTTGAAATTTTTCCAAAAGCCATTGTATTAGTCCGTTTTCACACTGCTATAAAGAACTACCTGAGACTGAGTAATTTATTTTTTAAAAAAAAGGTCTAATTGATTCACAGCTCCACATGGCTGAGGAAGCCTCAGGACACTTATGATCATGGCAGAAGATGATGGCGAAGCAAGGCACATATTCCATGGCAGCAGGAGGGAGAGGGTGAAGGGGGACAGTGTTACACTTTTAAACAAAATGATCTCATAAGAACTCACTCACTATCATGAGAACAGCAAGGGAGAAATCCACCCCCATGATTCAATCATTTCCCACGAGGTCGCTCCCCCAACATGTGAGGATGAAATTAGAGAATATGTAATGTATATTTAATTAGAGTTTCAGAAGAATGGAGGGGGACAGAAAAATATATGCAGGAATATGACTTTGCTGGGCATGGTGAATCACACCTATAATCCCAGCACTTTGGGAGACCGAGGCTGGCAGATTGCTTGAGCCTGGAAATTTGAGAACAGCCTGGGCAATATGGCAAAACCCCGTTTCTACAAAAAACAAAACAAACAAACAAAAAAAAACAACAAAAAAAACACATTAGCTGGGCATGGTGACGTGTGCCTGTAGTCCCAGCTACTTGGGAGGCTGAGGCAGGAAGATCGCCTGAGCCAGGGAGGTTGAGACTGCCATGAGTTGTGATCATGCCACTGCACTCCAGCCTGGGTGACAGAGTGAGAACCTGTCTCAAAAACAACGACAAATAAACCCCAAAAACAAAAAATAAGAAAAAGAAATATGGCTGAAATTTTTCAAATTTGATGAAAACTATAAGCTCACATATTTGAGAAGTACAAGGCATTTCAAGCAGGCTAAACACAAAGACAAATATACTAAGACACATCATAACAAAATTTGTAAAAACTGATAGTATAAAGAAAATTTTAAAAAGCAGATAGGGGTGGGGAACATGTTATGAACAGAGCAACAAAGATAAGAATTATCATCGTTTTCTCACCTGAGCCTATTTAAACCAGAAGACAATGTAACACCATCTTTAAAGTACTGAAACTAAAGCAAACAGAACAGAACAAGAAAATTAAATTAACAAAAACCTTCTGTTAAACTAGAATGCCATATCAAATGAACATTTCTTTTAAAAGTGGAGTTTAAATAATGGCTTTTCAAAGAAAAGTTGAAAGAACTTGTATTTATGAGATCTGAACTACAAGAAATGTTATAAGACATTCTTGAGGAAGAAATTAGAGCTACATACAGACATAAAGAACCCTACAAATTGTAAATATATGAATAAATAAAAAATTTTACTTAAGATTTTTTTCAAAAGATAACTGAAGCAAAAACGGCAGTCGTTTTATAGTTTATAATACATACAGATAAAAATATATAATAGTACAAAGAATGGGAAGGAGAAAATGGAAGAATATCACTGTAAGTAATATAATAGCACTGAAGGTAGACTGAGATAAGCTAAAATGTATATTTTAAAATTTAAAGCAACACATACACACACACACACACACACACACACACACACACACACATACCCCAAAAATGAAAAAACAGAGGGAGAGCTAATAAGCCAGAGATAAAACCCAATTATAAAAACATTTAATTTAATCCAAAGAAGGCAGAAAAAAGGAACAAAAAAAGAATTAATGGGGCAAATTGAAAACAACTATTAAGATAGTTAATTCAAACATAGCCATATCAATAATCATAATAAGTGTATACTTTCTAAACACTTCAATTAAAGGGCCAACATTATTAGAATGGATTAAAAAAAAGAAATAATCATTCCTGTTATAGTTTTGTGTTGTCTATAAAATGTGTACAGTAAATACAAAGTCACAGATAGGTTCAAAATAAAAGGATGGAAAAAATATACCATTCAAACACTAATCAAATGAAAGCTGTAATTCATATATTAATATCAGAAAAAAGGACTTTTCAGAACAAGGTATATTGCCAGGGATTATGATACAGAAAAAGCATTTGTAAAAAATATAGCCCTCATTCATGATTAAAACTCTCAACAAATTAGGAATACAAGTCCAGTTTGGTGTACTTCTGATTTACAGGGAATCTGCAAAAACTTACAGTGAATATCATACTTAATGGGGAACAATTGAATACTTTCCATTTAGGACTGTGAACAAGTCAAGGATGTTTGTTTTTATAACTTCTGTTCGACACTCGTTGTCTTAACTGGTTGTGATAATTTTATGTGTCAGTTTAACTAGGCAAACGGTACCTAGATAACTGGTGAAACAAAATTTCTGTGAAACATCTGTGAAGATGTTTCTAAAAGAGATTAGCATTTGCATCAGTAGACGGGGTAAAGATGACCCTGACCAATGTGAGTAGGCATCATCCAATCTGTTGAGGGCCTGAATAAAACAAAAAGGCAGAGGAAGTGAATTTGCTCTCTCTGCTTTAGCTTGGCATATCCAATTTTTCCGGGCTTCTGACATTGGCACTCCTGGTTCTCAGACCTTCAAACTTGAACTGGGATTTATACCATCAGCCTTCCAGTTCTCTGGTCTTTGAACTCAGACTGAAACTTACACTATTGGGTTCTCTCCTACTTGGTAGGTGATGATTGGACTTTATAAATATCAGTTTTTTTCCTTTAAAAGGTGCTATTAAAACATTAAAATTAAATCCATAGATTAAAATACTCAGAATACCTAGGTCAGACAAAGTACTTGCAACTAGAATATATAAGGAACACTTAAAACTTGATAAAAAGAATAAAAAGGACCTCCCCAAAATGGCAAAATATTTCATATCATTTTTCAGAAGACATAAGTGGCCAATAAGCATGTACAAATATGTTCAATAAAATTATTCATCGGGAAAAGCAATTAAAACCACAATGAGATTCTGCTACATCTTTACTAAGACTAAATTTGCAAAAAAAAAAAAAAAAAAAAAGACCACATTAAGTGTTGGCAAAAATGTGGAGCAACTGGAACTTTCATACACTGTTGGTGGGAATGTGAAATGGTACACCAGTTTGGAAAAAAGTTTGGCAGTTTCATTAAGTGGCAAATTATGATATATCCATGAAATGGAACACCACTTTGCAATAAAAGAAATGAACTACTACTAACATATGCAACAGCTTTAAGGAATTTCAAAAGCATTATGCCAAGTAAAAGAAGCTAGCCAAGTAAAAGAAACTAGATACAAAAGAGTGCATACTGTAGCATTTCATTTATAAGAATTTCAAGAACAGATACATCTAATTTATAACAACATAAAGCAGATCATTGGCCGTCTGAAACAAGGGGTGAAGAGAATGACTACAAAGGAACATGAGAAAGCTTTTTAGGGTGATGAAAATAGTCTACATTTTTATTAATGTATTGATTACACTGATGTGTGCATATATATATGTCAAAACTTATTGAATTATGTACTTCAAATGGGCATTTTAGTTTATGAAAATCATTGTTCAATAAAATTGATTAAAATATTTTTAAAAACATTAATAAAACATTTTGAGCCCTTTACATTTCAGCCTGTGTTTACAAATTAAAAAAAGCAATGTAAGAGGTGCAACAACAGGTCATAACACAATGCTTCTGGGTATCAGACTGAGTGCCATTCTCACCAGGTATTTTGCAGGAAGCTGATGAATTTCTACAACAGTTTCAAAAGTTAGGGATAGCCTGATCCTTCTGCAAACTGTGAAGGATTACATGAAGGACCAGAACTTATACCATCAGCTCTCTTGCTTCCAAGGCCTTCAGACTTGAACTGGAACTGCAAAATCAGCTCTCCTGGGCCTGGACTTAACTTAGCCTCCATAATTGTGTAAGCCATTCTTTATTATACATTTCTGTCTATCATCATCATCATCATCATCATCATCATCATCATCACCATCTATATCTTCTACTGATTCAGTTTCTCTGGAGAACCCTAACTAATACAGATGTTCCTTCACTTGTTTTTCTCACTCATATTCCATAGCTTTTTGGATAAACTTGTTACTTGCTTATATTTTTCTAAATTGTTAATAATTTTTTCTTTATTTTTTCTTTCATTTTTCTTTTTTCAACACAAGCACAAAGCTTTTTCCTATTTCTTTCTTAAATTGTTTCAAAGAGAAGAGTCTACCTCTCCTTCTCTTTTGCCTTCCTCTGATCTTCCCTCCCTGCTTCTCACTTGAGGCATTTATCAAAATGGAAATAGAAATTTCATTTCTGAGAAGAGAAAGCACAGCACGATATGAATAGAAGTTGGAAGATCTGAGTTCCCATCCTAGTTCTTCTGTGAACCAGTTGTGTTATCTTGGTCCAGTTGGCCAATCTCTCATTCCACAAATTTTTCTGATTCTGGTCTCAATTTCCTTATTTGTAAAATGAGAGAGTTGAATTCTATGATCTCTTCTGTTTCTTACAATTATTCCCTGAAAGACTCTAGAAGCCTCATAATTATTCTCTTCTCATTTATATACTACATCCTCTGTTAGATAGCAGTTTGAATCTTGGTGGAAGCTCAAGAGGGGGAAGAAAATGCATTTTAGGTATCTGTCTAGGACTCAGTTAAAGGCAGACAGCTGAAGCGAGCATGCTGTCCGAGGAGTCATGACTGTAACCACTTTCTTCAAAGAGCATCATCCATCCACATGCACCACAAAGGGCTCTCATACATGCCATCTCAACATGAATGAGGGATGGAGGCTTATTACCACAATTTTATGGATGACTATTTCAGAGAGACAACAAGATACTCCCTGTGTTTGTCTGTTTTGCATTGCTGTAAAAGAATATCTGAGACTGGGTAATTTATAAAGAAAAAATGTTTAATTGGCTCACAGTTCTGCAGAAGGTACAAGAAGCATAGTGCCAGCATCTACTTCTGGTGAGGCCTCAGGATGCTTACAATCATGGTGGAAGGTAAATGGGGAGCTGGCACATCATATAGTGAGAGAGGGAGCAAGAGAGAGGAGGCGGTGTCAGACTCCTTTAAACAACAGCTCCTTTAAACAGCTCCCATGGGAACTAACAGAGAGGGAACCCACTAGTTACCATGGGGAGGGCACCAAGCCATTCATAAGGGATCTGCCCCATGACCCAAGCACCTCCCACCAGGCTCCACCTCCAACACTGGGGATCAAATTTCAACGTGGATTTGGAAGGGACACACATCCAAACCACATCACTCCTGGATCCCCCGGACCTTAACCCACGTCTGCCTCTGCAGTCTTTCCCTTCACCACATGGATTTGACTTAAGTCAAAACCTCAGTGGAGCAATCTCTTGGGCTTTCAATCATTTTGACTCAACCCTTGTTTCACTGCAGCCTAGGCTCATCACTGACAATAACATTTTGACAAATTATACGACTTAAAAAACGAGGTGTAGACTTATTTATCCATAGCATTCTTCATGGGATGAATCTGTTTCAAGGAAATTTTGACTTTGAATCAAATTTTAGGCATGCCTAGGACTAAAAGGAGGCTCAGCAGAAATGCGATGACAAAGCCCATGGATTACAGAAAGCCTCTCCGGCTTGTGCATATCTCTGGTAGAGTTTGCCCATTCCAGACTGGCCTTGCTGTTCAGGCATTTTCCTCCATTCCATCAAGATTATTCTTATTCAGTGTTTACATCTCTATCGAGCTCCTAGTGTATATTAAGCATTGAGGAAGAGATCACAGTGAATACGTTGGCCTCTGGAGTCCAAATACCTTGCTGCTAATCTTGCTTTGTTAGTTGTATATTAATGGGCAAGATATTCACAATATTCACTAGACTAGTTTTAACATCAGTAAAACTGGGAGAATTAAAATATATACCTCCTAAGAGTAATGAGAGTGCCAATAAAACACTGAGTGCAATATTTGGCACTTGGAAAGTCTTCAATAACTGTTAGCAAATATCATCATTATCACTGGTGGAGAGGGACTTGCAAATGTTAATAGAGCAGGACACAAAATAAAGAGTCATTATTTCTGACCAGGCTAACGGGAATGGCTTCCCATAAAGAGAGACACTTGAACTGCACTGGAGGATGAGTGGGAGTTTGATAGCCAGGAACTGTAAAAGGGCATTCTGGTTGGATGGGTCAGCAATACAGTCCCCATATGATCTCATCCAGGAGGATTGTGATCACCCAGACTTTTTAAAAATAAAGAGCCTGAAGCTCACAATGGGAGCAACCACAGTGGAAGGACAATTAAGCTGCAGCCTGTTCACGGGCTTCCTGCCAAACCTAAACAGATTTCTCAGACCAGTGACTCATCAACAAGACAAACTACATGTACCTGTTGCATCAATCCGGTGCTTTCTGTTTATTTTTATCTTGTCCCTGTGACCCCTCTTTGCTCCATTGTTAATACCCACTGCACTGGGCGAGGCTGGCTTTGAGATGCAGTAAGCTTCATTTTGGCTTTTTTTTTCACTTGTGCATTTTCCAGCCAAAAGAGAGTGAGTTCCTTACCACTCCATCTTCCTTTCTTCTTTCTAGAGAAATGTTCACTATGCCATGAAGTAGCTGTCACTTATGCACTCCATTCCTTGGTGTGGAAGACATTTCCCTCTTGCTGGGATAAATAAGTGGAATTGATATTTACTGAGTCTTGCACTAGGCACTTGAAGACTCTCATTTAGTCCCCACAACAGTTCTCGGAAGGAGGTATTACTAGCCCATTTTATGGATGAGACTAAAAGTGGTGGAGTAAACTTGGCCAAAGTCAACTAGCCTAAATGTGAGATAGTTTGCTTGGTGACTTTCTCTAGTGGCTCTTGTTCTCATCACAGGACAACATGTTCTCAAGACACCCACAATTGGGAAGAGCAACTGTGTAGGGGAAGTAGAGCCCCCAAACCATTTCCTCCTTCTTTTAATTCAGATCTCCCCCAAGCTCAAGTCCATGGTTGTTGAGTGTCTCACCACAAATGCTGCTAAGATTCCCTTTTCTGTCCTCGGAGTCAAATGAAGAGAGTTTAATTCTTTTTTTTTTTTTTTGTGACAGGCCTTCATATACCTGAAGAAAGTTTAATTTGAATACCTCATTCTCATCATTTACCATCCTCCCCACTCCCCCATCCCCTGCCTTAATATTTCCTTTTTAAGGCAAAACAGTTTCCATTTAGAAGCAAAGAAAGGTAAGTGACTGCTAAGATTTGAATGTTTGTGCCCCTCCAAAATCCATGTTGAAACTTAACTCCCAATGCAATACTATTCAAAGGTGGGGCCTTTAGGAGGTGATTGGGTTATAAGTGCTCTGCCCTTATGAATGATATCAGTGCCCTTATAAAAGAGCTTGAGGGAACGAATTCTGTTCTTCCATCCCTTCTGCCATATGAGGACATAGTGTTTTTTCCTTCTTGGGGACCACATCAACAAGGCACCATCTTGGAAGCAAAGAGCAAGCCCTTACCATACACCAAAACTATAAGAAAGTCCAGAACTACGAGAAATAAGTTTCTGTTGTTTTCAAATTATCCAGTCTGTAGTAATTTGTTGGACCAGTGGGAATGCACTAAGACAGTGGCCATGTGTCTATCTCTGGAAATCTGATTGGTTCTCAAAGATCCTATGTAGGTGAATCACATTCATTTGTGTGGATAGTTTTTCTCAGCTATGGTCACTGCCATTTTCAGCTTTATTTCTCTTAAAAATGTCTGTTATCTGGTTCTCCAAGTTTCTGTTCTGTGATTTCCAGCATGAATGAAACTTAGGAAAACTCTTAAAAATTAGTAAAATTTCAATGTGACCAATTTAACCTACAATTCCTATCTGTTCTATTCCTACCATATTTATAGAGACTCTTCCTTGACCTTCCGCAAAAACCAGGAAAAAATTTCCGTTAGTAAAATGAGCTTTTTCATTAAAAAGCCAGCACTGCAATGGTATTTCCCCCTTTCTTTTCCTGCCTGCCTTGCTTTGACTGGTGGGATTAATTGGGTCTTGATCAATCTGCTAAAAGACAGCAAATCGGGAATGGCAGGTGGAAGGAGGAAAGCATGAATATTAATTAGCTAAGATTCCAAACAGAAGCCTTTTAATTATATTAAAATGCACAGGCCTGCAGGCAGTGAGATAGTTCCTGCTGTAAATCTGTCGACAGGCCATTACCTCAGCAACGTCAATGTCTTTTAATAAATGAATATATACATTTCAAGTGGGGGAGAGAAAAATACTTTGGTGTTTATAAATATTAAAAAGGAAACTATCAATGTGAGGAGATACCCATGACAGCTCTTCTCAGGCAGGAGGTGTTTAGGGAAGGCAGTGAGTCATCCCAGGCTGTGAAACCAAAGCCTGTGGCTAATATGGGGACTGATGCAATTAAAAACAGGTGACTGTGAGGCAGGGCAAGATAGAGGCTCAGCTTTTCTGTAGGTCAGTGAGTCAGGCATTTAAGAAAGTTGCATTGACTTTTCACCTCACTTTGGAATCACTCACCACCGGAAACAAGGCAGTCAGGCGCCTTTCATTGGTACTCCTCACATGAAGACAGCATTTAAAGGTCGAAGGGTGACTGGCCACCTTCGACATGGCAGAAGGAAACCATAAAATGAGAAGAGCTCAGAATTCCAGGGCAATAAAGAAAGGAAATTTTTGAAAGCAGGTTTCAGTAGTTCTAGAGTTGC